>NW_015495299.1:0-300000 GCF_000001405.40 Homo sapiens
AATATTTAAATATGGGTTTTAAGGTCAAACTTAAGTTGTCCCATTTGCATCTGCCCTGAGGAGCCTCTGAAGCGGCTTCAGATGATAGAGGTCCGTGGGAATGCCATTCGTTGGCCTCCACAACAAGACAGTGTGAAGTGACTTTCACTGGCAACTCTGGGCCAAGAGTCTAATAGAACTGCATACACTCCTGGGAATTCACCTATTCAAGAAACACTTAAACGTGGGGACTGTAAGCAGTGTGAGATGCAAAGATGTGTAGGAAACTGTCCTCACCCTCACAGATCTTGCAGTAGAGCCTCCCAGCCTCACTTGAGGAGCAAAGTCAAGGCTCTGAGTTTCCATGACTTGGCCAAAGTTCACACACCAGGTCAACGACCACAGGGGACTCGACATCAGGGGTCTTTTTGTTGGTTTGCTTTTGAGACAGGGCCTCATCCTGTCACCCAGGCTGGAGTGCAGTGGTGCAGTCTTGGCTCACTGCATCCTCAACCTCCCTGACTCAAGCAATCCTCCCTCCTCAGCCTCCAAATAGCTGGGACTATAGGCTCATGTCAGCAAGCCTATAGTCCCAAAATTTTTTAATGTTTTCTAGAAACAGGGTCTCACTACATTGCCCAGGCTGGTCTTGAACTTCTGGGCTCCAGCAATCCTCCTACCTCAGCCTCCCTAAGTCCTAGGATTACAGACACTGCCCCTGGCCAAAATCAAGTTTATTAACTACCATTCTTTTTTCTCTACACCATATGCTTCCTTAGTTAATGTAATCTTCAGCTGAATTTCTTTCTTAGTTTTGTGTTGTGTTACCTTTTTCTTCCCAACAACAAGGCAATGTGGGGCCACCCCAGATAACAAAAGGGAACTGGTAGGGAAGAACAGCACGCACCCAGGGAGCAGGTGCCAGCTGCCCGTAACCAGAGGCCTCAGACGAGGGAAGAGAACCCAGCACTTTTTAAAATTATGTAAATGATGAAAGCCACCTTTTGCTACATCCTTTCCATCAGACTCTTAGTGCATTTGAGGCTTTGATTAACGAGGCTATATCCAAGAATGATATTCATGTTACCCAATAAAGACACCATGGGGTTCTTCTGGGCCCAATTTTGGCAACTTGCTCAATATTCAAGCTGGGTTTTTTCTTTTCCTTGTATCTTATCGACCAGGTACAAAAGGATGTTGTTTAAATGAGAAAATCTCTTCCTTCGCGTACTGTTCTAAACTCAGTGGGTTCTCTTTGCAGCCAGGTGAGAAAAAGTTGCAATTTCAATGCAGAGAGCCCTTCTGAATGCCTGCGGCCTGGGAGGTATAATGAACAAGCTTCAGTCTTGGATCGGTTCCCAGACCCACAACGCGAGAACGCTGTGGTGTCTAAACAGAAGTCCCTGGCTTTCTTTCAGTCCCAAGTCTTACTAGGTTTGACGCTTCTTTATTATGTTTTGTTCTGCATCTCTAAGTCCCCCTTCTAAAGCATAATGCTGCAAACATGGGGTCTGCACGCCCAAGAGCATTGTCCCTTGGTTACCATGGTAACCCAAGCGCATCCACCAAGCACTTTACTCCAAAGGAAATAGCGAGCTTGGGCTATGAGCTTGCACCTTGCACACACACACACCCCAGTCAGTGAATATCCCCCAGAGGGTTTCTGTTTCTGCGCCAGAGTTGGCAAAAGCCAAAGGGGCCAGCGCAACTGTGTTTTATCGACTTTATTAAAATAACTGGGATACACATTCAACCACTAATTATTATTGTTTCACCTGTGCCAGGAGGGGACCTGCTGGCGCTTGACAAATGGGCTGAGAGGCTGTCGAGTTTCATTCCGGCATTGGTGGGTAACAGATGCCGAAATGTGGTTTCGTAATAGCGGAATAGGACTTTGTACTTTTACAGTACTTTTTATCAGTGAATCTCAAAGGCTCCCTCATTAGTCCCCGTGGCCCCCTGGAAAGGAGGTGAGTGGCGATTGGGTCCCCCGAGGCGGCAAGCCCAAGGCAAGAGGAGGCCTCGGGCTAGTTGCCTAGACTTAAACAGGACACAGAAGCACAAACAGGCCATTGGAGCCCCAGTCTGATGAAGCTGCTCTAATCGTGTAATTACCCTGCAATCATGCCCATCATTTGCATTTTTAATTCCACTCATTAAACGTGCGGCTTCTGTTTGGGGAGACTTGTCTCCACACATCTCAACCGTCTGAATGCCTGTGGCTGGCCTTTTTATGCAGTAACCAGGCATCCTGATAGACAGGTTGGGGGAAACATTTACTTGGTCCCACCATAAAAGAGCACACGAGTTACCTAAGCAGAATGGCACAGGGTCAGCAGTGGCTGAGAAATGGTTACTTTACGGGAACACAAAACGAAGTCAGTTCTGAAAGTCCCCATGCCCAAGATTGAGAAACTTCAGTAAATCCTAAGTCATCTAAAAACTTCCTCCCCACCCCAAACTACATCTCAAAGTGTTAAAAGTGAGCGGAGTCTTGGATAATATCTAAATCCAACACCCCCATTTTTGGATGAGAAAATTGAGCCCGAGAGGCATTTCTCGATTAACTTTCAAGCCCCACAGCTGGTCAGTGGCAGAGGGGATCCCAGAGCTCAAATGGTTCACCCTCCCTATCTACATTAACCACAAGGTGCTATGAGAAACTTACGTGGAAACATTTCTACAGGTGCATTGCCCTTGAATATCAGCAACATACGCTCCTTCTGAACAGGGATTTTGTCTGTTTTTTTCTCAGCTGTATCCCAGAAAAGAGAACCTAGCACATAATGAATCCCCTATAAGTTTTTGTTGATGATTGGACATCTGCACGGATCCTACTCAACACAGGTCAAGAAAGAGAATAATAAGGCCGGGCTTGGTGGCTCACGCCTGTAATCCCAGCACTTTGGCAGACCAAGGCAGGTGGATCACCTGAGGTCAGGAATTCGAAACCAGCCTGGCCAACATGGTAAAACCTGTCTGTACTAAAAATACAAAAATTAGCTGGGTGGGGTGGTGCATGCCTCTAATCCCAGCTACTCGGGAGGCTGAGGCAGGAGAATCACTAGAACACCTGAGGCAGAGGTTGCAGTGAGCCGAGATCACACCACTGCACTCCAGCCTAGGCACAGAGAGACCAAGAGAGAGAGACTAATAGACAAGGAACCAGAAAAGCATATTTTCCCCCATTTAAGATTCAGTTCAAATGTCACCTCCTCAGAGAGGCCTTTTCTGATCCCCTTGTTCATTGTTTACCTCCCTCACCCTAGTCATTCCTTTTCATTTGGTTCCATTTCATTCCTGTTTTGTTTTCATTATAGCAGTTATAAATATTTAAAGTGACCTCATTTATTTTACAACTATCTCCTCACTTCGATAGAAGCACCATAAAGTCAAGAATTTTTTTCAGTCCATGAATAGACAATTCTCAAAGGAAGATATACAAATGGCCAACAAACATATAAAAAAAAATGCTCATCATCACTAATGATCGGGGAAATGCAAACCAAAACCACAATGTGATACCACCTTACTCCTGCAAGAATGGCCATAATCAAAAAATCAAAAAATAATGTTAGCATGGATGCAGTGAAAAGGGACACTTCTACACTGCCGGTGGGAATGTAAACTAGTACAACCTCTATGGAAAAACAGTATGGAGATTCCTTAAAGAACTAAAAGTAGATTTACCATTTGATCCAGCAATCCCACTACTGGGTATCTACCCAGAGGAAAAGAAGTCATTATACGAAAAAAATACTTGCACACGCATGTTCATAGCAGCACAATTCGCAACTGCAAAAATGTAGAACCAACCCAAATACCCATCAATCAATGAGTGGATAAAGAAACTGTGGTATATATATGCAATGGAATACTACTCAGCCATAAAAAGGAATGAATTAATGAAATTTGCAGAAACTTAGATGGGATTGGAGACTATTATTCCAAGTGAGGTAACTGAAGAATGGAAAACCAAACATTGTATGTTCTCACTTATAAGTGGGAGCTAAGCTATGAGGATGCAAAGGCATAAGAATGACACAATGGACACGGGGAACTCGGTGGGAAAGGGTGGGAAGGTGGTGAGGGATAAAAGACCACAAATTGGGTACCAGGTATACTGCTCGGGAGATGGGTGCACACGAATCTCACAAATCACCACTAAAGAACTACTCATGTAACCAAATACCACCTGTTCCCCAATAACCTTTAGAAATAAAAATGTTTTTAAAAAAAGAATTTTTGGCAGTCGTGTTCACTGCACCATTGCCAGGGCCTGCACCAGTGCCTGACATATGTGAGATGCTCAACAGATATTTATGAAGTGACAGATATATATAGAAAAAAAATAATGAAAGTGCTAAAAATCATCAAAAGTATTTGTTTCACAGTGAGAAATGTTCAGTATTATTGCATTATTCATCTTTGTCAACATTAGCAGCAAATCAGAGTTCCATAAGCCCTCTTTAGACTTGAACAAATTTCCAGTCAGTGTGTGTGTACAAAACACATTGGTACAGCGTATCATTATCTTCTTGGTTCCAAATGATCCCACAGTTGATGTTCTCCGTGTTTGTCTGAGCCTCTGGGGCTTTATTAATGTAATTATAGACACAAGTCACCAGTTGAGTGTATAATTTGGTGGAAGGGACTATCTATATAGAACAAACCACTGACAGGTAGGTTAGAGCCAGAATCGCCCAAGGAATCAACTGGCTCTGCTGGTCCATTTTACGGATGTGGGAAGGCCCTGAGAGAATAAGGGACCTGCCCTAAGCCACCTACATGCCTAATCTGGGCAGAGATCAGAAAACTTCAAAGGAACAAGTCTGTCTTTTTTTATATGAATGGAAGTTGGATTCGAAAGATGTAAATTAAACTGACCTTAGTTGAACACATTCTCAGGGAGACTTCTTCCCTCTTCCAACTGTAAGAATCAGTGCCCAGACAAAAATCATCCTCAGAGGTGACACATCACACAGTGTCATCCAAAAGGAATACAGGTGCAGAAGCAAGTGTCGCACTAAACATCCCAGGCAGACTCTCAGCATCCTTCCCAGCATTTCACACTGGAAAAACTATGCTGCAACAGTCTTCACCAATAGCCTCCCTCTGCCGTGAAAGAAAAATAGCATCATCAAGCTAACCAGAAGCACACTATCAGACTCTCTTGGATTTGAGGGGGAGGCGGAAACATCCAGTACAGAACTCAGAAAACACTCACACATCTGTCTTCTATTAAGATGCCCTCTGTAGTTTCAAAAATGCCCCCTGTCTCAGCTCCTCACCCCCAGGCAAGCCAGGTCCCCACAGGGCACAATTTCCTCCGGGCTTTTTCTTCTTGCCCTGGTGGTATAAACTCTCAGGCGACCTGCTCACATCAGCCCCTACACCAGTGTCTCCACCTTGCTATTGGAGAACAGCATACATTCTGTGTCCACTGCAATGCTTCTCGTTGCTATCTGAGTTGCTAAGAAGCAGTGGGATGCAGCTGGCAGTCTCTGAGATGCAGGGCGGGTTGTGAGAGCCTCTCCCTTGCCTCATGTCAGGGGTCACGTGATTATTCTATTACTGTCTCTACCCCCTCTCTCCTAACCTACAGTCAATCTGACAGTTTTCCCAAACAGGGCTGCCCCATTTCTAAATATTCACAAGTGCCATCCGCCAGGGCCTGCCAGGGCAGTGTTGATTGCTTCAAGATGTGTGTTAATATCAAGTGGCTTTGCAGCATGGGAATATGCTTGGCTGGGCCCCTCTGTTTACTGTCCAACCGATACCTTGGAATCCTGCTCTTATCAATGTTCTGTTGTGTGTTTTACTTGACATTTTTGAAAACACCAAAGTTAGCCCTATATAAAAACTGATTGGTTCCTCTGTGATGATCCAGGTACTCATGATGCTGCAAGTCAGGTGGCTGTCACTAGTGGCTAAGGTGCTGTGGGCTGAACAGAGTTCTCCCTGGGCACAGGGAGCAACTCTTGATTGTCTCTGTGGCTCAGGTGCCTGTCTCCTGCTAAGTCTGAGTCCTCCAAGGACAGGGACTTATCCATCTTTATAGCCCACAAACCCAGAGTAGTGCCAGGTACATAGTGAGTGCCTCTCTGTTGAATGAAATGCAGCCTCACTTTTTTTTCTATTAGAGTTAAAATACACATAACATTGACCATCTTAACCACTTTAAAGTGTACAATTCAGTAGCATTGAATATATTCACAGTGTTATGCAATGTCATAGTTTTTATTCTTTTTTTTTTTTTGAGATGGAGTCTTGCTCTGTTGCCCAGGCTGGAGTACAATGGCGCAATCTCGGCTCACTGCAACCTCCACCTCCTGGGTTCAAGTGATTCTCCTGCTTCAGCCTCCTGAGTAGCTGGGACTATAGGCATGCACCACCACGCCCATCTAATTTTTTGTATTTTTAGTAGAGACAGGATTTTACTGTGTTAGCCAGGATGGTCTCAATCTCCTGACCTCGTGATCTGCCCACCTTGGCCTCCCAAAATGCTGGGATTACAGGCTTGAGCCACTGCACCTGGCCTTTTTTTTTTTTTTTAAAGGTGCAATGCTTCATTCCTGTAATCCCAGCTCTTTGGGAGGCCAAGGCGGGGGGATTGTTTGAGCCCAGAAGTTTGACACCCATCTGGGCAACACAGTGGGACCCAGTCTCTACAAAAAATAAAAAATTAGCAGGGCAGGGTGGCACATACCTGTATTCTCAGCTACTCAGGAGGCTGATGTGGGAGGATTGCTTGAGCCCAGGAGGTCAAGGCTGCAGTGAGCTGTGGTTGCACCACTGCACTCCACCCTGGGCAACAGGACGAGACCCTGTCTCAAAAAAAAAAAAAAAAAAAAAAAGACTCCTCAATAAAATTACTCTAAATAGATTAACAGTTTTTTCTAAGAAATGAAAAAATAAAAGATAAAATATGGAGCGTGATTTCAAGGCAATCTAGACAACAAGGTGTGAATACTGTTCTCCACTAAATGCAACTGTTATCACTTCTTAGCTCTTCTGTGGTCGTCTCCTAGTGCTCAAAACGTAGTCATCAAGCAGATGTGTTGAGCACTCTGTTAGATGCTGGGAATAAACAGATGAACAGACATGGCCAGTGTCTGTGAGGTGCTTAAAGACCAGAGAAGAGACAGATGCTTATTTCTAATTCCCCACACTATACTGCGAAACTCGTCAGGGTAGGTGTTTTTGTCTTTTTTTTAATTCCCTGCTCTATCCCCAGTATATTGAACAGTGCCTGGCATGCTATAGGCATTTTAAAAATACTCGATGAATGAATAAATAATGAAAATCTGGCTGGGGAAGTAGGAGAAAGCTTCACCAAAGGCCTTAGTTGGGTTTGTTCTTGAAAGTATCATTTCTTGAAGAAAGAGTTACAGACATCCTCACAGGAGAAGAAGGTCTTCTTGGAAGCCTGGGTACAGAGCAGGTGGCATGACCGGATGCTGGAAGAGTAGGACATGGAAAGACAGATCAAATCACAAAGGACTTTGTATGCCACCTTGAGGAATCTAGAGTTTTGCTTACATCTTGTTAAGTGAAGAATTTTAAGCAAAATGTTTGTGCTATGCTCTGAATGTTTGTGTTCACCCAAAATTCATACATTGAAACCTAATCACCAAGGTAATGGTATTAGAAGGTGAAGCCTTTGGGAGGTGATTAGGTCATGAGGAGTCTGCCCTAATGAATGGGATTAGTGCCCTTATGAAAGAAGCCCCAGAGAGTTGCCTTCCTCTTTCACCACGTGAGCATAAAGCAAGAAGGTGCCATCTACGAGGAACAGGCTCTCACCAGACACCAAAAAAACTGCTGAATGCCTTGATTGTAGACTTCCCAGCCTCCAGAACTGTGAGCAATAAATTCCATTGTTTATAAATTACCTAGTCTAAGGTATGTTGTTATAGTAGCCCAAATGACTAAGGCAGTTTGCATTTTGGAAAAGTCACAGAATTGTATTCTAGATAAGCAGCACTTATCAAACCACACACATCCCCACCACTTTCCAGGCATCAGAAGCCATTAATCATGTCATATCTGCAGCTAATACTTTGTTTCCATGCATACTGCATCATTCCTGCTGAGAAAATTTCCCAGACTTCCCACTCAAATCCCTCTTCCCTGGAATATCTTCCTTTCATGGCAAAGAAAAAGAAAATGAGGAGAGATGCCTATGAATCCACTCACCGGCCTTTCTGTCTGATATCATTTTGCTGTGTCCCCACCCAAATCTCATCTTGAATTGTAGCTCCCATAATTCCCATGTGTTATGGGAGGGACCCAGTTGGAGATAATTGAATTGTGGGGGTGGTTTCCTCCATACTGTTCTCGTGGTAGTGAATAAGTCTCACGAGATCTGATAGTTTTATAAGGGGAAACCCCTTTTGTTTGGTTCTGATTTCCTCTCTTGACTGCTGCCATGTAAGACGTGCCTTTCACCTTCCATCATGATTGTGATGTCTTCCCAGGCACGTGGAACTGTGAGTCCATTAAGCCTCTTTTTCTTTTTAAATTACCCAGTCTCGGGTATGTCTTCATCAGCAGCGTGAAAACAGACTAATACACCCTCCCATGGGATTACTCTTTTAGCTGCTTCTAAGCATTCCGCATCAGTTCCTGGTTTGGATTCTCCTGGAAGCAGACTCTGAGACAAGGACCTGAGAGTCAATAGGTTATTGGGAAAGATCCTGGAAAGGCAAGAGAATGAGAAGGGAAAGTGAAATCCAGAAGGGAGAAGCAAACAATGAAGGGTGAGTTGGTAAGCTGGTGAGGAGGCTGCCACGATGGGAGACTCTGGCCTGGCCCCACTAAAGAACTGTAGAGTACACCTCAGAACTTTCCCCAGGAGGGCCAAGGAAGCTGCAATACTTATCCACCAATTCCTAACCCTCACAGGCTGGGGACCACCTCTGGGGGAATTATATTCTAGGCGTCTCTGGTCTGCCCTGTGCTCTGGCTGACAGATCCCTCAGGTATAGAAGCAGAGAGATGAGGGCGTCTGTGGTAGGCAGCTGTGAGCATGCACAAGAGTGGCCTTTGCAGCTGCAAGTGAACTCAGAGGTGGGCCAAAGGGAAAAGGGCAGGGCTTCAGCAGCATCTTCTACACCATCTGCCCTACCAGAGCTTGTTTCCCCTCTAGAAGATGGTTGCAGAGACAATGCTGTGTGTCCACCATCTTGTCTCAGGCACACAGAAAGATGACATGTCCCAGGCTCCCCTGTCATTTAAGCCATCTCATTCACAGCTAAATTAGAAACAGGGTGCTACTTCTGCCCAGTAGAATATGAACAGAAGTTACTAAAGTCATTTTCAGGCCTGACCCTTAAAAACAACCCAGGCGAGGGCCAGGCGCAGTGGCTCACACCTGTAATCCCAGCACTTTGGGAGGCCGAGGTGGGCGGATCACGAGATCAGGAGATCGAGACCATCCTGGCTAACATGGTGAAACCCTGTCTATACTAAAAATACAAAAAATTAGCTAGGCATGGTGGCGGGCACCTATAGTCCCAGCTACTCAGGAGGCTAAGGCAGGAGAATGGCGTGAACCCTGGAGGTGGAGCTTGCAGTGAGCCAAGATCACGCCACTGCACTCCAGCCTGGGTGACAGAGCAAGACTCCGTCTCAAAAAAAACAAAAACAAAAAACAACCCATGCAAGGATGTGACGGTGGTCTGGCTGCAACATCTGTCACCCCACTGATCACCAGGGTTGATTCGGCTGATCTGGCTGGCTAGGTGGGTATGCCCTCCTGAGCCTCACCACTCCATGTTCATCCCTCCTGAAGCTGCATGCTTGGTTGAAGAAGACAACCTTCCCCAGTAGAAGGCCAATATTTGGTCAAGGGTATATAAGTAGCTGCATTCCCTTGCTAGAACCTCCAAACAAGCTCTCAAGGTCCATTTGCAGGAAAATGTTGGGTAGTGAAGCTTCCAAGGCTCCAGACACATCCAAATGAGGTGCTGCATGTGGCAGTATGTTTTTTGTTTTTTGTTTGTTTGTTTGTTTGTTTGTTTTGAGACAGAGTCTTGCTCTGTCACCCAGGCCGGAGTACAGTGGCACGATCTCGACTCACTGCAACCTCCGCCTCCCAGGTTCAAGCGATTCTCCTGCCTCAGCCTCCCAAGTAGCTGGGATTATAGGCACCCGCTGCCATACCTGGCTAATTTTTTGTATTTTAGTAGAGACGGAGTTTCACCGTGTTGCCCAGGCTGGTCTCAAACTCCTGAGCTCAGGCAATTCACCCACCTTGGCCTCCCAAATTGCTAGGATTGCAGGCATAAGCCACCACACCCAGCCACTTTTCTTAAAAACACACACACAAACAAACAAAACTATGTGATCCTCCAGTTCTTTCTCTTCAGTGACCAACTTGAAGTCCATATGTTTAAGATGGTAGGAATGTAAGATTGAAGGAGCTTTGATCCCTGAGTCACTGAGTGAAGGAGTCCACCAAGGAAAGCCACTCAAATTATGCCAGACTGTAACATGAATGAGAAATAGGCAGTATGCAGCCCCTAAGATTTGGAGATTTGTTACTGCAGAAAAGCCTAGCCCATCCTGACTAACACAGAATATATATTGGCTCTGCTGAGAATCTCTGCATGTTTTGGCAGTATGTTTCTTTTCCCTTTTCCTCTTCATAACTTGAAAAGAATCTTTAATGCAATTTCAGGGCTAAAACAGTGTGCTTCCGCTTCAAGAAACAAATATGCTTAGCTGAGTGATGTTCTTGCAGTTGGCAATGAACCCGTGATGCCCAGCCAGTATAATAGTCTTGACAGCATCTCTCAAGGCCCGCCTGCCTGCTTTAAGACCCAGTCTTGGCGACAGGGTTTAGCTGCCCACCCTTCCATTTAACACATCTAGAGAAACTACCAATTACTGCTAAACTGCCTTGTGTGGCTCAGCCCTCAGGTCAGAGGATGACATCCGGGAGGGCCATTTCAATGATTATGTAATTAATATTATCATGATATATAACTGCAGTAATGGTTTTTATCAATAGAGACCTGTTCTTCCTAGGCTATTCTTCAAAGTCAGGCTGTTGCCTGTTCTACCTTTGTGACATTCAGGAGCATCCTCTGGCCACGTGGTTCGGAGGTTTTATTGTACATCTTTAAGTGCTCTCTCTGAAACCCATGGGTCCTGGAAGTTTTGAACTAGGTTTTGTGGCTCTGCGTCACCTTCACAGTCTTAAAACGCACCCGTTTACACAAATGCCTGCTCACAAGCCACAGAGTGATGGCCGCTGACTCCTCCCAAAGTCAACACTTAGATTTATTGACTGAGAAGGATGTAACTGACCGAAACTTCACCCAGCTCAATATTTGCCTAGAGACAATAAATCTCAACACCGACCCAAACTGAAAGTCGATGGATATGTATTGTTACAGACTTTCTTTTGGCAAGACTAATCCATTGGGTATGGATTTTGAAATAATTTCATTTTGATTGGAGTGTGGGGCTAGCTGGACAGTGCAGTCAGAAAACAAAGTGGGGGACGCGTGATAGGAGCAGTTGCTCCTTGTAATCCCATAGTTAAATTCAGTGCTGTGAGCAGCACTTAGAAAAAAGAGCATGTCATCTATCAGGCCTCCAGAAGGGCCGCCTTCTGTGAGATGATGTCATCATAATGGCAGAGTGTGTTAAGTCCTCTGTGAATCCCCACAGGGCATTTGTCCTGCATGAGAATCAATTACAGAAAAGATAAATGGTGCATGAGAAGTGTCTTTTGGCATATATTTCACTTCTGATACATGTTGTTCTGCTGAGCAACAAACAATTTAGATAAACCTCAAGGTCATGTTTGGACCAGAGAGATGTTTTTCATTAGCTAGAGAGTGACCATGCTGATAAGAGAAGCAGCAGTTTGTGGAAAACTGTAAAACACCCGCCCTTCCGGGCAGCCGAAGCAGCCTACCTGGATCAGGCTGAGAGCCCTGGACATCACAGAAAGCCATGTTAGCATTGGAAAAGCGAGAGTGACGTCTTTGCCCACCATCTCCCAACGAAAGCCCTTCTGAGTGCGCGGAATGATTATTTCTGTGAACTGTAGTTATACTTCAGGCATGGACTCTGGAGAATACATTTTACTGGCTCAACTTTTTGTGAATCACAAATCCAGCTGAGTTGTGATTTTTTCTTCCTTTTGAGTCTAGGTCTGTGTTAGCAGTTGATTGGCTATCTTGCCCACATTCCCTTGTTTTTCCTTACATTTTTTTTTTTTTTTCTGAGACAGAATCTCACTCTGTCACCCAGGCTGGAGTGCAGTGGAGCAATCTCAGTTCACTGCAAACTCCGTTTCCCGGGTTCAAGAGATTCTCTTGCCTCAGCCTTCCATGTAGCTGGGATTACAGGCACCCGCCACCACGCCCAGCTAACTTTTGTATTTTTAGTAAACAGGGTTTTACCATGTTGGTGAGGCTGGTCTCAAACTCCTAACTTCAAGTGATCCACCTTCCTTGCCCTCCCAAAGTGCAGGGATTACAGGCGTGAGCCACCGTACCAGCCGCCTTAGATTTTTTTCACGGTTCCACAAGTGAAAAGGGAAAGTGGTTCGTGTCTCCGTGTAGTCACTTCCTTGTCACTGGGTCCTCAGACCCATTGCACAGGGTTTATTTTTTTGAGACAAAGTCTCACTCTGTTGTCCAGGCTGAAATGCAGCAGTTTGAGCCTTGACCTCTCAGGCTCAAGTCGTCCTCCCACCTCAGCCTCCCGAGTAGCAGGGACTACAGGCATGCACCCTCACACCTGGCTAATTTATTGTTGTTGTTGTTGTTATTATTATTTGTAGAGATGGGTCTCCCTATGCCGCCCAGGCTTCTCAAACCCCTGGGCTTAGCAGTCCTCCCACCTCAGCCTCCCAAAGTACTGGGATTATAGCACGAGCCACCGTGCCTGGCCCCACGGGGATGTTTGTACCGCCTGTCACCACATCCAGCAGGTGCTCCCACAGCCCAGCAGGGTGTGCTGTGGTGATGTTGTCCTTATGTCATTCCATCCGGTGCCTCTGATCAGCTGTGACTTAGGGCACTGTTCTCCCAGGACCTCGCTGCAGCCTCAGAATCCTTTTTGTTCCACCCTTCTCCGTGTCTGTATTCCAGAATCTTGTGTTTTGGGGCACTCAGTTACCTCCTTGTAAAATGTTGTCCTCCATATTTTCATAAAGAGGAATTCAAATGTTTTCTCATCTCACCCTAAGAAGATTCCCCTAACCCCAAATCTGGGGTGTCTTCTCTGTTCTTCCATAGCCCACTATCAATACAGACAGTCCTTACTGTACCCACCTGGCTGTCATCTCTCTACTATGAGAGACAATTTCCATCTCATTCACCATTTTATTACCAATTATAAGCACGGATCTTGCTTGGCACATAGTATATATACATACTCAATAAGTATTTTAGCAATCATTGAAAAAGTTTTAGATTATACAATATCTATGCCCATATTTTTCTACTTAGGGTCCATGCAGTGAGATTAAGAATTTCAGAGATTAGCTTCCATTTTCCCCATTTCTCAAAGTATGAGCACCAGAGGCAGCAAAAGTGAAGGGCCACATTAGGGGTCCAGCACCTCTGGCCCCTTCTCTGTCTCAGATGTATGTGGAGTGTGAGTGTGGACTAGCCAAATAAAAGGAAACAGGCCAGAAAAGTCACTGGTTCCAGTCGAACGAATACTGCTTTCTTGCTTATGAATTTCTCCCCCTTGTTCCTTGCAAAGTGTGGAACTGAACAAGGGGAACAGCTATGTGGTCAGCAAGAGGGCGGGAGGTCACTCTCTAATCACAGGCATGGGGCAGGTATAACTTGACCCTCCATCCCCACAAAGCTACACAGGTCCTGTCTCTGCACAGTTGCTCCATCACCGATCTTACCACACGGCCTTACGACCACTTGGCTATTCTCTTCTCCTTGCCTTGACCCATGTGTAAATAGCTGATGCTCTGAAGCTAATGTTATTTTAATAGCTTTATAGAGGTATAATCGACATAGAATATTGCCCATATTTGAAGTGTACAATTTGGTGAGTTTGGTTATGTATATACCCATGAGACCATCACTGCAATCAAGATAGTGAACATGTTTATCACCTCTGTGTGAGCCCCTCCCTTTCTCAGCCCCTCCTCCTCCCAGCCTCTTCACTTCTCAGGCAACCACCCATCTGCTTTCTATTACTACAGGTGAGTTTGCATTTTCTAGAGTTTTGTATAAATGGAATGATACAGTATGTACTATTTGGGGTTGACTTCTTTCACTCAGCATAATTATTCGATCTCCATTCATGTTGTTGCATGTATTAATAGTTTATTTAAAGCTAAGGTTTTTATAAACCTCTCCTGAAAGCTTGGAGACATCCTAAAAATTGGAAAGAATTGGGTCTTGGGCTATATTATAACATAGATTGTCTAGATTTGTTCTAGAATTAGCAAGCCTGCTATCAGCAGGAAACCCACCAATAAGAAGAGACTCAGAACAGGAAAGGGGCAAATAACAAAAGGAGATAAACAGCTAAGAAGACAGACAGAAGGAGCCAAAAATATCTCCCGAGTTTCCTTCCATCTGTGCTTCTCTCCCCAACCGTGCTTCCCCAAGATCCACTGCCACCAATTCAGCCTAATCTTTCACTAAAAGTATCTTCTTCCCTCTTCTTTCAAATATCCCACCTCCCCCACAAATAAAGCCATTTTTAAAATCACCTACCTTTAGCTGAGCAAGGGAATAGAGTGACATACCTCCCACTCAAAACATCTCACTGGAAACCCCACCTTCTGTGTTGAGAATTTTGAATCCACAGTAACTTGAGACAAATCTTTCCTTCTCAAATTCCCAAGTAAAGGTGCAGAGCTTGGCTTCATCTGCCTTCCCCCACATCTCTGAGACCTCAGCCTCACTAGGGACTATCACCCATTGGTTATAAAGCAAGTTAATTTCAGTGTTAGCCAGATAAAAAAGGATTAATGTCTTTTCAGGTCGGGGGCTTCTTTTCAGTCTTACTCTGTACAGTGAAAATTCTACACAAGTACGTATACTTCACTTTGTTAAAACAACTTAGTTCTGGCCGGGCGTGGTGGCTCACGCCTGTAATCCCAGCACTTTGGGAGGCCGAGGCGGGTGGGTCACGAGGTCAGGAGATCGAGACCATCCTGGCTAACACAGTGAAACCCCGTCTCTACTAAAAATACAAAAAAATTAGTGGGGCGTGGTGGTGGGTGACTGTAGTCCCAGCTAATTGGGCAGCTGAGGCTGGAGAATGGCATGAACCCAGGAGGCGGAGCTTACAGTGAGCCGAGATGGCGCCACTGTACTCCAGCCTGGGCAACAGAGCGAGACTCTGTCTCCAAAAGAAAAAAAAACAAAAAACTTAGTTCTGAGCATAGGAATCATGTCCACTTGTAGTCCACTGCCTTTCTGGCCTCAGCTCTCAATTCTCTTCTATTTTAGAATAGCCTGCTCTCGTGCCCTAGTCACCCTTTCAAAACATTTCAACGTGTGAAGTGTGAAGTCCCGTTTCCTTCATTTCTGCACACGTAGGCACCTCAATCTCAGAAGACTGCGTGAGAATTCCAACTTGCAACAGGCTGCATGAGAGATGCCAGGTTTGCTATTTGCTTTGTAAAAAGCCCACTTATCCTCCGCGTTTGTTCCAGGCCTCCTGGCATAACTTACCTATGTAATGGGCACACTTGAATGCACTAAATAGTGTAGATTCCAGAGCTGTGGTTAAGGCAGGGCAAAATGATTCCTTAGTAGATGAAAAAAGGCATCACTCCAATTACTGTAAAACCTGGCCACAAATTGCCAGGCCCAAAGTAATGCTTAGTCCAGCCTGGTGGGGAGTGTCTGGCTACTCCTGGCTTCCTGACACTTTGCAAATGGAGGACTCCTTTTCCCTTTCACTCCAGTAAGCAACCCATGCCGAGAATTTTCTCATGCTTCTAGCAGGGGGTTTAATGACCAATGACTTCACTGGAGATGCTGTGGCTGTGTAGAGCAGCAAATATTCTGAGGAGCCCAAGGACCCTTCTCTACCAAGCCCTGACCTGTCTCACCTGCTTTTTCCCGTGTCCCTCAAACCCTCCTTCCAAACCATGAAAACACTGAGGGCTTTCTTCACTCTGCCCCTGTTCCAGACCATCTCCTTTACCTGATTGTCATCCTGTCCCCACCTCACCATCTCTGCCGGCCAAGCCCTGTCTCTTCTCAAAGCCTAGGCCTGAATGCTACCTCATCCTTAATGCTTTCATAAATCCCTTAGCCAAAAGTCACTCCTTTCCCATTTGTCTCCTTAAAACAGTTTATTCCTTAGATGTGGAAATTGTCCAATTCTGCTTTGCTGGAGCTGGGGCTGCCTCGAGAGCCACTTCTGTATGGCTAGCATACTTCTCCCAGGCAGACACTCTGATTTCACATGGATTACTGCACTTAATCTTCAAAGACCTGTCTAAGTCCCAAAGAAGTTATTTAACTTGTCTAAGATCACAGAGCTAATAAGTCACAGATTTGAACCTAAGGCAATCTGACCCTTCCACTTAACCAAGGTACTGAACTACAAGCTCTTAAGAACATCTCTACAGTGCTTAACACGTGCCTTCCTCTAAGTCATAGTCACATATGTATGTGTATATGTACATATATACCCATATAGACACGGATATATCTCACATCAATATAATGAATGAAGAGAACACCTATATTATCTTCTTGTGGCTACTATTAAAAAATCACCACAAACTTGGTGGCTTAAAACAATAGAAATTTATCCTCTCACAGTTCTGGAGGGCAGAAGTCTGAAATCACCATCACTGGGCCGAGATGAAGGTGTCAGGAGGCCCATACTCCCTCCAAAGGCTCTGGGGTAGAATTCATTCTTTGCCTCTTCCATCTTCTGGTGGATGCTGGCATTCCTTGGATTGTGGCTGCATCATTCCAGTCTCTGCCTCTGTTGTCACATTGCCTTCTTCTTTTCTGTTTGCCTTTCTCAAATAAGGACACTTGTGATTGCATTTAGGGCCCACCTAGATAATCTAGGATAATGTCACCATCTCGAGATCCTTCACTTAATCACAATTGCAAAAATCCTTTTTCCAAATAAGGTAACATTTACAGACTCCAAGGATTAGAACCTGCTATCCTGGGGACAGGGGTGGCATTGTTCAGCCAACTACAACACCCAACCTTGGTTCTTTTTCCTAAGTTACAGGTGTCCATGAACAGCTGATCCTACAAATTAACTTTGTAGGAACCACTTCCTCAGTCCCCAAAATACAAAGAAACTTTAAAAACAACCAGAATCCCACAAAGGACTCTCTTTAGGAGAAGCTGGCTGGAAACATGAAAAGCATATTCTTCCATATAAAAAAGCAGCAGCACATTCTCTTCAACAAACATATTGTAGGTCACATTTTTATGGCTGAATCAACAAAATGCTCTCTATAAACTACAATTTTGTGCAGCACAGACTGTTTCAGACACACTCCTGCTGCCAAGATGAGAGGTAGACATGGCTCATTCTCTTACCCTGGTGTCTCTGAAAATTCTTTCCCACGTATCTCGGGGCTGCCTGTGCTGACAAGAGGAATAGTATATCATTCTCCGGTGACGAGCCAGCTACCCCTCTGTTAGGGGCCAGGGAATCTCAGAGCACAGAGCATGAAACACGCCAAGGTTCTGTGGTAGAAACCCCAGACAGCTGTTGTCAGAGGGCATTGCATAAGCACACTAATGGGGGCTAACCTGAAATCGCACGCTTATGCGGAGCCCGCCCAACTCTCTGATAACATCAATGCGTGGGTCTTGGCTAATCAATTCTCATTTGGGAGACAATTTTGCTAGAAGATGTTCAGACATGGGGAATCCCAATAGGCCTTTGGTCAACATGATTTTATGGTTTGTTTAAAAATGGTTAAACAGCTATTAAGCTTCTCTTTCTGGCCTGTGTCCCTGCCTTCATATAAGTCATGCATGCATTTTCTCCCTCCCTCTAAAACTCTCAGACACATAAACACACACAC
Organism: Homo sapiens; assembly: GCF_000001405.40. NCBI lineage: Eukaryota > Metazoa > Chordata > Mammalia > Primates > Hominidae > Homo > Homo sapiens. Next base: position 18,005 of record NW_015495299.1, read on the forward strand.
TCTCTGTGGTTTGAGTGCTCCGTTATGGGGAAGCAACATCGTGATTTTTCCACCTCTGTTGAATGCTAAGGATTCAGTCCCAACCACGAACATGAGCTCTCAGGCCTCCCGTTACAGGCTCGGTCACTTAAATGAGCCACAGGACCTCTGTCTGCACTGACATGTGGCCAACGTTGGGGGTGGGGAATCCTTTTTGGATCCATTCTTTATTTCAAACAGCTCAATAACATTGATAGAATTAGAAAGCTTTCTTTTCCCGGTGATAGCTCAACCTATTCTGTTTTATTTCTGCTGGGTTGGCAATAACTTGCCAGCCAGGTTGTTAACCAAGTTTATTACTCACAGTCCAGGGAGTGTGAGTAAACACAGCCCCGAGAAGGCACCCCAAGCCCTCAGTGCCTGCTGTCTTGGGACCCTCTGGTTCGGACAGGAAGTCTCTTCCGGGAGCATATTTCAGTAGTTGCCTCCTGGATGGCCATTTTGATCAGGGGCCAGGCCCCGGTTCTCTGCTAATGTCACCCTTGGGGGAGGTTCAGCAGCCATAAAATCTCTCCTGAGACACTGTCATCCAACCGTTACAAAGAACATGGTTTTGCCTGACAAGCCTGAAACAGCACATGGCATTTCTCCCAAATTCTTTATCTATGCATCTCAAGAAGGTCTCGGTTGGGCTAGAGCTATATTTTATGCCATGCAGCATATTGGAAATTCTCTTCTTCTGTAACATGTGATTTAGAATAATAGTACATAAGGACCTGGAGTTAATACAGTAACAAAATTCAGTCTTTGCATGAACTAGGGAGAAAGCAGAGAGACTAGGAGATTTAGACAGCCCACTCTATTGAAACATGCAAACTCCGGGATGCCAGATTTTGACCTTTTGATTCATGGAGCAAATCTTTATTAACTGAACCCATCATACAAAAAGGGTGGTGGTCTCAGCAGTTTAAAAATATAATCTGGAATTCAGAATTCTATTCACTAATTTCTTCACTCGCTGAAACTGGAGGAAAGAAAGGGTTTCATCCACCTCTTGGAGAACATAAAGCTATGTAATTCCTTCTTATTCACATCTATTCATCGTGGAAAAAAAGGATCCATTTCGCCAAGCGTGGGAGATGTCAGTGCTTATCCTGCTGGCAGGACTCCTGCAGGGACTGGCAGGAAAAAAGAGAAAAGAGAGACACAGAAGAGCAGCAGAAGCAAGCGGAAGAAGAAAAGACCTGGAGTCTCCAGGAAGCTACTGGCTAAACACGTTAGTCTCTGCTAGAAAATTCTTCTCACCCTAAGTTTTTGCCCATTTATTCGGAGGACACACCATTCTAAGTGCAAGAGACAGAAACATCTAGAGGTATAAAGGGAATGCCGAAAAGGCAGATCTGCCCCTCCAAAAAAAAGCGCACACAGCTCCCCCACCGAAGCCTGATGATCCAGCGTCACCAATCTGGAGGCTCTACCCCATTTTGGACATGTGCTGTGGCTAGAATCCAGGGAGCGAGGCTGGGAGCATAGGAGGCACTTCTATGGCAGTGGGTAGAGGTACCCCTTTCTCCTGGCACACTCAGCCCCACAGCAGGGCAACCCAACTTGGTGATCAGCTCCCACTTTCCTCCTTAGCCAAGCTCCTTTGTGGGGTGCACAGGTGCACACAGTATACAAAGAGACAGAAGAGAAAAAAACCTTTGGGCCTTTTGGCATTCCCCATTGTCATTATTAGCTGAATCCATGCTCCTAGGAAGTTTCCTTCACTTTGGATCTAAGTATCCCGTGGGCTGTCTTCTATTCTCTAATGGCTGAGAAACTAGGGTACACACTCACTATAACTATCTCAGAATATTCTCTATGCATTTTCTTTCTCTGTACCTGGAATCTCCCATTCTTTCCCATCTCTGTCTCCTAATGGTTTTCCTGTTCCTCTGACATAAATGAGGAACAAGATGGCAGATGGGTTTGTGACATTGCTAGACTATCACCAAAGACACAGCTCATGAGCCCTGACCATTCTAGACCTAGAAAGACTCTTTGCCTACATCTTCAAAACTCTGGCAGTCCCAGAGTCTATTTCACATATAAATCTCTACATCTACTTCCACTCAGCGAGGGCAAAATCAGATATGCCAGGGGAATACACAAGTAGGAAGTGGTAGAACTGGGAATTTGACTCCAGATTCCCAGTGTTCGTGACCCCGATGCCAGTACCACCTTCCAATGAGAATGTGGTGGAGCTACAGGGTCAGGGGAATTCTCCTCCAGGTTTAGATTTTGCCTTGCCGATTTGGCCTCTGATTTCTTGACTCTGAGAAAGTCACTTCAGAGCCGTACACCCCAGTAACCTATCTTCCAAGTGTAGATCATGCCAATGAGCAACCATGGAGGGTCAAAGTAGTAAGATCCTGGGTACAGTAAGAGTAGCCACTGCCATTCAACCAAGACCAAATGTTACTGAACAAATAGGCTTAACTACAGGCAACTGAGTTGGCCAGAGGCTCCTGCAGGACTGGCTTCACACTTCATGGCCAAAAGGATAAGCTCTCAGGATAAGGAGGACACATTTAAGCAGCTTACTGGGTTGCCTTGCTAAGCATGATAACTACAGACTGGGAGAAGGGACAAGGAATGTCGTATACTTTCTCCATTGTCCGTAGGGGCTACCTAGTAAGTATTTTCAGTTGATCAAAGCAATATAAAGTAAGCCTCAAGTCACTGTTGTTATGCTTGGAAATATTGTTCATGGATAAGAAATGCTTGGAAAATTCTTATAGGTTTAAAGAAGTTTCTCCCAAGTCTCAGCAAACTTTTTAAATAAAGAGAAAGAACATTAGAATGACCAATATAATTCACCTCCAAGTCATGGTCTCATATTTGATTTTCCTCTTCTACATCATTAAATGAATACCCCAAATTCTTCTCCTTAGTTTAAATAAAGGATATATTTTCCAGATTAGGTGATACTTTTTATCATATGTATACATTTTGATGTGTATATATGATATATATTTTTATATCTTTGAGCTGAATATTCAGCTCCAATTTATGGAAAATGTCTCCCATGAATGTTTTTCCCATGGAAAAAATCAAACCTTATTTTTTCAAACCAACAAAATCAAACTTACTTAAGTCAGAAAAAGCCTAATTTCACTTCATTAATTCAAGCACATGTGTTAATACAAGTACCCATGACAATTTCCTTTATTCTGAGTTCTAATTCTAAAACAGATGGATTGGTGGGTGGATGGATGGATAGATGGATAGATGGATGGATGGATGGATGGATGGATGGATGGATGGATCAGAGCCTATAAGTTTGTCATTTGGATGAAATAAGATGTCATCTCCTTCAATATTTCTTAAAGAGGCTCTTTTTTGCATTGGTCTCATGGGATCCTGCCCCCAACAACAATGCATTATTAAATTGTCCCTTTTAAGGGTGCCCTCAGAGTATTCTCTCTCTGAGGAAAAGTGCCAGAGTGGAATCCAAGATTGATGAGAGGAATTGTTTTCTTTTGTAGTGTGGGAAAAGGGTGATTAGGAAAGGAAAGTCAAGGAGAACCTGGCAGACAATAGACAGTTTAACACAAGGTACACGTGGAAGTTGAAGCTCCTAAAATCTGTTTCCTTATATCTACTCACGTCCCTGTAAAGTTTTTTCCTGTACTCTCAGAGGCATACATATCACAATTTTAAGACAGCTTATCGTGTCACACAATCCCTGGGACCTTTACAAATTCCACAAATGTTAGATTTCAATCCAGTCTCTGAGAAGCACATTACTATATACACACCCACGTCCTCTGCCCACTTCCTCTGCGCCCCCCCCCACCAAAAAAAAACCAGTAAGTAAAAAGACTGGCCCATGATCAGGTAACAGGTGCAATGAAAAATTAAAATACACTGAACTAGAGGAAATAAATGTATTTGAACCTCCTAGGCCAGGGAAGTGCCCATTCCCTGCTCCTTGCATGTCCTATTAATGATGATGACCACTTAATCACATCCCCAGGTGATGGGAAAAATGTCGTGTTCCCATTCATTTGGTCAAAATAATTTTTTTGTTCACCCAAAGTGCTTGGGACAAGGTTCAGTGCATAAGGTCACTGACAGCACTGCAAATTGAAATTCTATCTGGGCCAGGCGCGGTGGCTCACGCCTATAATCCCAGCACTTCAGGAGCCCGAGGCAGGAGGATCACTTGAGGTCAGGAGTTTGAGACCAGCCTAGCCAACATGGTGAAACCCCATCTCTACTAAAAATACAAAAATTAGCCGGACATGGTGGCATGCACCTGTAATCCCAGCTGCTTGGGAGGGTGAAGTGGGAGGATCACTTGAACCCAGGAGGCAGAAGTTGCAGTGAGCTGGGATCACACCACTGCATTCCAGCCTGGGCAACAGAGTGTGACTGTCTCAAAAAAAAAAAAAAAAAAGAAGAAAGAAAGAAGGAAAGAAATCCCATTTGAAGCATTGCACCTACATAATGGAGATGTGCCACATCATCTCATGCCTCTCATAATGTCTTCTTCTGCTCCTGTCCTGCAGTCTTGTACCTCAGGCACCAGAAATTCTGTTTTCTGAAGGGTTTGGACTACTCAGCCATTGTATGCCACAGTGGAAAATTAAACATTTATTGAATGCATGAATATAGGTGTGCATGAATGAATGGATGGATGAATGAACAAATAAATAAATGAATAAGAACATAGGGTCAAAAAGGGTTTGAGTCTCTGGTCCCAGAAAAGGTCAGAATTCAAAATGAAAATACTCCTCAAACTTTCCCTTTTGTTGAGTGCAGCCATGATTTGGTTGACACTAATTAAGTCAGCAGGAGCTAATGAACTGTTGAATGAAACTAACCAACCTTATATCCTGACCTCAGCAAAGGTCAAATGATTCAATGACTAACTCCACAGCCAGGTAGCAAAGTCCTGAGAGTTTTGACACGATGGCTATGCCACACACCTCCTCTGGGCTTCAGACTCATCTTGGGTCTGAAACTTGGGTTTCTTGCATTCCTGCCTTGTGGATAGACATGCATATCTGTTTTCCAAACCAAATGCTTCATGTGATCCCTAATCAGTTTGATCAATTGAGCCTTCACTGAGGGTCCTTCCACTCTGCTAGTTTCCCTCCCTCTGCTTGAAGAAACACCCAATGTCCCCATACTCTGGCCTCCAAACAATACTCTGATTCACTGATTTTGACAATTAATTACTTCCCTAAAAAGAAAAAGCACTACCCAGACACCAATGAGAAATAAACATGGCAAAACTTTCCATAAATCACTGGGAACCACAACTCTCTTATAGAGAAGAAAGTTTTGTATATTCTACTTCTGTCCCTGAATGTGAAACTGCATCATTTATTACCTTTATCTTGGGATACAACCTAAGTAAGCAAGTCATTTTGGAGTCAATCAACTTTCAGCAGACTTTGAAATGTTGATTGCATCTGGAGATTGCACAAGTTTAGTTATTTTTTAGCACTTTGGCCTGTCATAAAAACATTCTCTCAAATCCCAGTATTTCTCCTCCACTGGCATAAAAACTTGGAAATGTATTATTGCTGAGAGACTCCATTCTCTCTGCCAGCAAGTCCCCAGAGGGAAGCACTAGCAGAAGAAAGAAGTTTTTACAGTCACTTCATAAGAGAAAGTCATTCATCCACTGGACCTAATCAAGTCTTCCAAGACGTGGCCCATAGCTGACACCCAGAGCTCCACTCTTTGTATTTGTGCTCTTTCCTTTAAAAAGAAATGGCAAAAACCTATGCTTTTTCCTCCATAGCAAAACATAATGGGCAAAACAAGGGACCACTATTATGAGAGTGCTAATAGCAATTCTAGCCTGCAAGTAAAGAAGACTTACCAGGACCAGAGGACTAATTAACAGGTCAGCCAGATAATGCATGAACACAGGAGGAAATGTGTATTTAAGAAGCAGGGCTGAGTGTGCACGGCAGGCTGCTGCTGGTTTGCAGCTGCTCTTTTGGCCCCGTGGAAGAGCACAAGTGTGGGGTAGGGAACGGGGGTGACCTCAGTTCCAGCCCCAATTAATGTCTCCCTTTCTCCTCCATGAATCATGGGTTATATATTAAAGTGAGACCTTCAGAGGCCTGCATTTGGAAACAAATGCAGTTTGTTTGACAGTTTGATGAGCAGTTTAATAAGCATATCTGATGCTTGGTAGCAGAGTCCGAGAGACACAGAAGATGATGGTCTTGCCTTCCCACAGCTTCTAGTCCAAGGAAAGGGGCACAATGTCCACCTTCTCTCTGTGTTCATCTCTATGGCATGGGAGGTTGAATCTGTAGCATGCATGTTGATTCATCTGGCAACTCTTCAAACAGAAACCTCTGTGAGCTGGCAGGCTTGCCTAGTGGCTATCAATGTTCTTAATGGGGATCCAGGGACACCTAGGATCTGCCAATGCCTTCTAAATTAGCAAAGAAATATCACCTATGGGGTTGCTTTAGTGTTGTGTATTGTATTAAAGCTTAAAACATCTGAGAACCCACTCATTCTTCAAAGACTTTACTGTGAGCAGGTATGTAAATAACTGATGTCAACATTCTCTGGGATGGCCCTGAGCAAAACAGTCAAAGTATGTGTATTAGTTTTCTTTTACAACTATAACAAATTACCACAAACATAGTGCTTTAAAACAATAAAAATCTATTCTCTTGCACTTCTGGAGATCAGAAGTCTGCAACGGGTCTCACTGGGCTACAACACTAAGGTGTCAGCAGGGCTGCATTCCTTTCTGGAGGCTCTAGGGGAGAACCCATTTTCTCATCTTTTCTAGCTTTTAGAGGCTGCCCACATTCCCTGGCTCCTGCCCCTTCCTCCATCTTCAAAGCCAGTAGTGTTGCATCTGGAAATCTTTCTTACTCTACATGCAGCCTCCTTCTTCCACGTGTAAGGACCTCTGTGATTATTACCCTGTGCTCATCTGATAATCCAGGATACTCCCCCTATTTTACAGTCAACTCATCAGCAACCTCAATTCCATCTGTAACCTTAATTTCCCCTTGCCATGTAACATAATATTTACACAGGTTCCAGGGACTAGGATGCTGACATCTTCAGGGGCCATTATTCTGCCAACCACAGTGTGTCTTTGATGGCCCCTTTCTTCCCCTTATCCCCCACTCAATAGCATTTCCTCCTGCACTCGGCCATCTAAGCAGCAGAAGTCCTTTTATCTGACATGATCAGGATGGCTGATGAATTGAAAATGCAGGTTAAAGTTGCCAAGTTAAAAAATAAAACGTAGGCTGGGCGCAGTGACTTACACCTATAATCCCAGCACTTTGGGAGGCTGAGGCAGGAGGATCGCTTGAGCCCAGAAGTTCAAGACCAGCCTGGGCAACATGGCAAAACCCCATCACTACAAATGAATTCAAAAATTATCTCAGCGTGGTGGTATGTGTCTGTGTTCCCAGCTACTCAAGGGGCTGAGGTGGGAGGATCACTTGAGATCAGGGGCTCAAAGCTGCAGTGAGCCATGATCACACCACTGCACTCCAGCCTGGGTGACAAAGTGAGACTGTCTCAATAAGCAAATACATAAATAAATAAATAAAATAAAACCTAGACCAGGCATAACAGCTCACATCTGTAATCCCAGCACTTTAGGAGGCTGAGGCAGGAGGATAACATGAGCCCAGGATTCGAGACGAGCCTGAGCAACATAGTGAGACGCCATCTCTGCAAAAAGTAATAAAATAAATTAGCTGGGCATGGTGGTGCATGCCTGGGTCCCAGCTACTTGGGAGGCTGAGACAGGCGGCTGAGGCAGGAGGATCCCTTGAGCCTGGGAGGTCAAGGCTGCAGTGAGCTGTGATCATGCCACTCTACCTCAGCCTGAGACTCTGTCTCAAAAACAGAAAATAAAATTAAATAAAATAAAACCTGGGGGAAAGAGGATGAGTAGGCAGAGGACAGAGGGTTTTTAGAGCAGTTAGGCTACTCTGTGTGATACTACATGGTGGATTCATGTCCATTGCATGTTTGTCCAAACCCAGAGAATGTACACCACCGAGAGAGGGCCCTAATGGAAACTAGGGACTTTGGGTGATGATGATGTGTCAATGTAGGGTCATCAGTTGTAACAAATGTACCACTCTCATGGGGGATGTGGATAAGGGAGAGATTAGATGTGTGGGGAAATGGGGGATATATGGGAACTCTCCTGTACTTCTTCTTAATTTTGCTGTGAACCTAAAACTACTCTTTAAAATATACACACACATACACACACACACACATATATATATACACACACACATACACACATACATATATATTTTTAGACAGGGTCTCACTCTGTCACCCAGGCTAGAGTGCAGTTGTATGATCTCGGCTCACTGCAACCTCCACCTCCTGGGCTCAAGCGAACCTCCCACCCCAGCCTCCCAAGTAGCTGGGACTACAGGCGTGCACCACCCTGCTCTGCTAATTTTTGTATTTTTTGCAGAGACGAGGTTTCACCATGTTGCCCAAGCTGGTCTCAAACTCCTGACCTAAAGTGATCTGCCTGCTCCAGCCTCCCAAAGTGCTGGAATTACAGGTGTGACCCACTGCACCTGGCCAAAAAAATGTTTAAAAAAAAGATACCTAAATAGCTTATGCTAGATCTTCTCAAACTTTATTGTACATATGAGTCATGTAGGGAACTAGTTAAAATGCAGATTTGGATTCAGTAGGTCTAGGCTATAGCCAGAGATTCTGTGTTTTCCAAAAAAGCATCCAGGTGAGGCCAATGCCACAGGTACCACATTTTGGGGAGCAAGAACTTAAACAAAGACCTAGCATACATTCATTTGCCATTTTTTTGTAGAGCCTTCTATGGATCCACTGGGGTGAGCCTGTGATATATTTTTTCATAAGCCATGCCCAAAATACATCTTCCATGATTTCCTGCTTTTTTCTAAAATAGATCTGAAACTGAAAGCCACCCATGAAGCAATCTGAGCTCAGAGCCTGCCTAGAGTTTGATTATTTTTTCTAATATAAATCTCTTACAGGTATATCACCCACACTTAAATCAATAGAAATTTTTCAAAAACATTAAACTTGGTTTTTACATAACAAAATGGTTCACTTTTTTGCATGCCTATATAAGTAATATTTATTTAAACCATGTCATTACAATAACAAGTCCAAGTGGTAGAAGATTTGCAACAGACATAAGAGGCCCTTGGTGAAGAGGCAACACAGTTGGAACCAGTGAGGGAGGAAACCAGAGAGCAGAATCCTCACCATGTGCTATGGACATAGTAGATACAGCTCACCAAGGAAATGGATTCTGTTAGGGAGAAGCCAGGAAAGACAGCCTCTATTCCATATTCATACCCTTTCCCTCTACCGGTAACCTCGTAAAACTTGGCTGGGGAAAGACCAGGACTCATTCATACAAAGATACAAACAATCAACAAAGTGTAAAGTGTAAACCCTTCCATGGGAATTTTCATTTTAACTCCTAAAGGAAGCCTCAAGTTATAGGAATGACTCCCTAATATGTAAATTTTAGGCATTGTTCAGTGAAGGAGGTACTATGTCACCCCCTTAAACAACCCTAAAATCACACCAGCAATTCTAAAGGACAAACTTAGAGACATACAATGCATTTTCTTATTAAAGCTTCAATAAAAATTCTTGGCAATAATAAATATTGGTATTTCGTGAATTCAGGACAGGCTTTTTGGGGAAAGTCAACCGAAGACAGATCTGAATTAGGAGAAGGAGTGAATGTGTGCTGGGAATGCAAGGATTCACTCTGTAGATCTGACACAGTCAGTGACCTAGACTGAAATCCAGCCATCATTTCAGACAGTGTGCCCTCATCCACTCCATTGAGGAACACAGCTCCAGGGGCCAGGGGACCTCTCTTTGGAAGGTCCTTTCTGAGTACACAGTTTAGTGCTCCATGGATTCCATGTGATATGATTTGGCTTTGTGTCCCCACCCAAATCTCATTTTGACATAATCTCCACGTGTTGAGGGAGGGAGGTGATTGGATCATGGGGGTGGTTTCGCCCATGCTGTTCTTCTGATAGTGAGTGAGTTCTCATGAGATCTGATGGTTTTATAAGAGGCTCTTCCCACTTTGCTTTCTCTTCTCTCTCCTGCCACCTTGTGAAGAAGGTGCCTGCTTCCCTTTTCGCCTTGATTGTAAGTTTTCTGAGGCCTCCCCAGCCATGCAGAACTGTGAGTTAAACTTCTTTCCTTTATAAATTACCCAGTCTCAGGGAAGTTCTTTATAGCCGTGCGAAAACAGAATAATACACCATGAAAGAAGTCAAAAAGTTAGGAGCAAAAAACGGTCTAAAAAACAGTTAAGCTGAGGGGCTTTTCCTCTCGGAAGTCCCCTCTCTCTCACTAGAGAGAGGGCTCTACTCCTTTCTCTTTCTTCTGCATATTAAACCTCTGCTCCTAAACTCCTCATGTGTGTCCGTGTCCTAAATTTTCTTGGTACGAGACAACGAACCCCAGGTATTTACCCTAGACAACCTAGCTGCTTCATATTGAGAACCTCGTCCAGGATACCAAGGTACAACATTCATCAAAATGGTGAGTAGAGGAGTGGACGCCAACTCTGTCCTTCCATTTCGGGGCCCTCAGCCTCCATTTTAGAACCAAATCAAATCAATAACGGGTATCCTTCAGCCATTAAGAATATGATTAGTGTGGCTGCCGTTCTTAAAAACTTGGATGTGAGGCTTGCTGGGGAGAACATGGAGAATCCCCCAGTACCCACGGGTTGCTGGGCATATTGGCCATGTTTGAACCAGCTTCCTTTCACGGAGGACTTAGCCACCTCATGGGGCTGGAAGAGGTCCTGAAGCAACTGAGGAATTTTGGCTGGGGCTACCCCTGGTGTTATCCAAAGGCTTCTGGACTGACCCCAGCCTCCAACCCTCTGGGTTATCCAAAGGCTTCCGGACTGACACCCAATGGGGTGTCGGCAACAGGATCTTCAACTTTCCTATCGTAATTTCCTCCTTTCCTATCTGCGACAGCCATGTCTCCTATCCTCTCTGTGTATGTAATGCATGGGAAGTTTTACCGTTCAGGAAAGTAATTCCTAGGTAAATCAGACATCGCCTCCTCAAGCCTGACTATAAAATCAGCACATCTGCCGTCAGCCGGGCTTTTCCTCTTGAAAGTCCCTTCTCTCTCACTAGAGAGAGATGGATGTTCTCATTTCTCTTTCTTCTACCTATTAAACCTCAACACCTAAACTCCTAAAGAGAAAGAAAGAAAGAAAGAAAGAAAGAAAGAAAGAAAGAAAGAAAGAAAGGAGAAAGAAAGAAAGTTCAGCTGATAAAATGGATGGTAGAATGAAAAGGCAAACATGTGGTAAATGGAATCTCCACTAAAGACAGAAAGAGGATGACGGAGGAGGCGTCAGGAGCACTGTATGTAACCATCACGTTATAAATCTGTGCTACCCAAATGAGAATCACTAGCACCTCATAAAATAGACAAGGCAGACACCCAGAATAACCTTACCAGGGTGATGGACAGGGGCTACCATTTTGCAAATTGTCACTACCTTTAGCTCCCTCCAACACAACAGTAGACACCCTCACGCATGACAACCAGGCACAGTGGTTAAGAGCTTTGGCAGTCAGACCTATCTGGGTCTAAACCCCAGCTCTAACACTGAGTATGTTATTTAACCCCTCAGTACCTATTTCCTCAACTGAAAAATGGTGATAAAAATCATACCCTCTTCATAGTACATTGTAAGGCTTAAATGATATTGTTGGTATAAAAATCCTAGCACAGTGGCTCATAGCAAGGACTGGAGAGATGTCAGTTCTTTCAATATTATCATTCCAGGGCATTTGAAGGACTCATGGTTACTTTTAATCACAGCAACACAGGTTGGCTAGAGGTAAGGTGAGATAACCTTAACAGCAACTTCTAGATTCATAGACTTAGAAGGCATGAAAAGTCACCTGCCGTGTTCTGAGAATAGCTAGAAGGGGACACACTTAGAAATCACTCACAAACCCCAGTGGCCCCTAACTCACTACCCACGAGTGGTCTCCAAGCTCAGAGCTGTGCCAAAAATCCCAACGAGAACCACTGTCCCTAGATCAATTCACCTCCACGCTTCCCTAAGGCACACTCTTGCTTCTCTGGCAAGAAATATGTAGCATCTTTGATAGTGATAGTGATAGGTGAATGTTGGTGGACAAGTCAGCTCTCAATAATCCTTTTCACAAATCATGGGTCCCCAGACATGTTATCTAAACTGATATTATTTTTACCAATACCAATAATAGCTTTGGGCTGGACTCAACCGGCTACAGGATAATCCATTCAAGTCAAATAGTCCACTTTCATCCAGACCTGGGTCTGCTACAGATACCAGTTTACCTAAGACATGAATCTTCCACAGGAAAGGGTGGTGGCATCTAAAGCCCCTTCTTAAGACATGCCTTCAAAGTGCTTGAAACTCTCACAGCCCCGCTGCCAAAACCCAGCCACCAGGCATCTTGGGAATGCAATTCATGGTGGAGATGTTCGCAAAGACATTATTTTGTTGAGACTAAGGGCATTTTCCTCATCAGTAAACTGGAAACAGCAGCCCTGCCCTGGTGATGGTGGAGATGAAATGTGATGTTGCATGAAACAGCTCAGCACAGAGTCCACACCTGTTGCCACTGCTGCTGTTGTCCAGCCACCATCCAGGAGAAAAGGAGGATGTGACAGAGCTGAGAGAAGAAACAAGCAGCTATTTCTACAGCTTTTCCTTAGTCTTTTAAGTGGAGTGTGCACTAAATACCCACTCTTATGGACATCATCTCATTGAACCTTTCCAACCACCATTTTCACGGACCAGGAACAAGGCCAGGGGACGTTCTGTAACTTGCCGAGGCTGCAAAGGAAGTCAGGGGCAGAGCTAGGGCTCTTGACTCTAACTTCTGAGTTTCTTTCTCCTTGAAGAACATCAGTCCCCTCCCAGAACAGAAATCAGACGCCTCTCTGGGCCTCCCCAGCATTGCCATTTTTATATCAAGTAAATGTTAGTGAGAAGGATCTTTGAAACGTGCAAAGTGCTCTGCTAAGCACAGTACCTGCAATGTCACATGAAATACTCCCAAACACCCAATGAAATGTCAACTGCACATCACAGATGAAGAACTTGATGCCCCGGGAAGTTATTCATCTGTGAAGTTAAGCAAGTGGCTCAAGATCACACAGCCAGTAAAAAGAAGAGTCCTAGGATTCCAACCCAGGTCAGCCCAATTTCAAGTAACCATACATTTAGATCAACTGGGCTGAAGATAAAAAGGAACACCCCTAAGAGTTTGCTTTTGCTACACTCACAAAAATCCAGCATGTAAAGGATTCAGGAAGGCACTCTAAGAAAAGGACTTGAAATTGCAGAAGACCTAAGTGTGGAGGAGAATCAAGGCCAGAGAGGGACTCTAAAGGCTATGATATTTAGACATGAACCAGCACTTGTTCAGGCAATTTAACTTGTGAGGTTTTTGAGACAGGGCCTCACTCTGTTGAGTGAGGCTGGAGTGCAGTGGTGTGATCTTGGCTCACTGCAACCTCTACCTCCCAGGTTCAAGCAATTCTCCCACCTCAACCTCCCTAGTAGCTGGGACTACAGGTGTGTGCCACCATGCTCTGCTAATTTTTCTATTTTTTGGTAGAGAGAGGGTTTCACCATGTTGGCCAGGCTGATCTTGAACTCCTGACCTCAGGTGATCTGCCCACCTCAGCCTCCCAAAGTGCTGGGATTACGGGCATGAGCCACTGCACCTGGCCATAACCTGTTTAATTTTTAAACAGAAAAAAAAAATGAAAAGAGAGAGAGACAGTTAAGGTCTTTTTTTTTCTTTTGAACAGCAAAGTACTCAACCAGGGAATGCTCTCTGCCCCCACATCATCCATCATATGATGCTGCACGTTTTCTGAGACCACCAACTGTGTATGAGTGTGGAATTTTTCCCTCAAGGAAAGTGGCTGAAACTCAGTCACATGAGACTCCTATAACTGTGCTGGACAGAGCTGAGGAAAGATGGAAAGACACTCTGGGGAATGCTCTGCCTGGTGGGAGGGAAGGCGAGATGACCCAAGGGTGCTGAGCTCTTCAAGCCTCACATCTCTGATTCCATACACAGCATCCTGGAAGGGACACATCTCACCCAGCAGGTACACCATGGAAGGCATCCAAGGTCCCATGGGCCTTGGGGACCGGGCACCACTTTAAGGCATGTCTGGCTCCTCACCAGCATGGCGGGCCCTGCTGACTGAGGCATAGGGAGGCCACACGGGCTTCTGCCTGGCACAGCCAGGACCACCCTAGGCACCAGGATGCTCAGAGCCCACCCCTTGGCATGCTGCCCAAGCTGATGGATTGCATCCTGTCAGGATATTGATCCTGATGAACTAGGAGACCCTTGGCTATGATTAAATGAACCTGAGCATAAAAAAAGTCATGAGCTATAGATGATACCCTGCCACTTGGGAGACATTGCCAGAAAATCAACTCCAAACAGCTCTAATGGAATGTGATCGAGACTTTAAGCATCTAGGGAGCGGGGTGAGAGGAAGTTCTTCACAGCCAGAGATGCCTTCCAGAGTCTGGAAGGCCCATTCACTCGGCCTGCAAACCCTGAGTCTGTGTGCCTACGGGCAGTGCTTGAGTCCTTCCAGACCCAAGGCTGAGCCCGAAGAAACGGAAGGGCCCCTCAATAGCTTCCAGCCATGGGAAAGACTTGTGCAGAAGTGGATAGGGAGGTGGATAATGTGGCATGGCTCTTCGGTGGGATCTGAAAACCTGAATGAAGCTGCATCAATGCAGTTTTCAGGATGTGTCTTCACTGAGGGCAGGTTCTGCGTCTAACTCACCTTTCTCTTCCCCACATCAGATATTCCACCCGACAACACGCTTCCATTCTCACTGAACCCAGTGAAGCTAGTGGGCAGAGTCCAGTGCCCTCAGTCACTCAGTGTGCCTCCAGCTGACACCCCTGAGCATGTACTGTGTGCCAGGAAGACCTCGGAGCTCTGCCCTATGGAGCCCCCATGCTGGGAGGAAGAACAGGGAAAACACAGCGAGGCCACGGCTAGGAAAGTTACAATGCAGCGTGATGGACACAACGACAGAAGAGCCCCACTCCACACCCAGGCAGGGAGAGAGGTCAGCTGAGGAAGATTCTTGGGGGCCCAGTTGTGATTCTAGGAGAAGAGAGCGAGCTCCTGGGCCTGGGGGAGCGGGATGACAGCCACAGGGGTTAGAGCTTATAAGACTTGTGATTGGTTTTCTTCACAAAAATCACAACAGGATGAGAAGCAGAGGAGTGACACCATCACATCCACATTTAGCAAGTTCTTTTTTTTTTTTTTTAGATTGAGTCTTGCTCTGTCACCCAGACTGGAGTGCAGTGGTGTGATCTCTTCTCACTGCAACTTCTGCCTCCCAGCTCAAGTGATTCTCCTGCCCCAGCCTCCCGAGTAGCTGGGATTACAGGTGCATGCCACCACACCCAGCTGATTTAGCAAGTTCTTTCTGACTGCATTTGGGGACGGGATGGAAGGATGGCAGAGGGAGGAGCCTGGAGGCAAGGAAAGCAGGTGGGGGGTGCCCACCTGGGGGGCTGTGGGGAGGTGGGGAAGGGGTACAGATGGAAAGCTCTGTATTGACTGTATTCCCTACTGGCTGTGAGGAATAAAGGAGGAGAAGGAGGCAAGGGTGGCGCCCTGGGTCTGCCTTGGAAGCCTGGTAGCAAATGGTATCATGGGTGAGGTAGGAAATTCAGGAGCAGGGCAATGGAGAAGAAAACTGCACCAACTCAGGTCAGAGCATGCTGAGCTTGAAATACTCCCGGGAGGACTCTGTGGAATGGCGCCGTGGGCGGCTGACCTCTGGATCCAGAGCCCTGGACAGAGGCGGGAAGTGGGCCGGGATCTAGGAACCAGCAGGGGAAGCTGACACCTGGTAGTCAATGTTCTCCAGAGAAAGCACACGGGGTTATTTAAAACAAGCACCACAGCAAAAGAATAAATTGGTATGGCTAAAACCCAGGAAACACCCACGTTTAAGAAAAAGTAGAAAGGGAAAAAAAATCCACAAAGGAGACGTTTTAAAAGCCTGAGAAAGAGAATAAAAACCAGGAGAGACTGATGGCATGAAAACAAAGGGGGCCGGGCGCGGTGGCTCACGCCTGTAATCCTAGCACTTTGGGAGCCCGAGGCGAACGGATCGCTTGAGCCCAGGAGTTTGAGATCAGCCTGTGCAACATGATGAAACCCCATCTCTACCAAAAATACAAAAATTTGCTAGTTGGTAGGCCACTTGGGAGGCTGAGGTGGGACGATCGCTGGAGCCCAGGAGGTCAAGGCTGCAGTGAGCCGTGATCACACCACTGCACTCCAGCCTGGGCGGCAGAATGTAAGACCCTGTTGAAAAGAGAGAGAGACCTCAAGGACATTGAGTCTGATTTGATCTTCACAGCAGCGTTATCGTTCCCATTTTACAGAGAAAAGCTGAGGTCCAGAGAGCCAAGGAGATTAAGCAACCTGCACACTCTCTTACTTTAGAAAACAGGCTCACGTCATCTTCCCATAGCTGCCTCCCACGGGCTCTTAAGTAAGTCCCTTCCTTCCCTTCCTTCCTTCCCTTCCTTCCCTTTCTTTCTTTCTTTCATAGAAACCTCCTCTTCGTGGTAAAAATAAGTAACCGGGATAGAGTATTCCACACTAATGTTAAGAAATGAACTGAAGAGATTTCAGGCCTTGGGGGAAGACCAACATTTGTTTAAATCCTTCAGGCCAGCCCCAGCCCATGCCCTCCACAATCCTGGAGGCTCATCCCTGACAGGTCTACAGGGGTGAGAGTCTGAGAGAAGGGTGGAAACACGGTAGCCCGAGAGACACCCAGAGGGCTGTGTGGGCTACGCGACTTCCCGCGTGGGTGGAGGGGTCGGGCAGGGTCCCTCCCGGTCCGGGGCCGCTTCTCGAGACAGCCGGGCATCCTCCCTCCCGTGAGCGAGCCTGGAGCGCCACCTAGTGCCCGCCAGCAACATGAACACACGCCAAGGAGCGCTGCCAGCGACAGGAGCTGGGCTCCCGGTGTTTGCTCCGTGGTGCTTCTGTCCGAGAGACCCTGGAACATTCTCAAGTTGTGCGTCTCTCAAATCTTCAGTCTAGTGTGGCCAGTTCCGATGATCTGAAAGGTTTTCCAAAGAGATCTTCTGTGGCCTGAGCACCGGGAATGAGGACAACAGCGGGGAAAAATAACAACTACAAGAGTGACCAAAACCCTTAAAAGGCTGAGACAGATGGACAGCCCTGGAAGAGAAACCCAGTGTCTCAGGGAGAGCTAATAAAAAACTTAAAGAGAAGCAAACATCAACCTTGAAAGCAGCCGCCTTAAGCATTAATACCAGACATGCTGAGTGATATATCCGATGGACAAAATTATTTTCCCATGAAAAAAGGGAGAAGCGAGAGGAAAGGAAAGGGAAAAGACATATGCATGTCCATGAGGGAGTTTTTAAAGGGTAATAACAATACAGAAAGAGAAAAGTGCATGGTCCTTTGTAGAAATGGGGATGGGGCTGCTTGATTTAGGATTCACCTGATGTGGGAATGATGGAATTTCGCTCTGCACCCGGCATAAGAGTAAATCAGTCCTGAAATGTACCAGAGAAACCAACAAACACAACATTACCTTCTCCTGCATCTCTCATGGAAAGTGTCCCGAAGAGGCTCAGCAGAATGGAATTGAGCTGAGCTGCGATGAGAAGGCATATACACTATAAAGAAACATTCTATATAGAAGCAATCAATCCAAGGTGATTCATGCAATCAGCCAGTCAGAGGTGTAAATCCCACGGGGTGCATGAGGTATGCCACAGCCTGGATGCCTATTTTCTGGGGGCAATGAATGAATGGATTTCTCCCTCCTTCCCAGGCTCCAGTGCTTTTAGCAATTGGCACTGTGGCAGGATTTATACCATGGTTCTTGTAAATTGTACCTTCTCTCTCTCCTTTTCAAAGATTTCTTTCAATAAAATGCAGATGGAATTGTTGGAGAGCTGCTTTTCATGTGTTTATAGGTTACTTCTGCTCGGTTGCTTGTGCAGGTGCGTGTCTCTAGGCCTCTTTGTTTTTTATTTTCTCTGCCTATTAGGGAAATGGAAACATATGGATTCCTTGTTTGGGCCCAGCGGACCTTATAGAATAGGATCCCTGTTGCCTTCCTCACACATCTTCCTGTAATCACATGTCTCTGAATTAGCCTCTTAATCTCCCAGTGGAAAAGCCGTAATACAGGGAAATACAATAAAATGCATATGCATTCTGAATGCCAAAGCATTTACAAAGTAGATGGGAATGTGGTCATTTATACAACTGTGTAAGGACAGTCTTAGCTGGCATTGGTTACAATATGAATAAAGAAGTAGACATTCAAAATGGCAGACATATCTGGTGGTCCAGCAAGCTAATATTTTCAAGTCTAGCTAGGAGAAAAGAAAAAATAGTACTGAAGTGCAAAGAAACTGGAGGCTTGGATTTGGATCTGAAACTCCAACATAATCATTTCCAGGTTACATGAGCAGTTTAATGCAGAGATTTCATGACTTTTCTTCACCTGGAAGATGAAGAATCTAGAAACATATGTGGAGTGTTCTCAGAAATGCATAGAAACAAATGGTGAAGGCCTGCTATAGGTAATATCCCCATGTTTTAATTCCCATTGTAAATAAAGATCCCATTTACTGAAGGCGGCATATGTTTTATTAATATGCCCCACTACGGCCCTTTAGGAAGAGGCAATAAGCAAATGTTCACCCAAGAGGCTGTCCACCATCCCCAGCAGAGTGCTTATTAAGACTAATAGGAACATACAGCATCTATGTTGCGAAAATTTCAGGAAAAGAAAAGCCCTCAGCTAGAGATGGTTGTTTTGCAGTCCTTCTTCCAAATCACTATAAGGACAGCCTGGCCTCATCAGGAAGGTGAGGAGGTAAAGCGCACAGACGACCATCTCCACCATGCCTGGACAAAAAGACAGATGTATCCTGTGAGGTCTCAAGCTGGCAGTGTTATGCGATTGGGAAGCCCCAAATGATGTACAGAGGTTCAGACCAAGATGCGGCTCAGTCCCCCTGTGCTTCTCTGAACCTTTTGGAAACACTGCCAAAGTGGCAGGTGATGAAGTCACACTCTGGAGCCCTGACAACAATGGCCCCTGACCATCTTCCTGATACGATGGGTGGGAAACCTGCTCTTCTTGATGGATAGATGAGACTCGGGTGGGGCAGTGACTTTCAGACCCTCACAACCCCTTCCCTAGACTGAACCTAGGATAGGAAGGTAGGAACCCCTCAGGAAGAATCTGAAGAGATTCATTGTGTGTAATGAATGATATTACTGCATCTGAAGACTGGAGAATCATTGTATGTAATGAATGATATGACTGATGGCACCTTTTTCTCAGACGAACAAAGAGCAAACAGGGAAAAGAACCACCCACAGTGTCTGCATGGAAAACTCTTACAAGTGACCCACATGACTTGAACTTGATTCTTCTCCTCTCCAATTCATGAATCCAATTCTATACTAGCTCCTTCTCTAAAGAGAGTAAACACCATTGTCGAGCAGTGAGGTCCTGACCAATGGATTGACCTGCTCCAGTTGTAGCCCGAGCTCAGCTTTGAATGCATAACCTCAGGCAGATTGTGTGACATTTTGAGCCTGTTTCCAAATCTGCAAAATGAGATGGTTGAGCAAGGTGATTTCTAAAATTGTTTTCAGTCTTAACATGTAGGACTCTACGTATTTTGTTGTTTTGATTTTTTAATTTATATATTTTTTATTTTCACAGACAGGGTCTCACTATGTTGCCCAGGCTGGTCTTGAACTCCAGGACTAAAGTGATCTGCCCACCCTGGCTTCCCAAAGTGCTGGGATTACAGGCGTGAGCCACCGTGCCTAGCCTTGGACTCTACGCATTAACAGTTAAATATTAACATTAACTCTTAGGATGTGCTGCCTGTGCCAGGCAAATAGGATACCCATGACTTAGGTGAGCCCAGAGGTGGTTTCCCGACAGAGCAGGGTTTGTCCCCCCACCCTTGTGTGGATTCCCCTTCTGACCCCTCAGCCCTCATTCAAGAGGTGGCTGGCCAGAAAAAAAAGGATTGCATGTGTTTTGTCGTGGAAGCATTTTCTCATTTGGTCTCTTATTGCCAGTAGGAAGATATAATAAATACTAATTAAAATAACTTGATGCAGCATTTTTCATCTTGACAAATAGCTTGTCCCCCATCTTTACACAAACAAATTAGAAAAAGCATATGAGGATATATGGCTCTAGACAGAGTAAAAGAACAGGAGCTATACCATGCACTTAGTATATGCCACCAGTTGTACAGTGAGCCTGTGACTGCAGCTATTTCAAATGTAATTACCTCAGTCACCCCCCACTGGGCAGGGACTCTTAAGGTCTGCTCAGCTTCTAGTGCATGGCTGGTGCTCAATAAATGACAAATGCAATTATAATAATTAATAATTCATATATTAATAATGCAATCCCTTTCCCGCGCTCAGTAATTGCCGCCAACAAGCCATGCACACACAGGAACTGGCACTGCCAGGCGCCCGGGAATTTCTCCACACTTCCATAAACCTGTGTCCAAAGGTCACCTTGAAGAGGCAATCACAGCCGCCTGTTAGTCTAACAAAGATGGCTGGTTTAAATGCTTCATTTTTTTCCTATCGCCTTCCCGTTTCAAATATTTACAGCTCTCTTCGAGACCCAGCCTTGAGAAATAAATGCCCTGTTGACACAGTTGATAGCAGTTGATAGCTGTGGAAGATCCTCCTTGTACTCCCAGGAGGCACTGCAGTCACCTCCTTTATCCCAAAACTGCAGAAAGTTCAAGGAATTGAAAGGTACACCCAGACTTGAGAGCCTTGAGGTGTAGACAGAGCCACTTATCTGGGGTGAATTGGTGAACTCGATTTGGCACATCCTCATCCCACAGTGAACAGATCGTTCATTTTGGAGACAGTCACAAAAATCAAAAGCTCAAGCAGGTTATTAATACCCTAGCAAGTCTTCCCAGAAGAGGGCTAATGCTGATTTATTTATCTCATCTGTGCTTTCTTTTTTCCTGGCATTCTTTGATTTTTCACAACGCAGGTAATTCTACTCTGATCAGAACTCACTCAAGTTGCCCAATGAATTTCAATTGCCAGTTTTAGTTTTCCAACTGGCCTCTCCTCCCCGGACATCCATGCGATTTCCAAACTGAGATTAAACCTCAGTGTTTCTGACTCCCCACAACCCCATCCCCCAAATCCATCTGCTCTTCCCCCAGTCCTTCCCGTTTTCTGTAGTAATAAGGCCATGGTCAGCAGGAAGGAAAGAGGCTGATGTCATCAGACAATCCTCTAATCCTTCTGGAGCCCAGAAATGACTGACCTTTTGTTATGCATAAAATCCACTCCTACATCCTAACTTAGAGGGACCGGAAGGCAAAGGAGTCCTTTAAACTGATTGTCTTGCTTCTTACAAATCATTTTTTCACATTATTTTGTCAGCTCTACTTTCTTTCAGGTTCCCAGTAAAACCAACTAAAATAACAGCTTCTGACTTCACCTTCAGAGGATAAAGTATATATAAAACCAACTTTCAGACGTAATTTTCTGGGTGTTGATTAGAGCACATTCATCAAGATAATGTTTAATTGGAGAGCTCTGCTAAGCATATCATTGGCACAGAATCGCCCTAAATAGCTGCTGGTAATAAGCTGAGTTCTCAGTTTCCACATGTGCAGGAATATGTCTCCATTCTGTCTTCAGGCCTCCTGGAGGAAGTACTCTGTTTATGTTTTTGGTACATTTTATGCCTCATCGGGAGCTAGAAATGAAACCCTTTGAATATGAGGTTTTCTCTCTCCCATGCTACAAGTTCAGAGCCAGCGTCAAAGGTATCTGTCTCTGTGTTAGCACTCTTTCCAGAACCCTTATAAACATCTTTGCCTTTGGTTCAGTTCTTCGTTTTAATGAATGTGAGATTTCTCGTTAAATACATTGCTCATCTGTAGACAGATGCATAAGAGAAGCTCAATGTAACAAACTCATCTTTCCCTGTAAATTGCTCTTCCTCTCATATGCATTATACTAATTCGGGAATGCCAGCATTCCGCTAGTCCGAGTTGGCCAACTTTTCCTGTAAAGGGCCAGAAAATAAATATTTTGGGCTTTGGGGCCTCTGTCACAGCTACTCATCTGTGCTGTTGTAGTGTTGTTACTGGTGGAGGGTCTCCAGGTTCTTGGCATCTTGAACAAAGAGTTGGACAAAACCCACAAAGCAAGGAAACAATGAAGCAACAAAAGCAGAGATTTCTTGAAAATGAAAGTACACTCCACAGGGTGGGAGCAGGCAGAAGCAAGTGGCTCAAGGGCCCAGTTACAGAATTTTCTAGGGTTTAAATACCCTCTAGAGGTTTTCCATTGGTTACTTGGTGTACAAGTATGTAAATGAAGTAGTGGCCTATGATCAGTCTGATTGGTTGCAGGAAGGAACCAATCAGAGACTGAAGCAAAGTTATAAAGTTACCCCTTATGCAAATGTATGATTGGTTGCAGAAAGTGACCAATCAGAGGCTGAAGTGAAGTTACAAAGTTATACTCCTATGCAAATGAAGACTTGGCCCGCAACCAGCCTTACTGGTTGCAGGAGGGGACCAATCAGAGGTACCTTCAATTTCTCATCTGCCACACAGAAAAAGGTGGGGGCGGGGGTAGGGGAGTGGTTGCGAAGGGAGTAGCCGCTGGTCCTTTTGTTACTTGGGTGTGGAAAATTGGGGTTTTCCTTTTGATTTACTTCTAGGAAGTCAGCGTGAATTGGCCTTAGGTTCCCTGCCTCCAGACCCTATTCTCCTGCCTCAGTGTCAGAGGCGTTCAAACCAGAGCAACTCCACAAGGTATGGGTCATAAAGGCCTTACTGATAAAACAGGGTGCAGTAAAGATGCTGGCCAAATCCCACCAAAACTAAGATGGTGATGAGAGTGATCTCTGGTCATCCTCACTGCTCATTATATGTTAATTATAATAACATTAGCATGCTAAAAGATACTCCCACCAGCGCCATGACAGTTTACAAATGTCATGGCAATGTCCCTATATACTCTAAAAAGGGGAGGAACCCGTGGTTCTGGGAATTGCTTGCCCTTTTGTGGAAAACTCATGAATAATCCATTCCTTGTGTAGCATATAATCAAGAAATAACCATAAAAATAGCCAACCAGCAGCTCTTGAAGCTGCTCTGTCTATGCAGTAGTCATTCTTTTGTTTCGTGGGTTTTTATTTTTATTTTGGGTTTTTGTTTTTGTTTTTTTTTTTGAGACAGGGTCTTACTCTGACTCCCAGGCTAGAGTGCAGTGACAGTGATGTGCTGCAACCTCCACCTCCCAGGCTCAAGCAATCCTCCTGCCTCAGCCTCCCGGAGTAGCTGGGACTACGGGTGTTTGCCACCATGCCCGGCTAAGTTTTGTGTTCTTAGTAGAGACAGAGTTTCCCCTTGTTGCTTAGGCTGGTCTCGAACTCCTGAGCTCAAGTGATCCACCCGCCTCAGCTTCCCAAAGTGCTGGGATTACAGGCATGAGCAAATCTTTAGTTTCTTTACTTCTCTAATAAACTTGCTTTCACTTTACTCTGTGGACTCACCTTGAATTCTTTCTTGGGCAAGATCCAAAAACCCTCTCTTGGGGTTTGGATTGGGACCCCTTTCTGCTAACAGTAGTGTGAAAGCAATGATAGACAATACATAAACGAATGGTGTAGTAGTGATCCAATAAAATTTCATTTACAAAAGCAGGTGTGAGATGGGCTGAATGTTTATGTCCTCCCAAAATTCCTATGTTGAAATCCTAACCCCCAAGGTGAAGGTGTTAGGAGGTAGGGCCTTTGGGGGGTGATTGGGTCATGAGGGTTGGATTAGTGTCCCTATTAAAAGAGATCCCTCATCCCTTCTATCATATGAGGACACAGCAAGAACGCACAGTCTATGAAACAGGAAGCAGGCCTTTACCAGGAACCAAATCTATGGGTGTCTTCATCTCAGACTTCCCAGCATCCAGAACTATGAGAAATAAAGTTCTGTTGTTTATAAACCACCCAGTCTGTGGTCTTTTTTTACAGCAGCCTGAATGGACTAAGATAAGTTAGTTACCCAGAGTTGGCCCTGGGTTTATAGTTTGCCAACCCTTGTGATCGGAAGCCTGGGAGCCATCCATATTTCCTTCCCTCTTTCACCTGACACATCCAATTAATAGATAAGTCTGCCAATCTTACCTCCCAAGTATTTCTGAAATCTGCTCTTGTTTGCCATCTTTAAGTTCTTACTTCACTTTAAAGAAATTGCACGTGCAAATTATAGAAGAAGCAAGAAAGACAAAGGGGAATGCCAACCAGTGTTCAAAGAAAATTGCTCCTGCATCAAAAGATTGGAGAAAAAAATGCTTACCGTATTTCATCAAATCTGAGAAACCATTGATTTTAAAATGTACATTATTTTATGCATGCCACCAAGAAGGAATAACTGCAGCCAAAATGATAATCAAAGATTTCTTATCACTTAAAATTTTTATTTTATACTTCTCGGAAGAATTGTTTTAGACAAAGAAAATATAGATTTTTGTGATAAATCAGTATGTAACATATATATACATACATACATATATGTTACACACTTTCTAAACTTCTCTTGTTTCTTGCCACACCCCTCTTCCCTAGCATAAGGAGGGGCTCTCTCTGGAATGTCCTTATCTGACTGAGGAAACTTCTTTCAGAAGAAATGCAATTGTCTTAAAACCTGTTCCTAGGAATCTCATCAAATAACCAGGAAACAGCAGAGAAGAGAAAAGACTAAAAGTCATCGCCAGGCCCAGATAGACTTTTCCTCTATTCTTCTGAGGGCAGCTCCCAGATATTACCTGTGAAACTCTCTCCATAACAAGACAACCTTTGTTAACAGTGAAGTGTTGCCCCTCACCTTCCCATAATTTGTCACCACCTCCCCCAGAGCTCAGAAGAATTTTGTCTCAGGCCACTGTCTGGGAGCTGAAGATCATTTATTACCAGTCAAAATCGCCTCCATTACCCTATCTCCCACTCCTCTATGAAGAGGGTGCTATTTAGGCTTCAGCTGTTTGGCCTTTCTTTGAGTCTCCTAGTTTTTATGATTCCCATTCCTACACATGTGAATAAATTTGGATACCTTTCCTCCTGTTAATCTATCATCAGCTCATTTCAGCAGGGGAGGGAAAATTCATAGAGGGAGGAAAAATTCTCCCCAACCCTACCATACATCATTTTCCTTCTGGAGTCACAGAGGCCTTTCAACTTGATATCCTCCCCTGAGCCATCGAGGGTGATAGCAATGCAGCATTTCTTCAAAGAGCACTCCACAATTGTTTCTAAGAATTCTCTGTAGCCCCTTGGAAACCCATTCAGCATGTTTTAATGCTGTCATGTTCTTGATCTTGCTGGAAGGTGTCAAGGGAATGTTTTCCAACAACAGTCAGGACTCATATTCCTTCCTCAAAGAGTCCTTTAATGGTTGGAGGCTAAAACATTGAGGAGTTGCAGTTGACCAGTTGTGCCACCAGGAAGAGCTAACTAACAGGTCGAAGGCTGGCAATGACAACCACATCTTGAATTTGTCTGTGATTACAAAACAATGTCAATTTCAGAGATGTTTATATATATATATATATATATTTTTTTTTAAGTGTGTCTTAGCATCCATGAAATTGATATATAGTTTAAGTTACCACAAATGTTTATGGCATGTATGTAATCTTTTTTATGTTTTCCATACTGCAATCAGCTTTTTTGATTAACTAACTGCTAGTCACTCTTATCTATAAAAAAAAAAAAAGAAGCCAGGCACAGTGGTTCACGTCTGTAATCCCAGCACTTTAGGAGGCCGAGGTGGGCAGATCACCTGAGGTCAGGAGTTCGAGACCAGCCTGGCCAATGTGGTGAAATAGTGTCTCCACTAAAAATACAAAAATTAGCCAGGCATGGTGGCGGGCGCCTGTAGTCCCAGCTACTCAGGAGGCTGAGGCAGGAGAATCGCTGGAACCCAGGAGGTGGAGGCTGCGGTGAGCCAAAGTTGTGCCATTGTACTCTAGCCTGGGCGACAAGAGCGAAACTCAATCTCCAAAAATAAAAAAGTAAAAATAAGAGCACTTCCACTGTACTGTATATGCTAATGCCAAACAGGAATTTGATGAGCTCTGTCTCTACCAGAGGTGAGGTTTAGAGCTTAAGGCCTTTCTTTGGATGAGTATGTTACTAGCAGTTAGGCTATCTCACTGTGGCAAATAAAGCGGAAAAAAAAAAAGAAATTTGTTTTTTTCCCAAAACCCCCCCACTGGGCTTGAAAATTCTTGTTCCACTATTGATTTGGTTTTAAAACACACAGCCATGAAGACAGGATGAGCATTAACATTCTTAGGCCCAATTTTTCTAGTCCAAAGATTACACCATTACTTCAAATTAGTGAAGTTTTGAGGGACTCACGAGTCTCAAAAGGGAAGCATTGTCTCCTAGACAAAGCCCTCAGGTCCTATGAGGTTGGAACATTCTTCTAGATACACCCCTAGGAGGGCACCTGCACCCAGGGAGGAAAGCACCTGGGGCACTGAGGCTTATGCAGAACTCAGTTCCCCATCAGAAGCTTGCACTGGTGGCTGGGAGAGGTGGCTCATGCCTGTAATCCCAGCACTTTGGGAGGCCACGGCGGGTGGATAGCTTGAGGCCAGGAGTTCGAGACCAGCCTAGCCAACATGGCAAAACCCCATCCTCTCTACTAAAAATACAAAAATTAGCTGGGTGTGGTGGCACACACCTATAATCCCAGCCACTTGGGAAGCTGAAGCAGGAGAATTGCTTGAACCCGGGAGGCAGAGGTTGCAGTGAGCCAAGATATCACACCACTGCACTCCAGTCTGGGTGACAGAGTAAGACTCTGTCTCAAAAAAAAAAAAAAAAAAAAAAAAAAAAAGAGCTTGCACTGTCTCCAACTTCCTTCTAGAATTAATTGCTAGTTCAGCTACTGAATGCAGACACAGGGCCACTATATAACAGTAAAGCTAGAAGGAACCTCAGAGAGCCAAACCCCAAAAGCTCTAGTTGGGAAGATGGGAGAAAAGTGAATTTGCCTGTGGGATCACTCCTGGTCACAGGTAGAGTGTCCAGTCCCTAAGCTGGTGTCTTACTCCCCACATCTTGTGACTGGTGGTAGCAAAATTCTTTCATTCTTCAGTAAGACAATGTTTTGGCTGTTAAAATAAAAGGCCCCCCCCAAGCCTAAACTCTAGAATAGGAAATAATCTTTTTTTTCCCTTTGAAATGTGGATGAGAGTAGCGCTGCCAAAAATTCTCCAAGACCTCTTCTTTTAAGCTTTAAATGGAATTAATTAAATCACCTGAAAAATAAATACAATCATCTGATTTTCTTGTGTTACTAAAAGATTTTCGAAAGAAAGGCAGCACAGCTAGCCCAGGCAATGGCTGGATGAAGTCACAGAGCTTCCAGTTCTAACGCTCTGCATCGGAACTGCTGCTGATACAATGAAACAAAGTTAATGGTGAGCTCATTCCTGCCTTTTTCACAAGAGCCGAAATAATCCTGAGCTGACTTGTGTGTGCCCAGGCCACTTGCCGATCGGTGTGAAGGGATGCTGGGGGCCGGAGGGAAAGAGGAAGGCGGGGGTCACTTTTCTCTGTCTTACTTCAGCTGTAAATTTTCTGGGCTATACGACCGTGACAACTGATTTATTTTTCATTTAATACAGATTTATTCTGTGAAGCTTTGAACACTCACTGACTCAGAATGGAGAATTTTCAGTTTAACAAAGCAAACACTCAATAAATATTATTGGATATGAAATTTGTTAATCTGCACTTCCCCTGTTTGGAGATAACCATATTTTCTGCTGCCCCATTTGACAGAACTCCAACCTCTAGCATTTCAATGTTAATCTGAAAGGGTAAGTGATCGGAGCTCATAACCTATTTTCTTTTCAGACAAGACTGACGTTAAAAAAAAAAAAATCATATTCTTAAAATCGCCCAAAGAACAAGCCAGGAATGCCTGGGGAATCTAATCAGATCTATTATGCTAACTATAAAGACATCCCTGCCCCCAACTCCTCAAGAAAAGATCTTAAGAAAGTTGAAATCAAATTGCCAAGCCTAATGGATTCCCTGTGTGACTAAATCATTGTATTATTTCTCATGTTTGAAGAGATACACAAATTTCATGGACAGGCTTAGATACTCCTGCTTGAACAGCTGTTGCCCTATCACTGTGTCTAAGGTCAGGTTCATCAATGGTGGGGCCCAGCAGTTCTTACTCAAGTGGACTGAATGCATGAAAGAGTTTTCTGTTGACATTATTCTGATGCTTCTAGGAAACCCCTCCTCACCCTGTCCCAGGGAAGATTCCACCCCTTCATGATGGGCGGTGAAGGGGATTAAAGGAATGGGGTGGATGAAAGCTCTTTCATCTGAGAGTCTGAATAGCACAGAATGGTTTTCAAGGTCATCCAGAAGTACCAAATCTGCCCTGCCCCACCAACATGGCTTCCAACCCTCACCTTTATTTCCAACAATTTGCTGCTTCTTGGTCACCATTTTTTATGCCAACTCCAAAGAGAATACTAAATAAGCAGTCTTAAATCCTTTTGGGGAGAGAGTGGGATAAATACCTTCAACAAATAACACTAACAAGCTTTTGATCTTCCACTTTTCTTTTCTGGTATCTCACATTGACCATCCTCACCTCCCAGCTGCACCCTCAGAAGCAAAACCTCAAGTGGCCCTTAAGTCCCTGGGCATAAGATTAAGTTCCTTTACTCTTTAATTCCACTTACTACATTTTAATGTTTAAAATATATATCATTTAATAAATATTAGATAATGAAACAAATATGATTATACAGTTTCCTAATTGTAAACCTTTATATGTGCCACGTGCATCCGTGTGAAGAGACCACCAAACAGGCTTTGTGTGAGCAACAAGGCTGTTTATTTCACCTGGGTGCAGGCAGGCTGAGTCCGAAAAGAGAGTCAGCAAAGGGTGGTGGGATTATCATTAGTTCTTATAGGTTTTGGGATAGGCGGTGGAGTTAGGAGCAATGTTTTGTGGGCAGGGGGTGGATCTCACAAAGTACATTCTCAAGGGTGGGGAGAATTGCAAAGAACCTTCTTAAGGGTGGGGGAGATTATAAAGAACCTTCTTAAGGGTGGGGGAGATCACAAAGTACATTGATCAGTTAGGGTGGGGCAGAAACAAATCACAATGGTGGAATGTCATCAGTTAAGGCTATTTTCACTTCTTTTGTGGAGCTTCAGTTGCTTCAGGCCATCTGGATGTGTACGTGCAGGTCACAGGGGATATGATGGCTTAGCTTGGGCTCAGAGGCCTGACAATATGTACAATCTTAATAGTACAATATGGAATTCAATTTTTTCACATGGGTTCTAACTAGGGTTAATACACTTCTTGGCTATAGAGGGGACCTCTTTATTGGAACTCAGACAGGGATCAAATCCTCTCTTTCCTTTTTATGAACCCTAAGTAAACACTAATTATAATGTGATGCCCAAAGCTTAAAATTAGCTACTCAGGGAGGCCTTTGTTCTGACCATTTTTACCTGTTTCTATCAAATTATTTCCATTCTCCAACATCAGTTTTAGTTCTATTTAAGTAGGAATTACCCAAAAAATTATATCTACTTATTAGAGAATGAAATCAGAAAGTACCCTGACTACATCTCCAACTCTTCCTTTTTCTATCAGGTTGTCATTTGAAATGGACAAAGGAAAGAAAAGACAGTTCGGAGTTGAAAAGGAGAAGTGCGGCAGCCTGGGAGGGTTTGTTATGCTTGGCAATGAGGAGATGATCAGAAGGTCGGAAGCCTGGCCTCCGTCTGTGCAGAGAGCGCGGGCCCAGCATACAGATGGCAGGTCGGTGTCTGAGAGCCCAGCCTCAGCCTGGAGCCCGTGGGCAAGGAGAGGGCACCAAATGAAGAACTGACGCAGCTCCAATGAGTGGAGGAACACCAGGTTCTTAGTCTCCAGTCGAATTAGATAAAATGACACAGACACACGTGGAGTGGTTTTGAGAGACAGGACTAGCTGGATTTCCTAGGCCGACTAAGAATCCCTAAGCCTAGCTGTGAAGGTGACGGCTTCCACCTTTAAACACGGGGCTTGCAACTTAGCTCACACCCAGCCAATCAGATAGTAAAGACAGCTCACTAAAATGCTAATTAGGCAAAAACAGGAGGTAAAGAAATAGCCAATCATCCATCACCTGAGAGCACAGCGGGAGGGAGAATGATCAGGATATAAACTCAGGCATTCGAGCCAGCAACGGCTACCCTCTTTGGGTCCCCTCCCTTTGTATGGGAGCTCTGTTTTCACTCTATTAAATCTTGCAACTGCACTCTCTTCTGGTCCGTGTTTGCTACAGCTAGAGCTGAGCTTTGGCTCACCGTCCACCACTGCTATTTGCCACCACCGCAGAACCCCGCTGACTTCCATCCCTCCGGATCCAGCAGGGTGTCCGCTGTTCTCCTGATCCAGCGAGGCGCCCATTGCCGCTCCCGATCGCGCTAAAGGCTTGCCATTGTTCCTGCACGGCTAAGTGCCTGGGTTCATCCTAATCGAGCTGAACACTAGTCACTGGGTTCCATGGTTCTCTTCCATGACCCACGGCTTCTAATAGAGCTGTAACACTCATCGCATGGACCAAGATTCCATTCCTTGGCATCCGTGAGGCCAAGAACCCCGGATCAGAGAACATAAGGCTTGCCACCATCTTGGAAGCGCCCACCGCCGTCTTGGGAGCTCTGGGAGCAAGGACCCCCTGGTAACAGCTTTAAGGAGCAGAGAGTTTAATACACAAGAAAGAACAGAGAAGGCAGAAGGAAGCAGCTCCCCGTACAGAGACGAGGGGTGGGGGCCCAAAGCCAAGAGAGGGAACCCCACCTTCCACCTATACCAACCAGGTATATATACAGAGGCTGGAGGAAGCAGTGTCTCAGGGGATTGGTTTGACTAGGCATGTCATTCACGTAGCCCATGAAAAAGCTGGCCCTCCCACCCTAGCCTTTTAATATGCAAATGCAGGGCACTATGATGTTCTACACACGTGGGGATATGGCCATGTTGCCAGGCACATGTGGGGCAATGGCAAAAAGAAGAGGGTGGGAATCGCCATGTTGGGCGGACCCAGTTTCTAATGGCCGGCGCTTGCATAGCTCTAAGAGCTGGGGCTTTACAGGAAACTTTTCCAGAGATGCTTTAAATAATGAAAACTTTGGCCGGGTGCGGTGGCTCACGCCTGTAATCCCAGCACTTTGGGAGGCCGAGGCGGGCAGATCACGAGGTCAGGAGATCGAGACCATCCTGGCTAACACGGTGAAACCCCGTCTCTACTAAAAATACAAAAAATTAGCCGGGCGTCGCGGCGGGCGCCTGTAGTCCCAGCTACTCGGGAGGCTGAGGCAGGAGAATGGCGTGAACCCGGGAGGAGGAGCTTGCAGTGAGCCAAGATTGCGGCACTGCACTCCAGCCTGGGCGACAGAGTGAGACTCCGTCTCAAAAAAAAAAAAGAAAAGAGAAAAAAGAAAACTTCCCAAGGACCCCTTTTCCTCTCTATCTGCCTAAAACAATTTATTAATAAGTTATATCACAGAAATTGGAAGGAAAAGGGAAGAGAGTGGTTTCTGACACTCACACATGCATTTAGAACAAGGTTCGAGGGTGTGCCTAACTAAGTATGGAAAGAGCTTCAGACTCCAGGAAGTTGCCCAGGACCCAGTCTTCCCTCTGCCACCGTGTGAGCTTGCTGTTGCCACCTGTGTTGGTCTGCTCAGCTGCCGTCACAAAACACCACAGGCTAGGGGGCAAAAAACAATAGACATGTATTTTTCACACTTCTGGAGTCTGCACATCCAAGGTGAGCATGGTCAGTTTCTGGTGCAGACCCTCTTCCTGGCTTGCAGACAGCGCTTCCTTCTCCCTGTGTCCTCACATGGCCCCTACTGATGTTAGAGAATGCAAGTAAGAGAGACTGAGCTCTCTGGTGTCTCTTCTTAAAAAGACACTAATCCCCTCAGACCAGGGGGCACTCCCCTCCTGACCTCTTCTAACCCTAATTGTCCCCAAAGGCCCCATCTCCAAATACCATCACATTAGGGGTTAGGACTTTCATATGGTTTGGCTATATCCCCAACCAAATCTCATCTTGAATTCCCACATGTTGTGGAAGGGACCCAATGGGAGGTAATTGAATCATGGGGGCAGGTCTTTCCTGTGCTGTTCTCATGACAGTGAATAATTCTCACGAGATCCGATGGTTTTATAATGGGGAGTTTTTCTGCACAAGCTCTCTTCTCTTGTCTGCCGCCATGTGAGATGTGCCTTTCACCTTCCACCATGATTGTGGGGCCTCCCCAACCACGTGGAACTATGAGTCCATTAAACTTCTTTTATAAATTCCCTAGTGTCAGGTATGTCCTTATCAGCACTGTGAAAATGAACTAGTACAGACTTCACCATATGAATTTTGGGAGGGATACAGCATTTAGTCCATAACACAATCATGTGCCATAAAATAACCAGTCACAAAGCCTCAGTGCCAAATAATAGCAAACTTTTTTTTTTTTTTTTTTTTTTGAGACAGGGTCTCACTCTGTCACCCAGGCTGGAGGACAGTGGTACAACCTTGGCTCACTGCAAACCCTGCCTCCCCGGGCTCAAAGAATCCTCCCACCTCAGCCTCCCAAGCAGCTGGAATTACAGGTTCATGCCACCAGGCTTGGCTAATTTTTTAAATTTTTTGTAGAAATAAGGTCTCACTACATTGCCTAGGCTAACATTCATTTCTCCCATACCTATAAGGTTCACTGATCTCATCTGGACTCCCTTATGCATTTGGGGTCCAACCAGGGCCGAGCTCATCTGGACTGGCTCAGCTGGGGCAGCTTAGCTCTGTGGCCCACACCTCTCTCCTCTGGCCTAGCCTTGTTCTTCTCATGGTGGTGGCAGAGGAGCAAGAGAGAAAGTCCTTTTCAAGTAGCTGGGTGTGTCCCATTTGTTAACATCTTATTGGCCAAAGCCAGTTCATACGTCTGAGCTCAGAATCAGATGGGAGGGCTATAAAGTCACGCATCACACGTGCGACGCAAGTATGAGTGAAGAACTGGAGCCATCCTACTCATCCATGCCAGCCCAGATAGTGCTCAGATGACACCACCTCTCTGTAGCAGCTCTCTGAGGAGCACTGGAAAATCTAATACTCTTGCCAGATTCTGTGATGACTGTCTCAATATAATATTTAATGTATCATTTCATCCTACTGATGAAATAGTTTCAAAGTTTTGACTGGGCACTGTGGCTCACACCTGTAATCTCAGCACTTTGGGAGGCCACGGTGGGTGGATCACAAGGTCAGGAGTTCAAGACCAGACTAGCCAACAATAGTGAAACTCTGTCTCTACTAAAAATACAAAAATTAGCTGGGCATGGTGGCGCACACCTGTAATCCCAGCTACTCAGGAGGCTGAGGCAGGAGAATTGCTTGAACCCAGGACCTGGGAAGCGGAGGTTGCAGCAAGCCGAGATCATGCCACTGCACTCCAGCCTGGGCTAAAGAGCAATACTCCGTCTCCAAAAAAAAAGAGTTTTTTAACCCTAGTTAAATAGTATTTTAAGCAATATTTTTGACACATTTGGGAGGAGGGAGATTTTAAATCTATAGTGTTCAATCAAGTCAAATCAAGACTTTTAAAAAAAGAGCTACCCAGGGCCAAACACAGTGGCTCATGCCTGTAATCCCAGCACTTTGAGAGGCCGAGGCAGGTGGATCACTTAAGGCCAGGAGTTCAAGACCAGCCTGGCCAACATGGTGAAACCCCGTCTCTACTAAAAACACAAAAATTAGTTGGGCGTGGTGGCGCACCTCTGTAATTCCAGCTACTCAGGAGGCTGAGGCAGGAGAATCACTTGAACCCAGGAGGCGGAAGTTGCAGGGAGCTGAGATCGCACCACTGCACTCCAGCCTGGGTGACAGAGTGAGACTCTGTCTCAAAAAAATAAAAATAAAAAGAGCTAGCCAGAAAGTAATGCTCCCTGGGTTTTCCCTTTCCTTTCCACCATTCACTGTATAGTCTTTTCCTCTGAAGAGGGCTGGGGCTTAGGCTTAGGCAAAATGAAGTAACCAACAGAGCCTCTTTGCAGTAAATTCCAGTTCTCATGAGAAAGATAACACCACATCCTGAAAAGTTACAAGGTGCAGGGAAAGAAAAAGACAAAGGGCAATTGTACAGACATCCTGAAGAATTTAAAATGTTTTCAAAACCCTAGATGGAGATTTAAACAGAAAATCTAGGACTATGAGCTCCTGAGTTGTCAGGATAATTGAGAACAGGCAATTTCCTAAATGATAATGAAGTAATGCAGAAGAAACGTACTTTTTCAGGTTGTACCAAAATAACAAATTTAGAGAGGTCCCAGAGAGACGGTTTGACACACTTGACACACGTCATTCTGGGAGTGAAAAACGGCATCCAACCCTGCAAAGGTGAGCACATTGATGCCTTTGAGCTCAGCTTTGCAATCCCATCCCTCGACATCTGGGCTCACCTTACCAGTGACAGGTAAAAGCAGGCAGCAGATACCAGTTGTCAAAACCAGCCAGCCGTTTCTGCAAGAGGAGCTCAGAGTCAGCCCAGAAGTGGCCCTGGGTGGCAAAGGGCAAACAAACCCTTGCCCGAGAATAGCCAAGCATATGCAGTTTTGTTGCTGGGAAAGATGTACTTCATGGCACCATCCCGAGTCCCCACAAGTGTGAGCCTAAGGCAAGCCTAGGCCCTGCGTTAACGATTGGCAAACCCTAGGACCTCAAGAAATACCCTATCTCCATTTCTCCATCTGTAAAACAGTTCTGGTCGGCCAGGCATGGTGGCTCAAACCTGTAATCCCAGCACTTTGGGAGGCCGAGGCAGGTGGATCACTTGAGGCCAGGAGTTCAAGACCAGCCTGGCCAACATGATGAAACCATGTCTCTACTAAAAATACAAAAATTAGCCAGGCATGGTGATGCATGCCTGTAGTCCCAACTGCTCAGGAGGCTGAGGCAGGAGAATCGCTTGAACCTGGGAGGCGGAGGCTGCAGTGAGCTGAGATCACGCCACTGCATTCCAACCTGGGCGACAGAGTGAGACTCTGTCTCAAAACAAAACAAACAAAAAAAACACCACACACACACACACACACACACACACAAACACCACAGAGGGCAGGCTGTTAGGGCCAGAAATCATGGGCTGGCATTTTTGTGCTGCATTCTTCCCCTCTGCCAGGTGCTGGGCTAGCCCCTGTCTACCCACCAGCTTTCGTGACTGCACGTCACATTCTAGGAGAGCGGGTTCCCCAAATGCAGACATGCAAGCTGGGGAGAACTCTCAGGCAGAAGCCCAGCCATGGGAAAGAAGAGAAAATATGGTCAGCAGACTCAGCGCTGGGTGCTTAGGTGTCCTGTGGGTCCTGGTCCTGAAGGTGGGGCAGGGTGACCCGCCCATCCCCAGCCTCATCACATGCTCCTGCCCTCTGTGGCAGGATGAGGCCCATGCCTGGCCTGGCGGGAGTGGATGTGAGGGAGTGGATGTCGCACTCTACATCCAGCCTGCAGAGTGACTCACAGACACCCACAGCCAAGGCTGCCACGCTTGTCACTCACCCTGAGTGACACGGTGAAGCACCTCCCAGCACCCAAGGTAACACAGCTATACCAATAGTAGATAAAGTGCTGGAGAAGAGGAATTTGAGAGACACGAGGAAGCTGGACTGGGAGATGAAGCAACTACTGTGAAATCTCTTCCCGTTGAGACAGCACAGGAAGTTACACTGAAAATAGGCTATGAGCTGACATGCATGCACAATTTGATTCCACACCTGGATTTCTGAATAAAACTAGGAAGAAATGAGGGTTTTATCCAAAAGCACCAAACAAAGCTGTTTTGATGCTGTTAGTTCTGTGCTCTTTTCTTGTCATTTACTTGATCATTAACCCAAGGTGACGCCAAAAAAAAAAAAAATGAAATGTAGGAGACATCCTTCAGCTAGATTAGAAAATCACCCAACCTATAGAAAAACATAAACGCGGCCAGGCATGGTGGCTCATGCCTGTAATCCCAGCACTTTGGGTGGCCAAGGCGGGCAGATCACAAGGTCAAGAGTTCAAGACCAGCCTGACCAATATGGTGAAACCCCATCTCTACTAAAAACACAAAAATTAGATGGGCGTGGTGGCGTGTGCCTATAGTCCCAGCTACTTGGGAGGCTGAGGCAGGAGAATTGCTTGAACCTGGGAAGTGGAGATTGCAGTGAGCCGAGATCGTGCCACTGCACTCCAGCCTGGGTGACAGAGCGAGACTCTGTCTCTAAAGGAAAAAAAAAAAAAAAGAAAGACAAACATAAACACAAAAAGGAAGCAAAGAAGGAAATGAGAGATTTGGGAGTGGCCTTGACTTGGAATGTGATGATGCCACCACCCCCAACCAGCTTGGCCCATTCTCTTCCTACCAGCCTCTGCCTCTCAGCCCCCACTCAGTGTATTCTATCTGCAGATAGGCGTTACACTGAATACTACAAAATAGGCTACTTTTATACTAGAAGGAATTCAATAAAAGTGAAATACATAAAAGCCCAGCGCTTATAGATTTTTATTATGATTCTTTCAACTAAGCTTTTAAAAATTCTCTGATGTTGGGAGAAGTATAACCAAGGTATCTTGCAGGACCAGACAAGGTGTCAGGAAGCAAAGTGGGTATGTCTACACAAAGACAAACGCCGGGGAAAAGAAAAACCCCATCTTTCCCGGGAGCCATGTTCGAGCTCAACACTCACCCCGATGTGCTTTTGGGGACAGCTTGCTTTATGCCAGTCCCCTTGAGGGTGTGGGGTCCCAGTGAGGTGGCTCCCACCAGTTGCATCTTTTTATAATCTTTCATGAAAGCGTTTCTTTTGTCTTAAACAGTGGTAATCTGTTTGATGTTCATAGAGATTGATGAGCGGCCTTGGGTGCCAGCAGAGAATCAGACAGATGGCAATAGTGACAATAAATAATTGTCATGTTTTTCACTTTTGTGGCCTCTACAATTCAAGGGTCTCAAAACACAGCGGAAATTTAGAATGATAGGAAAGGAAAAGACCTTGGGAAAGGGCATCTCGTCCATCCTTCCAACATCTCACCCCAGGGCTCATACTAAACAAGATGCTCTCATGCGCCCTTGGCCCCTGACTGCAGTGGGGATGGCTGTGTTCCCAGTGAGAACACAGGCACAGCCCCTAAGTTACAGGATGTGGCTTCTTCGTTGCCCCCAGGGGGATGGAAACTTGAAGACTCAAGGGCAGACAATACAGTGAACTCCGGGGCCCTCCCAGTGAGATGGGGAAGCTAAAGACAAGCTGAGGGCAGGTTTGGTGCAGGAGGTGGCAGCGGCCCCTCCGAGCACCATCCTGGCAGGGAAGGGCCACTTCTGGGAGCTGGAAGGGGCAGATGCTGGGAACATGCCCCAGACTCAAACCACACTGACACAGACCATCACACCATGGACAGCCCTGGCCGCCCTGTTCTTTCCTAGAATAACATGCTCAGTGGCATGCCTGCTGGAGCCCAAGCCAGGACTTCTTACATGCCGATTCCTCCCCACGGGCTGTTCTTTAGATGTTAAGAGAGGACATGGCAGGAGGTGGTGAACAAGCACTCATCTCACCTTCCAGCCGCTATCACAGAGCACCTAATGAACCGCAGTGTGCTAGAATTTCCACATGTGGGTAGAGAGAAAAAGAGGACAGTCTTCACCCAAATCTCAGTGCTGGGCACAGGGATAGAAGGATGGTGAGAAGAAATGAAGATCTGTTCTTCCTTCATTTGTCTTCCCATTTCCAATCCTCAAGAACCAGTTTGAGGAGAATGTCTGCCAAACCAGCTGCAAACATACTACTATTTAAATTTTCTTCATTTCAAAGGGTTTTAGAGGCCAGGCACAGTGGCTCACGCCTGTAATCCCAGCACTTTGGGAGGCTGGAGTGGGAGGATTGCTTAAGCCCAGGAGTTCCAGACCAGCCTTGGCAACATGGCAAAACCCTATCTCTACAAAAAAATAGAAAAATTAGCTGGGCGTGGTGGTTCACGTCTGTGGTCCCAGCTACTCAGGAGGCTGAGGTGGGAGGATCACCTGAGCCCAGAAGGTTGAGGCTGGGTTGAGCCATGTTCATGCCACTGCACTCCAGCCTGGGTGACAGAGTGCAACCCTACCTCAAAAAAAAGCTTGGGGGGGTGGGGGTCAGGCCTCTTCAGAACTGCGTGCCTCCTCGTAGGTCCATAATAAGAAGTTCCCCAGCCAAACCACCCAGGGGAGATTACTGTTTGCTGTCCTGGCCCCTCTTCCTTCCCTCGGGGCCCTATCTCTCCTGAATCTTACTTGTATCTTCATCCTCACCTCCTTCGCAAAAGAGGATCTTGCCTTGGACTAGAAAAGCAGAAATCATCCCGCATCCATACAGATCTTTAATCACATCCTTGTTCTTGAGATCCGAATTTAAAACATAGAGGTGTTGTCAGGCCCTTTAGGGCTTTGCACAGTGTCAAAGCGAGCAATCTGAATGGAAGGAGTTTTAATTTTTCAAAAATTAGCCAGCAGTGGTGGTGCACGTCTGCAGTCCCAGCTACTTGGGAGGATCATGTTTGAGAACAGGAGGTTGAGATTACAATGAGCTATGATCACGCCACTGCCTGGGCAACAGAATGAGACCCTGTACCCAAACATAAAATCTGACAAATTTCTTCACTTACTCTTTCCAACTAAAAAAAAAAAAAAATTTACTTGTTATGCAATCAGAAAACTGACCTCCAAACAGCAAATGTCAGCAAGTCAGTAGCAGGAGCCGACAACTCATTCAGGAAAAATGAAGCACTTTTTATAAAAGTCCTGTTTCTGGCTCAGTTATACTGTCCTAAGAACTGACATAGTAAGAAATAAGTCCAGGAATCATTAAAACAAGATAGAATCCAATGTCCTACGTGTTCCAAGAACACAGCTGTTGCTCAGAGGCTCAAGGCTTCGGCTACTCCTGTGTCAGCGCGCAACATAAACCCACCACAGAGAAAACCCAAGCACGAAGCACGACCGTGCTCTGCCATCTGGTGGCCAAAAGTGAAATGGCCCTGAAGGCGCAAAAGATTGAAAATAGATGTTTCCTAAACTGTAGTCATCAATAGCGAAACTTTCTCAAGTCGGCTACCAATAAGCAGTGGATGTTAGAATGCTGAAAAAAACAAATCCAATGTTGAAGAACCTCCTTTCTTTGGCCCTCCAGGCATGAATGAAAAGCTCTTAAATTGCTTGCCTAAATGAGCCCATCTGTTTACTAAACAGGGGTACATGAAAACATCAGTTACTAAGTATGCAGACTCTTTTGATCCTATGAAAGCACTGACCATCTATCCATGCTATGCAGATCTCTGTTGGTGATATAATTACAAGATGGGAAAGGGAAGTGTGACCGGGACACTCTGAGAGCCACTTGTAGTCTAAATGAGACACCCCGCAAAAGCAGTCACGTGAGCTTGGAAACTCAAACCCTGCTTTCCTAGCACACTGAAGCCTCAGAAGGCCATGCACACCTGTAATCCCAGCACTTTGGGAGTCCAAAGCAGGTGGATCACTTGAGTCCAGGAGTTTGAGACCAGCCTGGGTAACACAGACAGACGCCCGTCTCTACAAAAAATACAAAAATTAGCTGGCACATGCTTGTAGTCCCAGCGACTCAAGAGGCTGAGGTGGGAGAATCACTTGTGCCTAGGAGGTTGAAGCTGCAATGAGCCATGGTCACGCTGCCCTTGCACTCCAGCCTGAGCAACTAAGCAAGACCCTATCTCAAAAAAAAAAGGCCTCCAAAAAGTCTGAGTAAAAAAAAGTTGTGCTTTGCAGACACTGCTGCCGCCACCAGGAGCCCCATACTACCAGCCATGATCAACCCCATCGTGTGTTTCAACATCATTGTCAACGGCAAGCCCTTGGGCCACATCCCCTTCGAGCTGTTTGCAGACAAGATTCCAAAGACGGCAGAAAACTTTCACTCCTGAGCACTGGAGAGAAAGGATTTGGTTGTAAGGGTTCCTTTTCTCACTGAATTATTCCAGGGTTTATGTGTCAGGGTGGTAACTTCACAAGCCATAATGGCACTGGTGGCAAGTCCATCTATGGGGAGAAATTTGATGAGGAAAACTTCATCCTGAGGCATAGAGTTCCTGGCATCCTGTCCATGGCAAATGCTGGACCCAACAAAAATGGTTCCATTTATCATCTACACTGCCAAGACTGAATGGTTGTATGTGGCCCGGCACGGTGGCTCACGCCTATAATCCCAGCACTTTGGGAGCCCAAGGCGGGAGGATCCTGAGATCACGAGTTCAAGACCAGCCTGGCCAACATGGCGAAACCCCGTCTCTACTAAAAATACGAAAAATTAGCCGGGCATGGTGACGCATGCCTGTAGTCCCAGCTACTCGGGAGGCTGAGGCAGGAGAATCCCCAGACCTCCCCATGGCCTAGGTCAGGAGCCCAGAAGTGCCACATGGCTGAGGGAGCGCCATTTCCTGGGGGGATGGGGGATAAGAAGGTACCCTACAGGAGAAGCCAGGAGGGGCCGCCTGCCCCTGGGGTTGGGGCCTGGCCGAGGCAGGTGTCGGGCCTGAGAGCCTGGCTGGCTGAGCTCGGAGGGCCCCCAGGGAAGCCTGGCCCAGGGAGCAGTCGTGACTCTGCAGGGGAAGCCCAGCGAGGGAGCCCGGGAGGCAGAGGTTGCAGTGAAGTGAGATCACACCACTGCACTCCAGCCTGGTGACAGAGATAGGCTCTTTCTCAAAAAAAAAAAAAAAAAAAAAAAAGAATGAGTGGTTGGATGGCAAGCATGTGGTCTTTGGCAAGGTGAAAGAAGACATGGATATTGTGGAGGCCATGGAGCGCTTTGGGTCCAGGAACGGCGGGACCAGCAAGAAGATCACCACTGCTGACTGTGGACAACTCTAAGTATGACTTCTGTTTTATCTAAACTACCAGACCATTCCTTCTGTAGCTCAGGAGAGCACCCTCCACCCCATTTACTTGCAGTATCCTAGAATCTTTGTGTTCTCGCTGCAGTTCCCTTTGGGTCTATGTTTTCCTTATTCCCTTCCATGCCTAGCTGGATTGCAGAGTTCAGTTTACAATTATGAAATAAAAACAAAGGAAGGAAGGGAGGGAGGGAAAAGGAAAGAAAGAGTTGTTGGCTGGGTGCGGTGGCTCACACCTGTAATCCCAGCACTTTGGGAGTCTGAGGCAGGTGGATCACTTGAGCCCCAGAGTTTGAGACTAGCCTGGGCAATATGGTGAAACCCCATCTCTACTAAAAATACAAAAATTAGCCAGGCGAGGTGGCATGTGCCTCTAGTCCCAGCTACTCAGGAGGCTGAGGTGGGAGGATTGCTTGAATCCAGGAGGCAGACATTGCAGTGATCCAAGATTGTGCCACCACACTCTAGCCGGGGCAACAGAGTGAGACCTCATCTCAAAAAAAAAAAAAAGTAAGTTGTTTAACTTTGCTTAACTTAGCTTCCCAAATTCCTTTGACCTCTGAATAGGTTGTTGTTTTTTAGGTAGTTGTTTTTTAAATTGTTGTTTGTTGGATTGTTTTCTTTTCTGTTTTGTTTTTAGAGATGGGGTCTCCCTATGTTATTCAAGCTGGTCTTGAACTCCTGGGCTCAAGCAATCATTTCCCCTCAGCCTCCCGAGTAGCTGGGATTACAGGCTTGAGCCATCACATAGGGCTCTGTTGGATTTCTTTCAGTATATCCCAAAGAATTTGTAAAACACAAGTTGAAATGCAAATGCAGTCTCAGCTCTGCAGCTAGCTGAGCGATGTTTTGGAAAGTTATCTAACCTCCATGTGCTTTTATTTCTTCCAAAATAAATCAAGAGCAGAAAAAAGGTAAAAAGAGAAAATATTTTACTTCAGCCATTCCTAAGCTCTGCCATCGTTTTCTTATACCAATTTTCAACAACCTTGCACTGTAGATCATCTGGACTACTACTCAAAAATAGCCAACTGGTGACACGCATCTATCCCCTTCCTCTTTTCAAACCCAACTAGGCAGTGAACGGATAATAAAAGGCTATTCACTCATAAGGACAACAAAAAAAGCAGCACCCAGAGATATTGAACTTCAAGAAATGTTTGAAGACAAAGTGGGTGGAGAAATAGCAACCAGCTGAACAGAATAGAGGGTGTTACAATGTGGGGCACATTGTATTTTTCAAAGACATCTGAGATACTTCCTCCCACCTACATTCTTCTGCAATGTGACTTTGCCACTCTTCCATCAAAAAGGACAGTCTGATTCCCCTCCCCTTAAATCTGGGTTAGCCTTAGTGACTCTTCTATAACCCATAGAGGCCTTGTAGTTAGTTCTGTGGAAACCTTGCTCTCAGAACATTCCCTCTTAGATCCCAGCTGCCATGCTGTGAGGAAGCCCAAGCCACATGAGTCCTCCCAGCCCAGGTGGCAGACATGAGAGTAAAGAAGCCTCAGACAGAGACATCTTCTCTGAACACTTTATTGAAAACAACACCTTCTTTCCTGACAGTGGTCAAAAAAAAAAAAAAAAAAAACACTTTCGCCTGCCTAATTTTTATTCATAGCCATAATATAATTCATTTGTTTATTATTTTCCCTAGCTAGACTATAACCTTCATAAAGACAGAGAACCTTATCTTACTATTATATCCTCAACAACTAGAACAATACCTGGCACATAAAAGGAACTCAATAAATATTTGATTGATAAGTAAATGAATAAAGCAATCAGAAAAAAAAGAACAGGGAGAAACACAATCAATGGATGGAACAGATTAAAACTTCTACAAGGTATTAACATATATATGCACACATATATATGTATATATGTATATACACACACACATGTGTGTGTGTGTTTATATAGAGAGACAGATGTGGGAAGCCACTGAGGGAGCAGTTCAGATAAGAACAAACAGGGTAAAAGAAAGAACTCTTACAAAGTAAAAATGTGGCAGCTGAAATTTAAAAATTCAATAGAATGCTTATCAGATAAGGCTGACAAAATCTTCCGGATTATATCTCAAGGAAGAAATGTTAATAAAAAAAAAAATCTTCCAGAAAGTTGTACCAAGAGAAGGTGAGATGGAAAATGTGGGGAGGGGGAGTTAGGGGATCAGTCCAGGAGGTCTCCTGTCTAATGCAAGTTCCAGAAAACAAGAACAGAGAAAAATGGAACATAGATGAACAATGAAGTGAAATCCCAGGAAGCCACATGTGCACCAGCAGAGAACCCCGCCCAGCTGGAGCAGAACACAGGGGTTGGGGCCTGGGCATCTGGGAAGCATGGGACTGAGGCGGTGTGATCTGAGCATTTGGAAAAACCATTACAGGATATTTTGTTGGAAAGATCTGTTGAAGTATTT
Organism: Homo sapiens; assembly: GCF_000001405.40. Classification (NCBI taxonomy): domain Eukaryota; kingdom Metazoa; phylum Chordata; class Mammalia; order Primates; family Hominidae; genus Homo; species Homo sapiens. The sequence continues at coordinate 61,617 of NW_015495299.1, forward strand.
AGGAACCAAAAAATCCTTGTGTAGTGGTAGATCCATAGAAAACTACAAAAGTTAAAAAAAAAGATATAATTATTGCCTGCAGGAAAAGTAAAATATTGTACAATTTGGCCAGGCAACAGTGAGGCCTGAGTATCCTTTAACCCCCAGCTGTGATATCACCATGTTGGAAGGATGCAGTGGGGAGAGAAGGGCAGAGAGGACAAGGGAGTGGTATGAGGGAGGTGAGCCCTCAAGTACCACAGGAAACCAAAAGATTGCACCCGAGATGGATAACTAAGAACATAATAATATAAGCTTATTATTTAGAAATATGGACAACATACAGAAGAAAGAACCACAGCATCCTAGACTATCGGGGAACCTGCCCTGATAGTCACATAGGTTCTTTTCTATTTTCCCTAAGCGTCGGCCAGTTTGAGAAATAAATGGACAGAGTACAAAAGAGAGAAATTTTAAAGCTGGGCGTCCAGGGGAGACATCACATGTTGGTAGGTTCCGTGATGCCCCACAAGCTGCAAAACCAGCAAGTTTTTATTAGGGACTTTCAAAAGGGGAGGGAGTGTACGAATAGGTGTGGGTCACAGAGATCACGTGCTTCACAGGGTAATAGAATATCACAAGGCAAATGGAGGCAGGGCGAGATCACAGGACCACAGGACCAGGGCAAAATTAAAATTGCTAATGAAGTTTCTGGCACCATTGTCATTGATAACATCTTATCAGGAGACAGGGTTTTGAGAGCAACCAGTCTGACCAAAATTTATTAGGCAGGGAATTTCCTCTTCCTAATAAGCCTGGGAGTGCTATGGGAGACTGGGGTCTATTTCACCCCTACAGTTTCGACCATAGAAGACGGCCACACCCAAGGGGGCTGTCTATAAACCCACCCCCAGGCACGTATTCTCTTTCCCAGGGATGTTCTTTTCTGAGAAAAAGAATTCAGCAATATTTCTCCCATTTGCTTTTGAAAGAAGAGAAATACGGCTCTGTTCCGCCCGGCTCACCTGTGGTCAGAGTTTAAGGTTATCTCTCTTGTTCCCTGAACATTGCTGTTATCCTGCTCTTTTTTCAAGGTGCCCAGATTTCATATTGTTCAAACACACATGCTCTACAATTTGTGCAGTTAATGCAATTATCACAGGGTCCTGAGGCGACATACATCCTCCTCAACTGACAGGATGAAGAGAGTAAAGTAAAGACAGGCACAGGAAATCACAAGGTTATTGATTGGTGAAGTGATAAGTGTCCATGAAGTCTTCACAATTTATGTTCAGAGATTGCAGTAAAGACAGGCATAAGAAATTATAAAAGTATTAATTTGGGGAACTAATAAATGTCCATGAAATCTTCACAATCCACGTTCTTCTGCCATGGCTTCAGCTGGTCCCTCCGTTTGGGGTCCCTGACTTCCCACAACACTAGACAGGGGCCTTCTGGGAAGCAGAATGAAGAATAGAGAGAAATGGGAAAGGGGATTAATGTTTTTATTTATTTATTTGAGATGAAGTCTTGCTCTTGTCGCCCAGGCTAGAGTGCAATGGCATGATCTTGGCTCACTGCAAACTCCGCCTCCCGGGTTCAAGCGATTCTCCTGCCTCAGCCTCCTGAGTAGCTGGGATTACAGGCATACACCACCACACTGGCTAATTTTTGTATTTTTAGTAGAGACGGGGTTTTACCATGTTGGCCAGGCTGGTCTCGAACTCCTGACCTCAGGCGATCCACCCCCTCAGCCTCCCAAAGTGCTGAGATTACAGGCATGAGCCACTGCACTCAGCATCATGTTTGTCTTTATAAGCCTTTTGGTATTCATTGATTTTTCAGCCATGTGCATGTAGGTCTTTGATTTAAAAAAAAAAAAAATTTAAAAAGGAAAGGAAATAGACTAGAATGAAAGAGACACATGAGAAGACACTGTGGCAGTCTTGGGTAGTGAGGTCCTGGGCTTTGTTTTGCCTGACTTTTCCTTTTTTGTGTTTTCCAAATTTTCTGTAATAAGGATGTAATATATTTGTACTAGAAAAGTTCAAAATAAACATTTTTAACAAACATGCTTACAAATACTTAAACCAAGAGAAGGTGATATGGAAAATGTGGCGAGGGGGAGTTAGGGGATCAGTCCAGGAGGTCTCCTGTCTAATGCAAGTTCCAGAAAACAAGAACAGAAAAAATGGAACATAGATGAGCAGTGAAGTGAAATCCCAGGAAGCCACGTGTGCACCAGCAGAGAACCCTACCCAGCTGGGGCAGAACACAGGGGGCGGGGCCTGGGAGTCTCAGGGAAGCCCCACTGTAAGTTTCCTGCAGTTGAAGCCATGGGCCCAAAGTGTTGATATGCATAAGAATCACCCGGTTCCTTTGTTAGCTCGTTTATGGGGGGAAGAAAGGAATCACATGGTGACCAGCACAGTAGCTCATGCCTGTAACCCCAGGACTTTGGGAGACTGAGGTACAAGCATCGTCTGAGTCCAGGAGTTCAAGACCAACTGGGTGACATTGTGAGACCCCTGTCTCTACAAAAAAATTTTTTAATTAGCCAGGCATGGTGGTACCAGCCTGTAGTCCAAGCTACACAGGAGGCTGAGGCAGGAGGATTGCTTGAAGCCAGGAGTTCAAGACCAGCCTGGGCAACATAGCGAAACCTCATCTCTATTAAAAATTAAAAAAAAAAATTAGTCAGTCTTGGTGGCGCATGCCTGTAGTCCTAGCTACTTAAGAGGCTAAGGTGGGAGAATGACTTGAGCCCAGGGGGTTGAGGGTGCAGTGAGCCTGCAGTGAGCCTGCAGTGGAGCTATGATTGTGCCACTGCACTCCAGCCTGGGCAACAGTTGAGAATAGGTCTCAAAAAAAAAAAAAAAAGAAAGAAAGAAATCAACTGGGGAGTTACTGAAAATGCAGAACCCCAGGCCCGCCTCAGAGATGTGGACCTTTCTAGAGGCCCTACTATATGCTATAGTATTCTCATATAATTCAAAATGTAAAGCAATACCAAACCAGGAAATTATTTTTGATTTTTTATTTTTGAGACAGTCTCTCGCTCTATTGCCCAAGCTGGGGTACAGTGGTGTGATCTCGGCTCACTGCAACCTCTGCTCCCAAGTGATTCTCACGCCTCAGCTTCCCGAGTAGCTGGGATTACAGGTGTGCGTCACCACGCCTGGGTAATTTTTTGTATTTGTGGTCTATGTTGCCCAGGCTGATCTCAAACTCCTGACCTCAAGTGATCTGTCCACCTCAGCCTCCCAAAGTGCTGGGATTACAGGCGTGAGCCACCACACCTGGCCAGGAAATGATTTTTCTAATGTCCTAAGTTATCCAATACATGATACGCATACAGTGGATATGGAGTTTGAATAGCTGTCTTTCCGCAATGGACCATTTTCTAGCGTGTGTGCATAAGCATGCCCACATGTGCCTCTGCACTACTAATGCTTCAAGCAGGTGCCAGGCCTGCCTAGCAGCTCATCCAGCCCTGGTCAGAGCTGGGGGACCGAGATTTGTAACCGCATCCCCAGGTGACAGGGGAAACCTGGCTCCAGGACTCCATCCCACAGGGCAGAGCTCTCCCACTTTAATCCCTGTACCATTCAGTGCCGGCTAGATCCAGTTCTTTCCCCTGCTCACAACTCTGGGGCCACTCCAACCACAGGGGCAAGAGAGATCCTAGGGGCTGCAGCAGCTAGTACTAGCAACTCAACTGCAGAAAAGTTACAATGAAACAAGTTCTCCCAGGCAGAGGGAGTCAGAGCTCCTGCGGAGGTGTCCACACACCGTTCATTAATGCCTCACCCCTACCACCAAGGGACTGCCAGGTAGGGGGCTTTCCACACGCAGGACGTGGCTGGATTGCAAGGTTCCTATGACCCTAGAAATCCTGGTTGCCCAGAAAGATTTTGCCACCACAACCACCACTTCCCCCTCATCCCCCAGGGAGTTTAGCAATGTTTAGGGACATTCTTGTTTTAACGGAGGACTGGAGGAGTGGGGTGCCACTGGCATCTAGTAGGCAGAGGCCGGGCATGCGCTAAAAATCCCACATACGCAAGACAGCTTTCCCATCGCCCAACTCCAATAAAAAATTATCTGACCCAAAATGTTAATGGTGCCAAGCTTGACATGTGCTAGAGCCTGTGATACAATTATTCAAATAAGATAAAAATATTAGCTCTTCACTTCTTTTACCACAATAAAGCTCTATTATCTATAAACACTCGGCTCAATGGAATGAGTTCCCGGCTGTGTACAGAAGCTGGGACCATTTATAGACAGGTGCATTTGCAAGAACACCAGTCAATCCTTCCCAAGTTAAATCAAAATACAGACCATTGCCACCTCTCCTTAGAAGGCACAGATGTAGTCTCATAAAAGATGCTTTGCATATGATTTTTTTTAAGTCTTAGTTCCCACCAGAAGTTGGAGATGGTAAAAAATAAAATCCATATACAAAACTAGTGAGAAAAACAATTTGACAAGTGATATCCAATGCTAAAAATAAAGTGTTAGTTTCCTAGTATTCAGGAAAATATAAGCTACTGTAAGGCAAGTTCCAGATATCAGCACAGGGCACTGGGCTTCTGGCCTCTGTGCTCCACCACCTGGCAAGCAGCAGGAGACAAAACACCTTAAGGTCCCCAGCCCAGCCCTGCAGGTGTGTGTGTGTGGGGAGGAGTGGGGGGGCCTGGGGACAGCCATTGACCATGGAGTGGGTATCCCAGTGGGGTCCCCTGAAGGGCAGCAGGCACAGAAGAGCAGCTTGAGGCTGTCCCAGGGCGGTGGCTGTGTGAGTCTAGTTTTTGCTTTACCAAGTGTACAGAAATCACAATTACTTTTCTCTGATGCTCCCTTGAAGTCATAGAATTTAGGAGCTTTTTTAAAAAGGAAAAGAAAAACACAACCCCAAAAATAAAAGATATCAGCACAACATTTGTTGGGATGAATGAATGTACAATTGTGACGTCACACCAGCAATCAAAGCTCTGGCAGTGTGTGAGGGCGAGGTGTCTTATTAACTTTTGTTGTTTGGGTGTGGTAAGGCCACCAGATCAGGAGAGGGTTGTCATTGAAAAGAGAGTTGGTTATTCACAGCCCCAAGAGGAGGGGGCGAGCTACACTATAAAAGGGCCATGCGGGGAAGCCCAGGGTGGTTTAAGAGGCCGTGAGAGAGGGAAAAGTGGGGGCAAGGGAGAGAACACAGTCTTGGGACTGGTGAGTTGGAATAATTTGGGTGGGTTCTGGGACATACGGGCTGTCCCTCATCGTCTGGTACCTGACTCTAGGATGATTAGGGCAGGTAGACCGTAGCCTACAGTGTGAGACCGCAGCCTAGAGTGTGAGACCACAGCCTAGAGTGAGAGCCTTCAAAGGAAGTGGTGGAGTCGTGGGCTCTGGGTTGGTTGGTTTGCATTTGAAAAGCACACTGGAGAGCCAGCTGTCTACTGCTTCTAGGAACTGGCTAACCTACCAGAGGGTCAGCAAGGCCCAGACATCAAAGCGTTAAAATACAGAAAAAAAAGATGTGACTGGGCACAGTGCTCACACCTGTAATCCCAGCACTTTGGGAGGCTGAGGCGGGTGGATCACCTGAGGTCAGGAGTTTGAGACCAGCCTGACCAACATGGAGGGACCCCGTCTCTACTAAAAATAAAAAATTAGCCGGGCATGGTAGTGCATGCCTGTAATCCCAGCTACTCGGGAGGCTGAGGCAGGAGAATTGCTTGAACCTAGGAGGCGGAGGTCGCGGTGATGAGATCACGCCATTGTACTCCAGCCTGGGCAACAAGAGTAAAGCTCCATCTCAAAAAAAAAAAAAGAGAGAGAGAGATGTGGTTAATACACAAGGGGAATGTCAGAGTCAATAACAAAATATGTGACATAATAAGCTGATGCTTGCTGTGTACGCATAGGTCCATGAAAAGGAGATATATATTCAAGGTGAATGGAGCCTGACTGGGTAGCTTCTTTTTCCCCCTGCAGATTAGATTTTATTTAAATGGCCGGGTCAATTTCAGAGAACGGAAATCTCTAAGGTAAGTCAATCATGGGGGCAGAAAATATTTCTTCACCAAAGAATGTAAGAGAATATAAAGAATTTTCAAATCCCCCCACCCCGTAAAATAACCACACAAATGGCTGGGTCAAAAAAACAGACCAATAAAATCATACATACACCCAAATGTCCCTCAACAGATGAATGAATGAATAAAATGCAGTCTACTCATACAATGGAATATTATTCAGCAGTAAAAAGGAGTGGAGTACTGATGCATGCTACAACATGGATGACCCTTGAAAACATCATGCTATGTGGAAGAAGCCAAACAGTCGTCACATATTGTACGATTCCATTTATGTTAAATGTCCAGAATAGGCAAACCCATAGAGACAAAAAGTAGACTCGTGTTGCCAGGGACCTCATGAGGGGAAGAGGGACTGGGGAGTGACTGCTAATGAGTTTCTTTTGGGGGTGATGAAAATGTTCTAAAATTAGTGGTGGTAGCTGCAAACTATGAATACACTTTTTTTTTTGAGACAGAGTCTCACTCTGTCACCCAGGCTGGAGTACAGTGGCACAATCTCAGCTCACTACAACCTCTACCTCCCAGGTTCAAGCAATTCTCCTGCCTCAGCCTCCCAAGTAGCTGGAATTACAGGCACACACCACCATGCCTGGCTAATTTTTTATATTTTTAGTAGAAACAGGGTTTTGCCACATTGATCGGGCTGGTCTTGAATTCCTGACCTCAGTGGTCTGCCCACCTTGGCCTCCCAAAGTGCTGGAATTACAGGCATGAGCCACCGCGCCCGGCCTGAATATACTTTTTAAAGATGTACTGAATTGTGTACTTTAAAAGAGTGAACTTTATGGTATGTGAATTATATCACAATAAAGCTGTTATTTAAAAAAAACAAAAATACTTAAACCATAGCAATAATCAAGTGTTCCCTATTAACACGCAAATACTCCTGAGAGAGTTATAAAATAGTCATCTCTCCTGGTTGTGGAAATCTCGCAGGAGAAGAAGCTGCTGGCCCTATGCGTTCAAATATTAGTGCAGTTCTTGTAAAAGCCACTGTGAGACTCAGCACAGCCTTCAGCCTTGCGTGCATGTGTGCACGTGAGATGCCAGCTGGGAGCTGGCGAAAGATGGAGGACAGGAGGGAGGGGAGGGATGTGAAAGTAGGGAATGAATAGGGCTCATCTGCAAGGCACTGGAGGCAAAAATAGAGAGTGGCAGAGACAAGCCTACACACCTCGCCCTGAGGTCCCCAGGCTCTCTTCTTCATGCTGCACTCCCTGATGTGACAGTGCAGCCACCCGCGTCAGGATAGGACCAGCACACAGATCGGGAAAAGACCCGTGAAGTTTAAGGTGAAAATAGGGCAGGACATGATGTGAAAGAAACTGGCAGGCATGCATCACAGGCCAAGAGGCAAGTGAGGGCCCAGGTGGTCCACACACCCCACAGGGAGAGGACACTAAGGACCAGGGAGGTGGTACCAGGAAAAAAGCGATGAGCTGAGTCTCTCTTCACCTTGGTTTTACACAAACTGAACATAAAGGATGTAAATACCATGGCCAGCCCTCACTTTCCTCAGTAGATGGAGTTTGCACTAAGCCACATGTTCGCAATCCATGAATTGCCATTCCTTTGTATCAACAAACATTACTGAGTGGCCAGACATGGTGGCTCATGCCTGTAATTTCAGCACTTTGGTAGGCCAAGGTGGGCAGATCACTTGAGCTCAGAAGTCTGAGACCAGCCTAAGCAACATGGTGAAACCCTGTCTCTACAAAAAATACAAAAATTAGCCGGTCATGGTGGAACACGTCTGTAGTCTCAGCTACTCAGGAGGCTGAGGTAGGAGGATCACCTGAGCCTGGGGAGCTTGAGGCTGCAGTGAGCCAAGATCACACCACTGCACTCTATCTAGCCTGGGCGACAGAATAAGACCTGACACAGGCCCTATACTGAACACTGAGCTTGTGAGGAAATTAAGATTTGGTCCCTGAATGATATGGGGGGGATAATTACATCCAGAATCAGAAAGAAAGCAGGAGACGCTCATCCTCAGGAGGCTCTAGGTCCCTGCCGAGAGAGACATTCTCCTTTTAGACTCAATTGAGCAGCGTTAATTCAGAGACAGCCAGGAGCCTGGGAGGCCAGGGCATAAACAGCATAAATGTTGTCACCCACCCCTATTTTGTGAGAAGATATATCGGGCAGCCCTGGGGAAATGGGATGCAGGATAGGAGAAGAAAGGCATGTCTGGGGAAGCTGCTGTATGGAAAAGTAGGAAAGTCATCCTATACCAGCAGTTCTCAAACTTGAGCACACAGCAGAATCACCGAGGGACCTCTTAAAACACACATTGGTGGGCCCACCAGCAGTGCCACTCAGTCAGCGAGTCAGGGTGGAATCTGGTACCTGCCCTAGTTCTAACGAGCTCCCAGGCAATATGCATGCAGACGCTGCCAGTCAGGCAGCCAGATTTTTAGAACGCTTACCAAAACTATTTCACCTGTTTTCCCAGGTCACCTGCGCAGATGGGTCCCGTGAAGGATACACACAGAAAAAGGGCCGAAAGGAAGGGCTCAGGATCGAGCAGAGAATCCTGCCTAGGAGAGAAACATGGAAAGAGATTCCACAGGAAAACACAGGTAGTAGAAGAACAGCAGCCAGCATTTATGGATTGAGCACTTACTATGTGCAGAGCCCCCTCTAAGTGCTTCATGATTGATTTCATTTAAGCCACACAATACACCTATGGAGTTAGGACTATTAGCCTCCCCAGCTCATATCAGTAGGGAAACAGCAGCACAGGGAAGATAAGTAACTAGATGGTGCCAAGATGCAAGTCTAGCTCAAGTGCCCACCATTAACTGCTGTGCCCTGCTGCTGGCAGAGGAAGCCAAACTGGAAACAAAGAAACGAGAACTTTCTTCCCCTCATGAATCCTCCTGCCAGGCCTTCAGATAAGCACCTCCATTTTGCAAGCTAGTCTGTTTGGGAAAGAAGGAGATGAAAGGGAAGTGTGTAGTGCGTTAGTTTGCTAGGGCTGGCATAATCAAGTACCACAAACTGATTGGCTTACACAACAAATTATTTCGCAGTTCTGGAGGCCAGAAGTCCAAGAACAAGGTACCTGCATGGTTCATTCCTCCTGCACGGTTCATTCATCGGCTGGGAAGGAGAATCTGCTCCATGCCTCTCCAAGCTTCTGGTGGTTTGCTGGCTAACTTTGGTGTTCCTTGGCTTGGGGACACATTGCCCCAATCTCTCCCTTCCTGTTCACGGGGTGTTCTCTGACGAACACAAAGTTTGCTTGGCCAAACTTTAGACAGGCCCCTGATCCTTCTCCTAGGCCCGTCTGTGCACTTTCGTGTAAGATTCAGCTTCAGCAATGAACACGACTAAGCTAGTTTAGCAAGAACCCCCCTCAACATCTGATCACCGTAGATATCTGATTGGGCTCCTCCTTCTCCACCGACCCCCAGGTGTGTCCCATCACCCTGGCCTGTTTTGAGCAAGAATCCTATTAGGTCAGTTTAACCAGAATCTCCTCACCCGTGATGTTTCCTCTTAGTAATTTTCCATCCACTGACTGGCCACCCTGCTCCTGGGCTATAAATTCCCACCTGCCCCTGCTGCTTTCGGAGTTGAACCCAGTCTCTCTGACTGCACGACCTGGTTGCAGTGGTCCCTGTACCTATCACGATGGTGCTGAATATAGTCTTCCTTACCATGCCTTACCAAGTGTCATTGAATAATATTTTTCTGTTTTTGAGACAGAATCTTGTACTGTTGCCCAGGCGGGAGTGCAGTGGCGTGATTTCGGCTCACTGCAACCACTGCCTCCATGGTTCCAGCGATTCTCATGCCTCAGCCTCCTGAGTAGCCAGCACCACAGTTGCACGCCACCACACCTGGCTAATTTTTGTAGTTTTGGTAGAGACAGATTTCACCATGGTGGCCAGGCTGGTCTTGAACTTCTTGGCCTCAAATGATCCGCCCACCTCGGCCTCCCAGAGTGCTGGGATTCCAGGCATGAGCCACCACACCCAGCCTAATAAATTTTTTTAACATCTCTCGTGTGTATGTCTGCTCTGTATCCAAGTCTCCCCTTTTTACAGGGACATCAGTCTATTGGATTAGGGGACCACTCTAGTTCAGTATGACTTCATCTTAACTAATTACATCTTCAATGACCCTATATCCAGCTAGGGTCACATTCTGAGGCACTGGGGGTTAGGACTTCAACATATGAATTTGGTGGGTATTAGGTGGGGAGGTGGGGCAAAGGAGACACAATGCAACCCTTAACAGGAAGAAAAAAATGTTCTTGGAACAAACTTCAAAAGCTTAGATGCTAAAGACATTAGACATACTTCCCTGTGTATGGTGGTGCATGCCTGTAGTCCTAGGTACTTGTAAGGCTAAGGCAGAAGGATTGCTTGAGCCCAGGAGTTCAAGGCTGCACTGAGCTATCATCGCGCCACTGCACTCAACCTGGACGACAGAGCAAGACCCGTCTCTAAAAAAATAAAATAAAAAACAAAAATACTTCCCTGAGCAGGGCCAACCCACCATATTGTATACACTAAGTAAGAAGCTCCATTTTCATTTACGATTTTAGACGCCATCACCTAGGATGTTGAATCAATTATGGACAAGTCGGAATACGTTAAGGAAGTTGTTATAATGAGAATTCTTTTCCCTAAGACTTCACTTCAACTTTAATGTTTCTCTTTCAGATTTATCTACCATCCAATTATAAAACAGAAGTGCAGCAAGTCGGGTGGAAATGGTCTTGGTACCTGACACTAGCCAGCGTGTGAACTTCTCCCCTCTGAATAGCATTTGAATAAAAGCTGTGCTCATTTTTGGAGCGCAAGGTCAAATTAGAGAAGATGGATGTGAAGATTTCTCTGAACAAAGGTCTAAGAAGTAAAGGGAGCCAGTGTTCTGTATCAAAGTTCCTGGGAAAGACATTCTACTGATTTCGTTACTACAGATTCTTCCACTTCTCTCCATCACTCAGCGTGGGATGGGCCAGACATAGAAAGATGCAGTATCTGAATCCTGTAAGAAGTTCCTAGGGATGGGAAGAAGAACCTTTCTTTGGGTATAGAATGCAATGTCCTAATTAGCTCGAGGGAGCAGTGAGGACATCCTTGAGAAAGCCAATTCACATCCAACGCAGAATTCAATTTGGTGTAATGGATATCATACTTGTTTAGGAAGGGGATGATAAAGAGACTTGGATTTCGACCTTAGTTATAAATACCTCATTTATTCTTTATTTTATTCACTGTCTACTGGACTCCTATGATGTGACAAGTATCGGGAAAGCCATGAGTCAGGAAGTCAGATTTGCCATGCCCCTCTCTTCATGGAGCTCCGGGGCCTGGAACAAGCGCTCTTCTTTATGTGTTATTTCTCAGTCAGTAATGGGAAAATAGATAACTGAGTTTCCCTGAAGAATCCCATTCAACTCAACCAATGTCTACCCAGCCCTTAGCTTGATGGCAGCCAGTGTGTTTGAGGCTAGATAGCTGGAAAGCAAAAAAGGAATCTAATGGTGAATGAGATGGGACCCCCTACCTTAGAAAAAGTGCAATAAGCCAGGGAAGGCAGACGTGTAAATGACTGAGATCAGCACTCAGCAGAGGCACAGGCCTCAAACAAAGGAGGGATTTCCCTGAGTGCTGTGCAAGAGCAGAAAGAAACCCCAAAGTGTGATGTGCCCCATTTACCCTGGGCCTTGAAGGAAGAATGACTTCTCCAGTAAAGAACCGAGGAAGAACAGTCCAGTCTGAGTGTACAGAGTGAGCAAAGGGCAAAGGTCCAGAGCATGAAAGCGCCAGACCCTTAAAAAGTATAGTCCTCCCCAGTCATACCACTCCCAGCTCATTCTCATTCATCCTAGACGCGGGAACCCAAACACGCAGCTCAGACAGGAGTCAGGAAACAGCTGGACTCGAAGAGCCATCAGAACAATTCAGATAAGTCAACAATTGGAAACAATAATATTGGCATGGGTCAAGGGTGGTGACAAAGAGCACGTCATCTAAAGGGGACAGCACTGTTCAGCTTGGCTTGATTGTTGCCTCCCAGGAAAGTCACAGAAGCCAGATCTTGGAGATTTTTCAGAGAAGCTAGAAATATATATATACATAAATATATATATATGCACACACATACATATATAATATATATATATACACACACACACACACATATCACATATATAATATGTATTAGAGGGAGAGAGAAAGGATAGGTAACTTACACAAGGCCGAGATTTGGTAGAGAGGCGGGGTTTAAATCTTGTTTTTTTGTTTTTGTTTTTTGAGAAAGGGTCTTGCTCTGTCACCCAGGCAGGAGTGCAGTGGCATGATCTCAGCTCCCTGCAGCCTCGACCTCCTGGGCTCAAGTGATCCTCCCACTTCAGTCTCCTGAGTAATTGGAACTACAGGTGCATGCCACAACACCTGGGTAATTTTTATATTTTTTGTAGAGAGAGGGGTCTTGCTATGCCACTCAGGCTGGTCTTTAACTCCTGGGCTCAAGTGATCCTCCTACCCAGGCCTCCCAATGTGCTAGGATTATAGGGATGAGACACTGCACCAAAACTAGGTTCAAATCTTGAACTGTCAGATTCCAAAGTTGAGCTTCTGGAACGGCTGGGTAGGAAACATGGAAATTATTCAGGCCATGGAGGTGGAAGTTCTGGAAGGAAGAGGAACGGAAGCCAGGAAGGCACAAACAGGGAAGGCCAGTAATCTAGGGATAAGACATCCTAGCAGAAGAATCTTTTCTAATGATTAGGAAAGTCAAAACACACACATGCACTCACATCTGAAGAGTGGCAAGAGGAATTAGCAAGATTTAAAAGATTTAAAACACTAAAGCTTTGGCACCAAAAGCAGCCAGAAAATAGAAAAAGGCAAAAATACTTGGAACCACCCCAACTTCCTGCTGATATTAAATTTTAATGGATTAGGACTCAAGAATGGCTTCAAATAATAAAATGAAAATTTGTTACCAATTAAAGGAAAACATCAACCTGACCAAAATAAATCTGAAATGAGACGCTGAATCCTGGACTCCCCAGCCCTTCCTACCAGCCACAATTTCTTTCGATCAATAATTGAAACATCCTCCAGGCATATTAAAGAACCCAGAAGTCACACCCTGCCCTGCAGGGCTCCACAGGTGAACATTTGCATATGTCAAAGGAAAGGGCATTTCCACCAGCCTCCCTTGCTCTCCAGAGAGAACCCCGGGGCCTTGCAAGTCTCGGCAGATTTCCCTGACCTTGCGTGCCAAGGCAGAAGGTGAGATGGCAAACAGATGCGCGCTTCCACTGAGAGCGTGCATGTGTGTGCGTGTATGTGAGTGCGTGCATGTGTGTGCGTGCGTGTATGTGTGTGCGTGCGTGTGAGTGCACATGTGCGTGCAGGTGCCTGTGACCGCTGCTGTGGTGGGGGAACTGTGGGGAGAAGAGAAAGAAAGGGAGTGTTAAGAGAAAGGAAGATGGAGGGATGTTTACATTTAATCGTCACCTTTCGATTACATTTATTTTGGCCAAAGCCATCTAGCTATTGAATGACACAGCTATTCTTGGGTTCCATCTTAAGACTTTTTTTTTTTAATTGAAATGTATATTCTTTTTAAGAATCAAGGGGAAAGCCATTTAGATGCCTGGTATAAAGCCATTAAGGCTAAAGACGCAGCAGGATCCGCCTTACTGGGTATGAATGTGCCCATGAAAACCTTGTCCTTGTCAAGCCTTTATAATAATTATACACACCCTTAGTGATTTCAGTGGAAACGACGCTCTGAGGGGTTCTTGGGGAAGATTCACAAAAGCCACATAGCAAATCTCTTTGACTCAGTCTGGTAAACATCAGGTAGTAAGGGGCTTTCCCGGCTTAATTCATGGGAAATAATATGGAAAATAAATTCATCTTCAGTATTTATGAAAGTCGAGACTGAAAAATCTGCGAAGACTCCACAGGCGACAGTCACACAGGTTTCCCTCCCTTCCACAAATGATCAGCTCCAAACACTGAGCTGTAGGAAATGTAAAAAGCAACAATCCTTCACTCAAAGCAGGTCTCTGGAGGGGAGAGGCTGGAGGGTAAGAAGGAATGGAGCATATTTGACCCAGATGAAAAACCCATGCCCTGGCAGCCCCAAGACCACTATTCCAGAGCTTTCCCAGCTGAGGGCAGGCACACAGATGCCTAGTTCGCCTCTAAGATTTCAAGGGGGTGTTCTTTTGTCTCACTTTCTTGAAACTTTTTTTAAACTGGTATCTGTTTATAAAGCGTTTCTTTCTCTCTTTCTTTCTTCTTTCTTTCTTTCTTTCTTTTCTTTCCTTTTTTTTTTTTTTTTTTTTGAGTTGCTCTGTCATCCAAGCTGAAGTGCAGTGGCGCAATCATGGCTCACTGCAGCCTCAACCTCCTGTGCTCAAGCAATTCTCCCGCCTCAGCCTTCCAAGTAGCTGCTGGGACTACAGGCACACACAACCGTGTCCGGCTAATTTTCAAAATTTTTTGTAGAGACAGAGTCTTGCTATGTTGCTCAGGCTGGTCTCGAACTCCTGAGCTGAAGTGATCCTACCACCTTGATCTCCCAAAGTGCTGGGATTACAGACGTTGAGCCACCAGTCCCAGCTGTTTTTTCTTTTTTCCTATACACTGTGTGCTTGAGTCGAAAAGTTCATTCAGTTCATCTTCCAAACACCTCCGTGATGCACCTGTTTAGTACCTGACACAGGTGCTGGGCATTGGGCTGTGAACCTGCCCAAACATACTTAGCAAAAGTGAGCAGCAAAGATGGCATGGTGAGCAATGGATCCTGAAGGAAAAAGGACCAGCACGTGCAAGGCCAGGGATGTGGAACCTCACAGGACTCCCAGCATCTGCAGTCCAGACACTTGACCCACACTGAGTCAGAGAAGCCTCAGTCTTACTGACCTCGCTTCCCTCTTTTCTTTTTGCCTAGTGGCTTATGAAAGAGACTAAAAGTCCTGTTGAGAAACAACAGAGGGGCAGAACAGGAAATGTTTTCTAGCAAAGAAGAGAATGCACTCACAAATAAAAATGAAATGATCATTTGCATCCATCAAACATGTGTTTCTCGATTGTGTTATGAAGAAATTCAGAGTAGGAGATGAAACAGTGTTAATAGTCACATTGCATTTTCAGTTTGAGGAGCTTGCTGGGCATGCCCGAGTGTGGGTCTGCTACTTCGTTATTCATTTCGCCATTTACATTTCTGGTTTTTATCACATGTATGAGACAAAGTAGCCAATGTAAGAAGCCATGTCTGTTCATGTCTGCTTGCCAGCATAGTTTCACAAAGCCCCTGACTCTGTGATGACATGTAGCTCTCTCCAAAGATGCTTTGAAGACAAAACAGCAAGCCGGGCATAGTGGCTCATGCCTGTAATGCCAGCACTTTGGGAGGCCGAGGCAGGTAGATCACTTGAGGTCAGCAGTTCAAGACCACCCTGACCAACATGGCAAAACCCCATCTCTACTAAAAATACAAAAAAAAAAAAATTAATTGGGTGTGGTGGTGGGTGCCTGTAATCCCAGCTACTCAGGAGGCTGAGGCAGGAGAATCGCTTGAAACTAGGAGGCAGAGGTTGCAGTGAGCCGAAATCATGCCACTACACTCCAGCCTGGGTGACAAGAGCGAAATCTATCTCCAAAAAAAAAAAAAGAATAGTGCACTGGGCACCCCATGTCTCTTGCCTGAATCGCTATATTCCTTGAAAGATAAATGACCCTAGTCCTTTTGCTACAGAGAAGATCATGTCTGGCGGGATTAGTGTTATGCTTCTGGAAACTATAACCAGATGTGCTCTTGTACCCAAACTTACATGTGATTTTGCATGTTCTGAATTTTCACCACCTGTATATATACAGTGAACTGAAATTCTGTGTTGGAGCAGTCCTCAGAATTGTTCCCAGAATATAGGCCGTGATCTATAGTCTTCAGTAAAACTTTAAATAAACCTTCTTTTTTTTTTTTTTTGAGATGGAGTTGCATGATCTCAGCTCACTGCAGCCTCTGCCTCCCGGGTTCAAGCGATTCTCCTGCGTCAGCCTCCCGAGCAGCTGGGACTACAGATGTGCGCCACCACGCCCAGCTAAATTTTGCATTTGCAGTAGAGACAGGGTTTCACCATATTGGCCAGGCTGGTCTCGAACTCCTGACCTCATGATCCACCTGCCTTGGCCTCCTAAAATGCTGGGATTACAGGTGTGAGCCACCGCTCCCAGCCAACTAATCTTAATTCTTAAAATCTTGACTCTTTCTTTAGTTGACATATGCATATTTATTTTCCTTATGAAAATCAGAAATGTTATACACAGCAAAATATCCATGTTTAGTTCTCCTTCAGGTCTCTTAATTCTTTTTTCTGAATATTGAAAAATATATTTATCAGGAAAAATTGAATATATTTGTTTATGTCAACCTAAAAGGAAGAGGCTGAAGCACAAAAAATAATTTAAAGAGTGTACTAGAGCCAAAGTGAGGACAGCTGCTCGGAAAACTGAGACCTAGTAACCTTCAGTATGAGCTCTGGGTGGCCTTTGTTACAAGCAGATTTTTTTTTTTCTTTTAACAGAGTCTTGCTCTGTCACCCAGGCTGGAGAACAGCAGCACGATCACAGCTCACTGCAACCTCTGCTGCCTAGGTTCAAGCAATTCTCATGTCTCAACCTCCAGAGTAGCTGGGATTACAAGCGTGCACCAACACACCTGGCTAATTTTTTTTTTTTTTGAAACAGAGCCTCGCTCTGTTGCCCAGGCTGGAGTGCAGTGGCACGATCTTGGCTCACTGCAACCTCCTCCTCCCGGGTTCAAGAGATTCTCCTGCCTGAGCCTCTCAAGTAGCTGGGATTACAGGTGCCTGCCACTAAGCCCAGCTAATTTTTGTACTTTTAATAGAGACAGGGTTTTTCTATGTTGGCCAGGCTGGTCTCGAACTCCTAACCTCAGGTGATCCACCAGCGTTGGCCTCCCAAAGTGCTGGGATTACAGGCATGAGCCGCCGTGCCCAGCTGGCTATACATTGTTAAACTATAGGGTATGAGCTATAATGTCTGGTGCAGCATTATTAGGTTAATTTGTAGTTACTGTGGCAATAGCAAGCAGTTTCAAGAGATGAGTACATAGCTCAAAAGAGGGGAAGTGAGATGTGACTGCTGTCTCATTGTAATATCTCTCTCAACCTGATAATTTAAAAGGACTCACATTCCTCAGATAAAAGTTCTTTTCTCCATTTATTGGATTAAAAAATCATTTTCCAAGTGCAAAATGAATTATAGTATAAAATAATTATTTGAACAAATAGAATGAGGCCAGGTGCAGTGGCTCATGCCTGTAATCCCAGCTCTTTGGAAGGTTGAGGCGGGAGGATCACTTTAGGCCAGTAGTTTAAGAGCAGCCTGAGCAACATAGCAAGACACCATCTCTACTAAAAAATAAAGTAGCCAGGCATGCTGGCGTGTGCCTATAGTCCTAGCTACTTGGGAAGCTGGCGTAAGATTGCTTGAGCCCAGGAATTTGAGGCTGCAGTGAGCTATAATTGTGCACCCTAGCCTGGGCAATAGAGTGAGACCCTGTCGCTTAACAAGAAAGAAAGAAAACCAGAATGATCAAATCTAGATTTGTGCAATAAAGGAAACCAAAAATATTTCACCTCAAAATATACTTCTTTGAGGTATTTCAAGATGGCTATTCAAAGGCTGGAAACAAAATTGCTCAAAATCTGCCTTGTATGGGCGGGATTTGTATTCATAAAGAAAATCTGCATTGATGAAATAAACAGCCACCCTTTCTCTGCCTCACCCAGACCTTGTCGGGATCGAGGAGACTGGCTCACAGGAGAGACTGAGAGTCTGATGGGGGTCTAACAAAAACTTACTCTTTCTGAGCACCACTACCTGTGAGGTGTCATCTGCATAACAAGACCGTGTTTGCTAGCCAGGCCCGTCCTCTTCTCTCTTTCTCATAACTGGTCTTACCATACTCCAAGCCCCTATACTTTCTGTAACCTCAAGATGATATAAAGCATCAATCAGCAGATCCTTTCTTTGAGAGTTTTCATATTTTGTATGACTCCTGTGCCCATTTGCACATTAATAAGTTTGTATGCTTTTTTTCCCTGTTAATTTGTCTGTTATCAGTTTGGTTTTTGACTCAGCTTATCAAACCTTCTGGGGAAAAATTTAAGCTTTCCTTTCAGTTCGGTATTGTGAGCAGGACAACAAATTGCTCTGTTGGCTCCAGAACTTCAGGATGGGATCTTGGGTCAATTGATGAAAAGCCAGTGAAGAAAGCTAAGAAATTTTTACCAAGTCAGTTCTCCTGGGTCTCTGTGGTGCCCAGTTGAATGAGGAAGAGTCTTTCTTGGTCTTCTTCCATTTCTAAATTTGGATTAACAGGAAAAAATGTGTACGTAAATTAGTTTTGTGTTGGTTTAAATAGCTTTTGAAATAAAACGCTATTTAGTTGGCAACATTTTATTTTATTTTAGTCATTTTTTTAGAGACAAAGTTGTCCAGGCTACAGTATAATGGCACCATCATAGCTCCCTGTAACCTCGAATTCCCAGGCTCAAGCGCCCCTCCTGCCCCAGCCTCCTGGGTAGCTGGGATTACAGGCACATGCCATGCCACCATATTCAGCTATTTTTTTAATTTTTTCTATTTTTTAACAGAGACAGGGTCTCAAACTTCAAGCAATCCTCCTGCCTTGCCCTCACAAAGTGTTGGGATTGCAGGCATGAGCCACTGCACTCAGCCAAAATTTTTGCTTAAAAAAAAAAAAAAGTAAAATTGTGTTGGTCTTTTTGGGGAGCTGCAGACCTCTCCAGACTGGCTCCTCTGGGACTCATTCTTCCTTCAGCTTCTGCCCCGCCTTTTGCCCCCTTTGATATTCCCTCCAGTTGTCTGATATGGTTTATCTCAAGCCCCTTCTCCTCTATTTGGTGGTCAGTGGATGAAAAATTACAGAGAAAAAACATCAGAGTTCTAGTTATCACATAAAGGGATCTAAAAGAAATTTCTATCAACTGCGAGACCCCTTGAAGAACACAGTTAAGGCACCACTGACCCCCCTCTTTTGAGGTCCCCTGTATTCCTCATGGAACCCCAAGAGTTGTGAATGGGTTCCTTTCAGGTCTAAAGCTCTGCTCTCTTTTGTATTAAACTCCCTAATCTCTATGACTTTTGGATACATACATGTGTACATGTGTGTTGTGTGTTGTATCTACATGTATGTATGTGTCTATACATGTATTTGTATGTTGTCTACAGGATACCAAACTGACGTATAAATAAATGAGTACTCATAAATAACTAGCCAAAATGCTTTTCAAGTTCACATGTAATTTTTGGTAAGTAAAGCTAGCTTTAAATTTTTGAGTAAAATAAAAATGTCTTCAAAATTTAATGTAGACATTTTTGCCTGAGTCTACTGATTAAACAAATTTATGCTGTCTCTGCTAGGTGTTTTAAGGTCAAAAAACTTGCTTCTGTGATACTTTTGATACTTGCTTAACTTGTCTTTGAGCTAACACTGCAGGCTGGCTGTGTTCCACCAAAGCCTTGCAAACATCCTGCTGTGGGGTTTATGACTTTGGTTTTAAGCTTTGGATTCTGTAGTCTAGACAGTTGGCCATGGTGAGGCCTGGAGACATATGTATGTCCACAGTACCTGGGCCACCAGCTGCAGGGAAGAACCAAGCCCAATATGGCTCCATTCTCTCTGGCCCAGCTTGCCTCCTAGCCATGCTATGAAGGATCAGATCCTCCAGATACGGTCTTTACAGCTCTCTCCTTGTCCTGGGCTCTGCACCTGGTACATAACAATGAAAATTGCTTATGCCTGTAATCCCAGCACTTTGTGAGGCCGAGGTGGGTGGCTCACTTGAGGCCAGGAGTTTCAGAGGAGCCTGGTCAACACAGCAAGACCCCATCTCTGTGTTTAAAAATATATATATATTTTAAAATTAAAAGAAAAAATAAAATAAAATTGCTTATTTCAGCCAGGTATGGTGGCTCATGCCTGTAAATCCTAGCAATTTGGGAGGCCAAGGTAGGAGGATTGCTTGAGCCCAGGAGTTCAAGACCAGCCTGAGCAACATAGTGAAACCCTGTCTCTACAAATAATTTTTTTTTTTTTTTTGGAATGGAATCTCGCTCTGTTGCCCAGGCTGGAGTACAATGGCGCAATCTCGGCTCACTACAACCTCTGCCTGCCAGCAGTTCAAGTAAGTCTCCTGCCTCAGCCTCCCTAGCAGCCTGGACTAGAAGCACCCACCACCATGCCCAGCTAATTTGTGTATTTTTAGTAGAGACGGGGTTTCACCATGTTGGCCAGGCTGGTCTCAAACTCCTGGCCTCAAGTGATCTGCCCACCTCAGCCTCCCAAAGTTCTGAGATTACAGGCGTGAGCCACTGCGCCTGGCCCTACAAATAATAACTTTAAAAAAATTAGTCAAATGTTGTGTCATGCACCTGTGGTCCCAGCTACTCTGCCTTTAGCCCAGGCAGTCAAGGCTGCAGTGAGCCACGATCACATCACTGCTCCCCAGGCTGGGCAGCAGAGTGAGACCCTATCTCAAAATAAAATAAAACAAGATAGGCTGGGCACAGTGACTCACACCTGTAATCCCAGCAGTTTGGGAGGCTGAGGTGGGCGGATCACCTGAGGCCAGGAGTTTGAGGCCAGCCTGGCTAACATGGTGAAACCCCGTCTCTACTAAAAATACAAAAAAATCAGCTGGGTGTGGTGGCACATGCCTGTAGGTCTAGCTGCTTGGGAGACTGAGGCAGGAGAATCACTTGAATTCAGGAGAGGGAGGTTGCAGTGAGCCGAGATCATGCCACTACACTCCAGCCTGGGCAACAGAGTGAGACTCCGTCTCAAAAATAAAATAAAACAGCTTTTTTTTTTTTTTTTTTTTTTGAGACAGGGTCTCGCTCTGCCACCTAGGCTGGAGTGCAGTGGAACAATCTTGGCTCACCACAACCTCCACCTCCCAGGCTCAAGCAATCCTCCTGCCTCTGCTCCCTGAGTAGCTGGGACTGCTGGTGCATGCCACCACGCTTGGCTAATTTTTAAATATTTTGTAGAGACAAGGTCTCACTATATTGCCCAAGCTGGTCTCAAACTCCAAAGCTCAAGCAATCCTCCCACCTCGGCCTCCCGGAAGTGCTGGAATTACAGGTGTGAGCCACTGTGCCCCACCAAAATTGCTTATTTCTATGTTTTTCATTGAAAATTAAGGTTACTAAGAGTTAAAATTGTAATTAATATATGAAATTAAAACTACTAGATATAAAACGCACAATTCCTGCATACAGAATGTGTAAGAAGGCCAGGCACAGTGGCTCACACCTATAATCCAAGCACTTTGGGAGACTGAGGTGGGAGAATTGCTTGAGCCCAGGAGTTTGAGACCGGACTGGGTAACACAGGGAAACCTTGACTGTAATATATATATATATATATATATATATATATATTTTTTTTTTTTTTTTTTTTTTTAAGTAGCTGGGATGGTAGCACACACCTGTAGTCCTAGCTACTCAGGAGGCTGAGTTGGGAGGAGCACCTTGAGCCCAGGAGTTCCAGACCAGCCTGGGCGAAGGAGCGAGATCACATTTCAAAAAAAAAAAATTGAATGTGATTTTGGTTAAAGAAAAGTTTATAGCCGGGCGCGGTGGCTCACGCCTGTAATCCCAGCACTTTGGGAGGCCGAGGCGGGCAGATCAGGAGATCAGGAGATCGAGACCATCCTGGCTAACACGGTGAAACCCCGTCTCTACTAAAAACACAAAAAATTAGCCGGGCGTGGTCTCAGGCGCCTGTAGTCCCAGCTACTCGGGAGGCTGAGGCAGGAGAATGGTGTGAACCCAGGGGGCGGAGCCTGCAGTGAGCCGAGATCGCGCCACTGCACTCCAGCCTGGGTGACAGAGCGAGACTCCGTCTCAAAAAGAAAAGAAAAGAAAAGAAAAGTTTATAAAGAAGACATAAAGATGTGGTTTCTGCAAAGGAAAAGTAATTTTGTCCAGTTTAGAGGTTATTTAAAGTTTGTTTCAAAATGAAGGTATAAAGGAATAAAATATACACAGCAACACATCTATTACAGTTTACTTCAAAGAGAGATACGGAATGTGGGAGGACATCTCATTAGCTGGAAAATTCTCTGGGAAAATATTTTCTTGCTCTGAAAGAATTTTGAAAAAGGGCATTTCAGTTATGATTGAATCACATTGTAGGTCAAAAACAGTTAAACATCCACAATTTCATATGATTCAATCTGATCCAAGAGGACTGAGAAAAGTGTCATTACTTTTCTACTTGTTTATAATAAAAATTCTGTTATAAATTGTGCACTTAAAATGAGTGAATTTTATGGCATGTAAACTATAGCTCAATAGTGCTATTAAACATTCTACTTGAGTCATTTATTCATTCCCGTTTTCAAAACACAAATTCCTAATTCAGAGGTGGGATATCTCACTGAGGTTTCATGTGGCTAAATGACTTGTTTATTCATCCAGAGCAGAGCAGAAAACCAGACCACAAAGGAAAAGCCCAGACCTTTCCCTACTTGGCTCAGTCCCCTAGTTCACGAGACTTGGGTATAAAATGGCCCAATGTATTCCCAACAGCTGCAATTCTTCAAGACAGGAGGATAATCAAACTAAGTCCACATATTTTTTCAGAAAAAGAACCAGAAACTAAAGTCCACCCTCTCAACCACTTCTTTCTCCAAGGTAAAGTTAAACATTAACTGGAGTGCACAAACAAGGACTTTGTCTTGTTCTCTGTACTTCCTCCTCTCCTGTGACACACCCTGTTTCTCCCCAACCCCATCTCCCAACCCAATGTGTTCAATGTTATCAAACACCAGTCTCTCTCTGGAAGTTCAACTTGACCCAAACAGTCCATACTGGGAGACAGGAAAACAATAACAGTTTCAGCAGCAATATATTGACAGCCTTGTACGTGCTGCTTAGCATGCCACAGTGCAGTAGCCATTCTAGAATGCATTCCTGGTAGCAGATGGATATGCTAAACCTACAGGAAGGCCTCTATGGTGGCAGAGGGAGAGGCACTTCTCATACTTGCATTGCACCTGAAACCCTGGGCATCTGGTTAAAATGCAGATTTTGATCCTTTAGGTCTGGGGTGGGCACTGACACGCTGCATCTCTAACAAGCTGTCAGGAAATGCTGCTGCTATTGCTGCTGCCGCTGCTGGTGGTACAGGGACCACACTTTAAAGTAGCAAGATATTAAGGCATCACTGTTCAACAGAAACATAAAGCAAGGCAAAAATGCAAGCCCCTGTACATAATTTTAACTATTCTGGTAGCTGCACTAAAAAGTTAAGAAACAGGTAAAATTCATTTTAATAATATATTATTTAACTTAATAACTTAAAATGTTATCATTGCAATATGAAACCAATAGAAAATTTTATTTATGAGGTGTTTTACATTCTTTTTTTCATACGAAGTATTCGAAAGCTGGCAGGTATTTACCCTTAAGGAACCTCTTATTCCAGCTAACCAGGCTTCAAGGGCTCAGTAGTCCCATAAGGGCAGTGGCTATGTACAAGACAGCATGGCCCCTGGGGCTCCTCAGTGGTTCTGGACTCCCTAAGCAGCCATGCCGCGAAGCAGCCAACACTACGGGGAATTATTCTACTCTATTGGCTCCTATTGAGAGTCTTCTAAGAGGTCATAGAGACTCAGAAACGGAGTCTCAGAAACGGAGAAGAGAAACATCATGTCTTTTGAGGTCTGCTTATCAAAAACAAGAAGGGCCATGGTTCCAGGAGGGGAAGGAGGGCTTTTGCAGTTCGGAGCCCTCCAACAGAGAATCTAGCAAGCACGTTGCGAAGTAAGGTGGCCAAGACTGGTGGGTGGGAGGCATCCCAAGGGAGAAGCCCTAGAGCTCCTCAACTACTTCCCATGCCTGCTTCCTCACCGCCCTTCCTTGACTGGGTGCTGCTGAGATCCAGGTTCCGGACCCTCAGGCCACAGCCAAGCTCACCAATCCTGTGGCCTGAATTTAGTATCAAAAATGAAGTCATGGGGCGTGGTGGCTCACGCCTGTAATCACAGAACTTCGGGAGGCCGAGGCGGGCGGATCACCTGAGGTCCGGAGTTTGAGACCAGCCTGACCAACATGGAGAAACCCCGTGTCTACTAAAAATACAAAATTATCAGGGCGTGGTGGCGCGTGCCTGTAATCCCAGCTACTCAGGAGGCTGAGGCAGGAGAATCGCTGGAACCCGGGAGGTGGAGGTTGCAGTGAGCTGAGATTGTGCCATTGCACTCCAGCCTGGGCAACAAGGGTGAAACTCCGACTCGGGGAAAAAAAAAAAAAAAAAGAAGTCAAAGAGGGAAAGAGAGAGGTGACAGCATGCTGGCAGCCCTCGCACGCTCTCGGCGCCTCCTCGGCCTTGGCGCTCACTCTGGCCGCGCTTGAGGAGCCCTTCAGTCCACCGCTGCACTGTGGGAGCACCTTTCTGGGCTGGCCAAGGCCGGAGCCGGCTCCCTCAGCTCGCGGGGAGGTGTGGAGGGAGAGGCGCGGGCGGGAACCGGGGCTGCGCGCAGCGCTTGCAGGCCAGCGTGAGTTCCCAGTGGGCATGGGCTCGGCAAGCCCCACACTGGGAGCCGGCAGGCCCGCAAGCCCTGGGCAGTGAGGGGCTTAGCACCTGGGCCAGCAGCTGCTGTGCTCGATTTCTGGCTGGGCCTTAGCTGCCTCCCTGCAGGGCAGGGCTGGGGACCTGCAGCCCACCATGCCTGAGCCTCCCCCGACCTGCTGTGGGCTCCTGTGCAGCCCGAGCCTCCCTGACGAGCACTGCTCCCTGCTCCACGGCGCCCAGTCCCATCCACGGCCCAAGGGCTGAGGAGTGCTGGCGCATGGTGCGGGACTGGCAGGCAGCTTCACCTGCGGCCCCTGTGCGGGATCCACTGGGTGAAGCCAGCTGGGCTCCTGAGTCTGGCGGGGACTTGGAGAACATTTATGTCTAGCTAAGGGATTGTGAATGCACCAATCGGCACTCTATCTAGTTAGTCTGGTGGGGACTTGGAGAATCTTTATGTCTAGCTAAAGGTTTGTAAATGCACCAATCAGCACTCTGTGTCTAGCTCAGGGTTTGTAAATACACCAATCGACACTCTGTATCTAGCTAACCTAGTGGGGACATGGAGAACTTTTGTGTCTCACTCAGGGATTGTAAACGCACCAATCAGCACCCTGTCAAAATGGACCAATCAGCTCTCTGTAAAATGGACCAATTAGCAGGATGTGGGTGGGGCCAGATAAGAGAATAAAAGCAGGCTGCCCGAGCTAGCAGTGGCAACCCACTCGGTCCAGTTACACGCTGTGGAAGCTTTGTTCTTTCGCTCTTTGTGATAAATGTTGCTACTGCTCACTCTGGGTCCACGCTGCCTTTATGAACTGTAACACTCACCGTGACAGTCTGCAGCTTCACACCTGAAGCCAGCGAGACCACAAACCCACCAGGAGGAACGAACAACTCCAGGCAGGTAGCCTTAAGAACTGTAACACTCACTGCGAAGGTCTGCAGCTTCACTCCTGAGCCAGCGAGACCATGAACCCACTAAAAGGAAGAAACTCCGAACACATCCGAACATCAGAAGGAGCAAACAAACTCCGGACACGCCACCTTTAAGAACTGTAACACTCACCGCGAGGGTCTGCGGCTTCGTTCTTGAAGTCAGTGAGACCAAGAACCCACCAATTCCGGACACAAAAGGAAGAAAATAAAGGAGAAAATAAGAAGGAAAAAGGAAAGTAAGTAAATATAAAGAGAAAAAAGGAAAGAGTTCTAAGCTCTTAACCTCTATTTGCCTTCTTGCTTCTTTACTCTTGGTTCCCAGGTTATACACAAGAAGATGAATTCTGGAGTTTAATGTCCCTGCCTTAGCTTAGAGATAGGAGCAGGCTTGAAACCACAGTCTTTACTCAGGTAAAGCCAGCATGAGAGGATCACTTCTGACTTGCCCACAGGATTTGTTTATGGAAGTCATAGATCTATAGGACTTCACCCCGATGATATGGTTTGGCTGTGTCCCCACCCAAATCTCATCTTGAATTCCCATGTGTTGTGGGAGGAACCCAGTGGGAGGCAATCAAATCATGAGGGCAGGTCTTTCCCATGCTGTTCTCATGATAGTGAATAAGTCTGATGAGATCTGATGGTTTTATAAGGGGGAGTTTCCTTACACAAGCTCTTTCTTTTTTTGCCTGCTGCCATCCATGTAAGATGTGACTTGCCCCTCCTTGCCTTCTGCCATGATTGTGAGGCCTCCCCAGCCACATAGAACTGTGAGTCCATTAAACCTCTTTTTCTTCCTAGTCTTGGGTATGTCTTTATCAGCAGCATGAAAACGGACTAATACACCTATCAAAGCAGGAATTCCTCTGAAACAAGGACAGCCAGACTTTCCTTGAAAATTTCCAGAAAGAATTCACTACCCGAATAAGACATCCTCTCCAATTTTTAAGAAATATTACAAAGTTATTGCTATGAAGTTGAAATTTACCTTCATTTAATGTTCAGCCACTAATCCATGTACTATTTTCCAGAACTTCATGAAATACATGTAATCCCTATTCTTTAAATACTTGAAGACAGTTGTCCTGGGTACCTGTCCTAGATCCCTTCCTGTCCAAATCTGCCAACACCTTTCTATCAATATGTATATATATGTTTCAAGTTGATATATATACACACATATGTATATGTGTGTGTGTATATATATACACACTGTGTTATTGGTTTTAGTTTTAAAATGTGAAACATAATAATAGCATGTTTGTATGTAAATGGAAATGATCCTTTAGATAGGGAAACACTTACAATAGAGGAGAGAAGGGAGAATTACTAGAGCAGCATGTCTCAGTCCATTTGGACTATTATAACAAATTCCATAACTGGGGGCTTATAAACAAAAGAAGTTTATTTCTCACAACTCTGGAGGCTAAAAGTCCAAGATCAGGAAGCTGGAAAATCCAGCCTGGGAAGGGCCCACTTTCTGGTTCATAGTTGGGACCTTCTTGCCCTAGCCTTACCTGGTGGAAGGAGTACAGGAGCTCCCTTGCACCTCTTCCATAAGGGCACCTATCCTATCAGGAGGGCTCCACCCTCATGACCTAATCATCTCCCAAAGCCCAACCTCCTGATATCACCACCCTGGGGGTTAGGAGTTCAACATAGGAATTTGGGGAGGACATCGCCATTCAGGCCATAGCAAGGTGTCTTTGATGAATGAAAGGGTGTGGGATCCATGTCCGAGTGGAAGGGCAGGCCCTTGCTAGGAGCACAGACCCATCATCCATGGAAACAAGAAGGCGGAGTGAACAGGAACAGATGTCTCTTCCAGTGTGTAGTGGGAGAATGTAGAACTTTTCTTTGATTTCTTAAATTTTCTGAGTGAAATAGGAAACAACGATATCTGCTAAAGGTGAGGACAAGGTATGAGTTGAGGTCTGAGAAAAGAGGAAAAAGTATGAATGTATCGTCTAGGAGAGGGAGAAGAGTGAAGGGACACTTTCACTTTGCCAGACAGCATTAAGGGTATACTTGAATTTAGTGACCATAAAATCATCTCTCAGACCATATCTCAGACCCTTTATAATTCTTTTTTTTTTTTTTTTTTTTTTGAGACAGGTTCTTGCTCTGTTGCCCAGGCTGGAGTGCAGTGGTACTGTCTCAGGTAACTGCAACCTCTGCCTCCCAAGCTCAAGCAATCCTCCCACCTCAGCCTCCTGAATAGCTGGGACTACAGGGTGCATGTCACCACACCTACTAATTTTTGTACTTTTTGTAGAGATGAGGTTTCGCCATGTTGCCCTGGCTGGCCTCAAACTCAGGCTCAAGCAATCCTCCTGCCTCAGCCTCCCAAAGTGCTGAAATTACAGCCATGAGCCACTGTGTTCAGCCTATAATTCAATTTTTAAGGAATAACCTGAAATCAATAAATGGAAACACTGACTTGACTATACTAAAATCTAAGGACCCTAGACTTTTAGAACTAGAAGATACTGGGCCGGGCACGGTGGCTCACGCCTGTAATGCCAGCACTTTGGGAGGCCAATGCAGGTGGATCACCTGAGGTCAGGAGTTCGAGACCAGCCTGGCCAACATGGTGAAACCCCATCTCTACTAAAAATACAAAAATTAGCCAAGTGTGGTGGCACACACCTGTAATCCCAGCTACTCAGGAGGCTGAGGCAGTAGAATCGCTTGAACCCAGGAGGTGGAGGTTGCAGTGAGCCAAGATCACATCATTGCACTCCAGCCTGGGCGACAACAGTGAAACTCCATCTCAAAAAAAAAAAAAAAAAAAAAACCTACAAGATACTTTAAATACTATTATTCAACTTCTTTCTTTCACAGAGAAAGAAATGGAAGGCCGGAGAAGTTAAAACATTTGTTAAACAAGTCTATGGCAGAACCCAGATCTTTATTGTGGGGAAGAAAAGTAATACTCGATATGTGACCCCCAAATGCAGAATACACACCAATGGCTGGAATTTCTAGATTTCATCTAAGTATAATATGTTCTTAATAGAGATATCCAGTAATGGGATGGGCTACTTGAGAGGGAGTAAAGATAGAAGACTTAGCCAGGTGCAGTGGCTCATGCCTGTAATTCCAGCACTTTGGGAGTCCAAGGCAGGCGGATCACAAGGTCTGGAGTTCGAGACCAGCCTGGCTAATATGGTGAAACCCTGTCTCTACTAAAAATACAAAAATTAGCCGGGTGTGGTGGCACTGGGACTAGTAGCCTGTAGTCCCAGCTACTCAGGAGGCTGAGGCAGGAGAATCGCTTGAACCCGGGTGGTGGAGGTTGCAGTGAGCCGAGATCACACCACTGCACTCTGGCCTGGGTGTCAGAGTGAGACTCCATCTAAAAAAAAAAAAAAAATTAGAAAACTTCACACGTGAAGGATGGTTCTTGCATTACGGGAGTTAGTCTAAATTAACCTTCCAGCTCTGATATTCCACACTTCAAATAGAGATAAACGTTTAAGAATATTGTGCACTGTTTATTAATACCGAGGCAACGTTAGGACTACTAGAATAACTAAATCCCACTAGTTCCTTAAAAAGCCTCCCAGGGGGTGGGGATGTAAAAAAAAAAAAAAAGAAAAAAAAAGATCTTTTAAATAAAAAGCCTCCTACCCCTAAATTATTCAATTACAACTTTTGAAGCATCAGTACTGACTGAAGTTCCTTATTTCCCCTACTCACATGTGCTTATACAGCATAAAATGTCTGTAAGACAAGCAGTCAGTGGAGTAGTTAGGAGAGCAGAGAAGCTAGGGTAATAAACAGAACAGATAATTAGTCCTTGAATAACTGATGAACTTAGGCTCCAAGGTCATTATTCCACAACATTCTTTTTTTTTTTTTTTTTGAGATGGAGTCTCGCTCTGTTGCCCAGGCTGGAGTGCAGTGGCGCAATCTCAGCTCACTGCGAGCTCCGCCTCCCTGGTTCATGCCATTCTCCTGCCTCAGCCTCCTGAGTAGCTGGGACTACAGGCACCCACCACCACGCCCAGCTAATTGTTTTTGTATTTTTAATATAGACGGGGTTTCACCATGTTAGCCAGGATGGTCTCGATCTCCTGACCTCCTGATCCGCCCACCTCGGCCTCCCGAAGTGCTGGGATTACAGGCGTGAGCCACCGCGCCCGGCCCCAAACATTCTTAATGGTACTGAAACTACTCCAAACATTTTCGTGACACCAACCAGTGACTGGGTTACAAGTTTGCTCCAGAGGAAACACTTTTCAGAAAGGATGAGTAAGTTGCTTCCAATAATGAGGAATGGCCACAGCTGAGAAGATGCCTTTAAAATACAATCTGGGAAAGTACTCTCCGATCTAATTTGTTTCATAGCATGTTAGTACTTTTAAAATTTTTCTGCAGCATACTTGGAAAAAAATTGGAAGAGTGGCAGGGACAGATATAACATGTCCACTGATAACTGCCATGTGTCCAGCAAGGCTGGCAGATTTGTCCAGTAGAGAAACAACAAGACTTATACCCTGTTGAACTTAGTTTATTGCTTAGACATCAAACAACAACAGCAACCCCAAAAACAAAAAACAAAGAGGCCAGTTCCTCATGTCCTTTGTCCCATAAGGCAACACTGAAACAAAAGTGGCCAGATGACAGCATGGATGATAGCACACTCTAGCTGAGAAGCCTGTGGCATGCTGCAACTAAGCAATTTTATAGCCTGCAGCTATTCCCTAAGGGTAAAGACAAGGCCTCATACCTCAATCAGAACCCAAGAAACAATGAGAGTGTCCCATGACGGCCTCCATGGAAGATGGGGAGGTGAGTGGGAAATGGCCTTAGGGCATCTCCTCATGTTCTGGGACAATCACAGGGCACTATTCCAAGACTTAGATCAGTTGCGGTTAAGCTTTGCCTATGTGGCCTATGTGGAGACTTGCACAGATGACGAGGACATCATGGTGGAGTCATTACCCTAGGCCATGGTGGAATTAAAGAGTCTCTTGGGAAAGATTATGAAAGAGAGGGAAGAGTGACATGCAGACGTCCGTAAAAATAGTCAAAAGGGCTCTGATTAGCAAGCTGAGTCCCCACAAGGGAAAGAGGTCACATGGGCAGTATTGGTTCATTAAGACGGGAATCTACCATGGGCAAAGGGCTAGTGAAAGCCCATTGGACACAGCATAACAGGACACTTTAGACCATTCCTAACACAGGGATCTGGAAATGCTACTTGACATTGTGAGAAAAAAACTCACCTGTCCACACCCAAAGAATGGACTCAAGAGACCGGGAGAACCGTGAAAGTGAGACTTTTAATGATGGTCTTGCAAGATTGGGTGTCTGATGAATGGGAACACCCAGCACAGTTTCAACAAGCAATTTGTCCCCTAGTGCGCAGGTCCCTTCCCCAGTTCCTCATAGGCTGAGGACGATGGGGTCACAATCTTCCCAGACATCGCCTATGATTGTTGGGTAGGGGATTTAGATGGTTTCTTTAGGGTTGTCTTGCTGCATTTTTTTTTTTGCAGCCCACAATGCATTGCAATCCTAGTTAGCTCAGGGGCTCTTCGGGTATTTGACTTAGGACCTAAGTAGCTGGGCAGGCTGATAAGAATAGACAAAGCGAGCTATCTTGCAGACTAGTAAACTTTCATCTTAGACTAAACTTTGGTTCGGGTAAAGGCAACTAAGGGGGTTGGAGGGGGAGGGGGGAGGCCGACAAGCAGGTGTTGGCTATCCAAGCAGAGGCCTAGTATATGCTGTTTCTTCTGTAGTTTGCTGACCTAAGCTGATTCAAGGCACTTTGTCTTGGAAATAGACCACTGTATATATCATTTCCTTTAACAGCAAAAAAACCACATGGGCCGGGCACAGTGGCTAACGCCTATGATCCCAGCACTTTGGAAGGCCGAGGTGGGTGGATCACTTGAGGTCAGGAGTTCGAGACCAGCCTGGCCAACATGGCAAAACTCCGTCTCTACTAAAAATACAAAAAAATTAGCCGGGCCTGGCGATGCGTGCCTGTAATCCCAGCTACTCAGGAGGCTGAGGCAGGAGAATCGCTTGAACCCGGGAGGCGGAGGTTGTAGTGAGCCGAGATCCTACCACTGCACTCCAGCCTGGGCAACACAGGGACGGACACACTGTCTCAAAAAAAAAAAAAAAAAAGAAAAAGAAAGAAAGAAAAAAGAAACTACTAATCTGGCCTAATTCTCTTAGTTTACAGATGAGGAACCGAAGGTCCAGAAAGGTGAGATGATTTTCCGAGGTTACACTTCTACTTTGGAGAAACAGCTTGAGCTCAACCATTTCCTCACGGTCCAAGGCTGCTTCTAGTGGACTACCCACTTCTAAATTGCGACGCAAGTTTTCGCTTTTACCAAAACAAAACTGCACCAGTTAGAAATTGTTCCAAAGCAAAACTGAAACTTCTACTGAGAATGCTACTATTCTGAAGCTGAAATTATGCCTTTAAAAAAACACTTTTTTTTTTTACCAGACTAGTTCAGTGGCATCAAGAATTGCTAAAATCTTAGTAATTTATTTTTTAAAGCATTGTTTTATCCAGATACTTAAGAAGATGTGATTTTAATACTTCATTATTCCATTGCATTTTAAAGCAAGGTTTTAATTTAGTCTCACAACCAAAACACTTTCCAAAAAAAGCATCTCTAATTTGGTAATTTGTGTCAATAAGAAAATATGACTAATTAATATAAATCAGATTTACTGCCAACTTTTCAGGAATACATTTATTTTGTCAAGTAACCTGTTAATTAAACAGGAGTATGATAAGAGAAACAAGTGATAATAATACAAGTAAACAGAGCTTCAAGCTTATCATTTTCAGAGGGAAATGTAGGTAATATCCACAAGCAGGACATCACATTATACTTTTGATACCAAAATTCAAATACAATTTTGGCACTGCTATTCTATCTGTATATAAAAATTAAATAAAACAAAAAAGGCGCTAGATGCATGTTCTTAATGATTAATATTCTGTGCATACTTTTTTCTGCACACAATTTTTAGGGGAGACAGAACACGGATTAATGAAATGCTGACAATCTAACATATTCTGTGACAAATTGGAGTTATAGAAAAAATTGCCAATTTTGAATACCAAGATATATTTGAAGGTTCCTTATTCTCCCTCACTCAAAAAAAAATCAAATATATTATTTGGCGTCTTCTAGCATCATAATGGGCAACAATTTATCCAGGTTCTGCTATATGCATTGAACCATTATCTCCAGCAATAAGGATTTTTATTTTTATTATTTTTATTTTCTTTGAGACAAGGTCTTGCTCTGTCTCCCAGGCTGGAGTGCAGTGGTGTGATCTCGGCTCACTGCAACCTCCGGAGGGTTATCTGTTAGGAAATGATTGCATGAGTTTGGTCAGCAAGTGAGGAAAACCTGCAACACTGGGAGAAATCAAGATGACTACGGATACTGGTGTGAGTTGGGAGTCTTCATATTTGTTCAAAGAATGAATAATTAAAAGAGCAAGTGAATAAAGGCAAAAGTTCACAGTGAGAGCTGGTCAAAAAGGAAAAGATGTTAACTTTGGATTTAGACAAGCTAAATTTAGAATGATGGCTGGATATCAAGGTGGGAGTCCTCAGGAAGGAGCAGGAGATGTGAGGCCAAAGTTTGAGAGTAATCAGAGCAGTAGGTACAATTTTCAAGTTAATCTCCAGGGAGGTCAATGTTTAAGCCAGGGCATAGAAGGATCCTAAACTGGGAGCTCATGTACAGAGTAAGAACAAAAGAGAAGGCTGAGGAGTGATGATGAAGAATTGGAACTGACAAAGAGCCCAGAAAAAGCATCATATGGGAATAAAGTGGAGAAAAGAAACAATGCAATGTTATCAGTCTTGACTGGTTCAAGAGAGGCTAAATAGAATGACATCAAAGGGCATGGATGGCCTCAGAAAGAATAGTTGCAGGCAAATAACAAGGTGAAAGCTAAACTGCAATGGGTTAAGGAGTGACAGTCAGTGGAAAGAGCAGGTATAATGTTGACCAGTACAAAGAAAGGACTGCAATTAAAGGAATAAGGGGAGGGAAGATTTTAGTCTTCAAGAATAGACATTGGTACTGAGAGTAATAAGCATTGTGGGACAGTATATTTGGCCTCTATGTACTGTGGAGGTGACATATGGTCTAGCTTCTTAGATTTCTACTTTTTATTTATTTAGTGTTTTTTGAGATAGAGTCTCACTCCGTCATCCAGGCTGGAGTGCAGTGGCGCGATGTCGGCTCAGTACAGCTTCCGCCTCCTGGGTTCAAGCGATTCTCATGCCTCAGCCTCCAGAGTAGCTGGAATTACGGCGCCCCCCACCATGCCCAGCTAATTTTTGTAATTTTAGTAGAGATGGGGTTTCACCATGTTGGCCAGGCTGGTCTCAAACTCCTGACCTCAAGTGATCCACCTGCCTCAGCCTCCAGAAGTGCTGGGATTACAGGTGTGAGCCTCTGCGCCCATCCTCTACTTTTTAGTTTAGCAAAAGTATCTTGAATTTGATGGAGCTTATGTTGAAAAATAGTTTATATTTTTTATCATTTTTTATTTATTTTTGAGACACAGTCTCACTCTGTCACCCAGGCTGGAGTGCAGTGGCGCAATCTTGGCTCACTGCAACCTCTGCCTCCCAGGTTCAAGCGATTCTCTTGCCTCAGCCTCCCCAGTAGCTGGGTCTACAGTGGGACATGCACATCTTCTGATAAAGGACCAGAGTCTACTAATTCTTTATACTTATAGTCATATTTTCTTTTCTTTTAGACATGGGGTCTTGCTATGTTTCCCATGTTGGCCTCAAACTCCTGGGCTCAAAGGGTCCTTCTGCTTCTGCCTCTGAGTAGCTGCGAATACAGGTGTGCACCACTGCACCCAGCTCTATATTTTCTTTTCTTTCTTTTTTTCTTGAGACAGAATTGCCCAGGCTGGAGTGGAATGGCACAATCTCGGCTCACTCCAACCTCTGCCTCCTGGGTTCAAGCGATTCTCCTGCTTCTGCCTCCTAAGTAGCTGGGATTACAGGCATGCGCCACCACACCTGGCTAATTTTTTGGATGTAGTAGGGATGGGGTTTCACCATATTGGTTAGAGTGGTCTCGAACTCCTGACCTGAGGTGATCCACCCACCTTGGCCTCCCAAAGTGCTGGGATTACAGGCGTGAGCCACTGCGCCTGGCCTATATTTTATTTTCTTAAGTAGTTTCTATCCCAAAGTATCTTCTTTAAGTCAGGATACCATGATATATTTTCTTCCATTAAATGATGCTTTGTAGTATGTAAGATAAAATGTAGGAGAATTTTTTGAAGTTTCAAAGCAAAGGTAAATTTATATTTTTCTCTTTTTTTTTTTTTTTTTGAGACGGAGTTTTGCTCTTGCCCAAGCTGGAGTGCAGTGGCACAATCTCGGCTCACTGCAACCTCTGCCTCCCGGGTTCAAGTGATTCTCCTGCCTCAGCCTCCTGAGTAGCTGGGATTACAGGTGTGCACCACCACGTCTGGCTAATTTTTGCATTTTTAGTAGAGACAGGGTTTCACGGTGTTAGCTAGGATGGTCTCGATCGCCTGACCTCGTGATCCGCCCACCTCAGCCTCCCAAAGAGCTGGGATTACAGGCATGAGCCACCATGCCCGGCCTTATATTTTCAACTAACAGGATTCCCATAACTGAATGCATCCTCGAATATTTGGAAACTTGGTTGGGTAAGAGTAACCACATATGCTGGTTACCTATATCCTCTTGTATTTAAAAAATCAGCAGCAGACATTCCTTATGATCAGAAATTTCTTCCCAAGCTCTCAGCCTATCTCCATCTTCCTCATTTGCAGCTAACCTCTGTTCTCTTGTTCATTTCCCCAGGACACTTCCTTCTGGAAATAGCCTATGTTGTTTATCTTCAGTCTTTCCTTCTAGTTATAAAAGAAGCCTAACTAAAATTTACTAAGTACTTAGTATATGCCAAGGACTATTCTAAGTGCTTTACATAGGTTCTGTTCTGCAATCCTCTCAATGCAAAAATGCATTTTACAGATGAGGAAACTGAAGGAGAGAGAGGATAAATGACCTGCCTAAGATCACACAGCTTGGAGTCAAGATTAGAACCTAGGAAGTCTGGCTCCCAAAGCCACAGCCTTAACCAACTGCTATACTGCTTCTCACTAGACCCCCTCAGTCTCTTTGGAGTACTAACTTCATTCAGTAATATTTACTATGTGCTGACACTGGGAAGCAGGCTGTGCTAGGGACTGAGCTTTTTGGAATTAAGGAAGTAGATACGGGAGCATACCTTCCAGAAGGGGACACAAACAAGTCATTACAATGAGCATGACGGGGAGGCAAGTGCACATGCTCAGGCCCTCACAACGCCAGGGTTGGGGAAGGGGCTGACTTTCCCCTTCAGAGAGCGTCGGGGAGGAGAGCTAGCCCGATAGCACTGGAATACCAGCTCCATAATTTGCTAGCTGGGAGACTCTGGAAACATGATTTAAGGTCTCTTTTTGGGCCTGTAACTAAAATAAAATAAAATAAATAAAATAAAATAAAATAATAAAATAAAATAAAATAAAATAAAATAAAATAAAATAAAATAAATAAAATAAATAAAATAAAATAAATAAAATAAATAAAATAAATAAAATAAATAAAATAAAATAAAATAAAATAAAATAAAATAAAATAAAAAAATAAAATAAAATAAAATAAAATAAAATAAAATAAAATACAAATAGATAACAGCTGTTCCCCCAAATATGTTCTTAGCTTTCTTCCTTGATCATTTACAGCTGGCTTCAACATTCAATTCTATGCCCACAGCCTCCCCATCTGTACCTCCGGCTTGGGCCTCTCTTCTGAGTGCTAGCGGAAGGGGAGCTGGCCATCTCCCCCTGGCCCCTGATCCCAGCTCAAACTATGTGTACTCAGAACCCACTGGCCCTCTCCAAACTGTAGAGTGTTCACAGCCATGCTGCCCACTTCCGTCACTGGCACCACCACTCTTCCAGAAACCCAGGGGTGAAACATCTTTGGCTCTCTCCTCTCCCCTGCCGCTCACATCTTATCACTCTGTTTCCAAGTTGTTTTGATCTCCCCTTTCCTTCCATTTTTACTTCCACAAGTAAGTGCGACTTCATTATCTAGCCTGACTACTGCAGTAGCCCCCTCCCAAATCATCTCACTGCAATCTTACCTCGATCGAGAGGAAAAATTAGATTTCCTGAGTCCCCGCTGATCATCACTCCCATTCCAGCCTTCCACATTCCTTATGCTCAGTCACCCATTAGCTTCTCTGCTCCTCACCCCTCTCCCTCACGTTAGACTCCAGACAAGCTCAACTGCTCAGTGTCCTTACACAAACTACGAGGTATCCCAACTGCTCATGCTGCTTGCTTCTCCTGGAACACCTTCTCCATTTCTGAATGTCCAAACACCGCCCATCTGTGGATGCTCTGTTCAGATCACTCTACTCAGGGAGGGGCACAGTGGCTCTCGCCTGTAATCCCAGCACTTCGGAGGCTGAGGTGGGTGGATCACTTGACATCAGGAGTTCGAAATTGCTCTCCTCTAGAAAATTTGCTCTATCCTTTGGTTGCAAATTATGTCTTCCTGACTTGAGCTTACACAGCATTTTATCATTCTACTAGGCAGTTGACAGTGTCTTTCTTGTTTGCACAGATGGTTATGCAACACTCTCCTACTAGGTGGCAAAATCCTTTGGGTGTAGAATCCAGTTGTGATTCATTCTCATGTGTCTCACTGTCCCCAACACAAACTGCCCAAAAATATAACTAAATGTATAAAAATGAATGCAAGGTCAGAAAGACAGAAAACTGGAAAGATGGGAGAAACAGCAATAGCATACTACCATGAGGTTGACTGAAACTTCAGGGTGCTAAGTGATGAGCATCATCTTTCCATCACAGGGATTTGAAGTCGGAAAAATAACTGACTATAGTCACAACATGTTAAAGAGGACTTTTCCAAAAGACATTTCTGTGAAAGGAACAAAATAACATCACTGATATGGTCTGATGTGTCTCAAATTCATGTGCTGGAAATGTAATCCCCAGTGCAAATGTTGAGAGGTGGGGCATTTTAAGAGATGTTTAGGTCATGAGGGCTGTGCCCTGATCAATGGATTAATGCCACTGTAGAAGAGTTTGATGAGGAAGTTTGTCTCTCTTTGCCCTTCCGCCCTCTGCCAGGTGAGAACACAGTATTACCCCTCTATGGAGGACACAGTGTCTCAGCAGCAGCCCTCACCAGATGCTGGTGCCTTGATCTTGGTCTTCCCAGCCTCTGTAACTGTCAGAAATAAATTTTGGTTCTTTATAAATTAATCAGTCTCTGGTATTGTGATAGCAGCACAAAACAGGCTAAGAAAATCACCTTAATGTTTAGACCCACATATTGCTGGAAGGTACAAATTAATGCAAATAAGGTCTTTAAACAATACAGGGTTAAAAAAAAAGAGAAACAGGTTTCACTTTGTTGCCCAGGATGGTCTTGAACTCCTGTGCTTAAGCAATTCTCCTGCCTCAGCCTCCCAAATGTGCTAGGATTACAGGTGTGAGCCACCATGCCCAGCCAATACAGGCTTTTTAAAGAACTATTGTTAGGCCAGGCACAGTGGCTCACGCCTGTATTCCCAGCACTTTGGGAGGCCACGGGCAGATCACCTGAGGTCATGAGTTTGAGACCAGCCTGGCCAACATGGCAAAACCCCATCTCTACTAAAAATACAAAAAAATTAGCTGGGCATGGTGGCGCATGCCTGTAGTCCCAGCTACTCGGGAGACTAAGGCAGGAGAATTGCTTGAACCCAGGAGGCAGAGGTTACAGTGAGCTGAGATCATGCCAACTGCACTGCACCCTAGCCTGGGCGACAGAGCAAGACTCTGTCTCAAAAAAAAAAATTATCGTTACCTCTTAATGAGGCAGAAGAAAGAACAAATAGGTGGAGGTATACTAAAGGGGAATTAATAAAAATATATTATCTTCTAAACTCCAATTTTTGCTTCCACTCACAATCCACAGGATCTCAGCACTACCGCTTTAAAGATGTTGCCTCAACTCAAATATTACACTAACAGGCTTGTCTCCTAAGGCTACTATTTTTTTCTTAGTCAAGAACTTAGCCAGCACAATCTCAAAAGTTTGTGCAGAGACTTAGGAAGCAACCTTAAGTAGAAAATAACAGAAGAGCTTAAAATCAGCTACCATATAACCGAAGAAACAGAACAATCCATTTCAAGCATTATCCTCCATACCTTGTCAATCTCCAATGCAGAGAAATGGAAAAAGTTCTGTTATTGTGGCCATTTTACTAGTACTGTGGCCATCTGCTTCTAGCCTCAAAATGTTAACTTCTTTTAGAGAAACAAAGGACAATTTTAGAATGTACCTTAAACATGCCTGGGTTAGAGACCAAGGAAAACAAGTTCAACTGCTCCACAAAAATAAAAAAAAAAATTGGCTGGGCATGGTGGCTCATGCTTGTAATCCCAGAAATTTGGGAGCCCAAGGCAGGCAGATCCCTTGAACCTAGTTGTTTGAGACCAGCCTGGGCAACATGGTGAAACTCTGTCTCTACAAAAAAAATACAAAAACTAGCTGGGGATGGTGGCACATACCTATGGTCCCAGCTACTTGGGAGGCTGAGATGGGAGGATCACCTGAGCCTGGGAGGTCGAGGCTGAAGTGAGCCAAGATGGCACCACTGCACTCACCTAGTGACAGGGCGAGATCCTGTCTCCAAAAAAAAATTTTTTTTAAGCGAAACTCTCTAAAGAACATGTGATCATAAGAATAGCTTGAGCCTGGGAGGTGAAGGTTGCAGTGAGCAGTGATCACACTATTGCACTCCATCCTGGGCTACAGAACGAGACTCTGTCTCAAAAAAAAAAAAAAAGGTTACTAATTTTTGTATGTGAATTTTTGCCTCTATGTGTACAACAAAACCACTTACACTAGAGCTTCCCTCAGCAACAAAAGATAGCATTAGAAAGTTGAAAAACAATTCCAAGTAAATAGTTGTTAGTATCTGCATTAGGCTGTTCTTGCACTGCTATAAAGAAATACCTGAAGCTAGGGGTGGCAGCTCACGCCTATAATCCCAGCACTTTGGGAAGCAGAGGCAGGAGGATTGCTTGAGCCCAGGAGTTCAAGACCAACCTGGGCAACACAGGGAGACTCCGTCTCTACAAAAAACAAACAAAATTAGTCAGGTATGGTGGCATGCGCCTGTAGTCCCAGCTACTCAGGAGGCTGAGATGGGAGGATCGCTTGAGCCCAAGAGATCAAGGCTGCAGTAAGCCAGGATGGTGGCTACTGCACTCCAGCCTGGGCAAGAGAGTAAGACCAGAAGACGGAAGGTAAAGGGGGAGCAGGCACATCACATGGCAGGAGCAAGAGCAAAAGAGAGGGGTGGATGGTGGGGTGGGTGGGGGATGGTTGGGTGTGCCACACACTCTTAAACAGTCAGATCTCATGAGAACTCAACTATCGGTAGGACAGCACCGAGACATGAGGAATCTGCCCCCATGACCCAAACACTTCCCACCAGGTCTCACCTCCAACACTGTGGATTACATTTCAACTTGAGATTTGGGTGAAAATATTCAAACTATATCAATGCCTTAAAGAACAAAAGTGTCCCAGCACTTTGGGAGGCCAAGGTGGGAGGATTGCTTGAGCCCAAGAGTTCAAGACCAGTCTGGGCAACATGGTGAGACCCCCATCTCTACAAAAAAATAGAAAATTAAGGGCTGGGCATGGTGGCTTATGCCTATAATACCTACACTTTGGGAGGCTGAGGCAGGAGGACTGCTTGAGCCCAGGAGTTCAAGACCAGCCTGGGCAACATGGCAAGACCCTATCTCTAAAAAACAAATAATTAAAAAATATATATATCCAGGCGGGGTGGCACATGCCTGTGGTCCCAGCTACTTAGGAGGCTGAGGTGGGAGGACTGCTCAAGCCAGGGAGGTTGAGGCTGCAGTGAGCCGTGATTGTACCACTGCACTCCAGCCTGAGAAACAGAACAAGATGCTGTTTCAAAAAAAAAAAAAGTTTCTTCGAGTTTTGTATTGTTTTTTTAATTTTGGCTATAAAACATGAAGTTGTTCTTATATTTGTGAAACTATGAAAATGAAGACAGAAGAGGCTTCTGATTTAAAGAAACAGAAATTGGCTTGTAAGACTTCCATTATAGCATATAACAATTTCAAATGCAAATTCTAGTTGAACAAAGGCTGGTTACCATATCAAAAATCACTTTGGATAGAATTTGATTGATCCACGGCTATTACAAATATTAATTATTGTTAGTTCAACCATAAAAATCATGAATATATCTGCCTAGAGTTATTGGTGAAACACAAGATATTAAAAAATACTGTATTCAAATAAAGGTAGAAAAATACTTACCCTGGATTAGCAGCTTCCATCAATATCCCAGTATAGAAAATTAAACTAAAAACAAGGCTACTTCACAGCAAGATTTATTAATACATCCAAAAGAAAGAAAGAAAAATGATTTTGTCACACTATATACAGATAATACATACAGTGTTTCATACACATATTACATCAGTTTTTACACAAGAAAAATATACATAAAAATGTAAACTTTTGTATACAAAAACCCTTAAACAAATTAAACAAGGACCAGATAACAAAAGGAGACCAATTCATTATTATTTCATCAAATTTTTAAAACAGTAATACAGTACATTCATTGAGATATATATGGAAAATGTGAGCCATCTCTTCTTGTTTAAAGGGAAATTACAAACCAAAAGTCAATCGCCTCCCAAGACGTGGTCCTCCCAGCAATGCCGCACCCAATGCCACAAGTATGCCTGTCCACCAGAACTGGGGGCTCTTACCAAAACCTGCCCATCTCCTCATCTTGCTCCTACAGTCTGTGCAGAAACAAGTGGCTCCTAACTTTTGTGCATATAATTAAACTCCCAGCCACTATGAACACAAATACAGAGGAGAGATTGTCAGTTTGTAAGTTCCCTTTAAGCGGCTTTTATATTTTTGTATTTATTTTTAATGCATGGCCTGTTAAACATACTTGGGTGCCAAGGTGAATGAGAACACTGAAAAAGAAGGGCTTTGAGAACCGCTAGTCCTTGCTACCGTGCAGTTTCTTTGTTAGAAGAGATTTTAAAACTGTCCAACCTGTCTCATTTGCTGGTTTCAAATAAGCTACCTCACCTTTGATTTCCCACTGCAACTTGGTTTCAACTTACACTTCAGTACTCTAGTTGTTAGTACCATACAATTGCCAAGAGGCTTTTTGTTAAAGGCTACTTCTGATATCAGGTTCCAGCTAAGCTACTCAGTAAAATGGCTCAAACCCCAGCCTCTCTATTTTAGTCTTCAGGAGTACTCTTACTTCACTGTTTTTTGTAACATCTTACAATTTAGGATTGTCCATCTACCTTCCTCTCTCTGCAAGTTCTTGAGATGTAATCTGCTGCCAACTCTTCACAAAATAAAATAATATTTAATCGTTCTTCCTTAATAGTCTTGCATTCAGTGTGTCAAATTGATGTACTAATGAAAAATACCTAAACTGTGGGGAATAAGAATTAAATCTATTTCAAGCACATGCAACTTGGAACTCGCAAAAAAAAAAAAAAAAGAAAGAAAGAAAGAAAGAAAAAAGAGTTTGGGAGGGCCCTTAACTAAAATGTGCTTAAGACAGCTTCATGAGAGAGCTGCCTTCTTTCAAATTTGAATTTTGAACAAGGCAAAATAACAATTAGGTGATATATTTCCCTGCAGCATGGGAGTAGTTAACTTCCCCCAGGCAAAATGATCTCAATAATCATTATTTATTAATGAAAGGAGGAGGCAAATTGGTGAATTAAGTTGATCTAGGAGATGGTGGCTGACATACACTAACGGAAATATTAGGATTGCTTTATAAGTGAAATAAACAGTCTGGTCTGTGGAACATCTCCACTTCAGAGAGAGGAAAAATGCACAAAGCTCCTCAAGTGAATCTCCAGCTCTTTCTTACTCTCATGGGACAGATGGCATTTTTAAAATGACAGTCTCCCTTTCAGTTAAGAAAAACACAACAATAAAAGGAAAAGGAAGATAAATAAATAGTGTGTGGATGTCTTTAGATGAGACTTTAAATGTTCTTTAAATAACTTTTGATAATGTATTTTAAATCATTACATACAACTGCCACTGCAGTGACAATATTCCAGTAGGGGCAGCATTTTGCTAAATGTAAAAGATTGCCATTTAAAACTCATACATATACATGTGTATATACAGTTATATCAACACTATTTATATACATATATATCTGGAGAGCAATATTTCATTGCCTTTGAATATCTATATATCTACTCCCACAATATATACTAGAGACATACTGTGTGAGTACATACGAAAGCATATGTACACATGCTCTGACATGTATATATACACTTTT
This sequence comes from Homo sapiens, assembly GCF_000001405.40. NCBI lineage: Eukaryota > Metazoa > Chordata > Mammalia > Primates > Hominidae > Homo > Homo sapiens. The sequence continues at coordinate 104,716 of NW_015495299.1, forward strand.
GTCTGTGTGTGCATAAGAGCTTTAAAGGCACAATATATAGGGATGCAAGTTTTCTAGAGAGCTGCAGCAAAGTTAATACAGAATGTCACAAACTGAGAAAAGTCAAAAGGAAATATAGCAGAATTCATCACACAGGAATTCATCAAAGCAGTTTCATCATGAGAAAAATGAGTTAGTTACAGAATTCAAGAGGCTAACATGTGACCTTGTATGCTTTCCATTAAAATGTAAATGGTGAAGTTATGATTAAACTACAAAGCAAATAAAAATATGTAAATGACAAATTAATGACAGTAAGTGTGGAAATAAACCTAACACTAATATCGATCATAAAATCATAATTATGTTCTTTTGTAATTTAAGTAAAATGTCCCCAAATTATTGAGCTAAAACTTTCAAATTTGTTTTATTTGAAGGTTGGCTTTCTGTTTGTTTTTGAGACAAAGATGAATGCCCAAGTCTCAAAATTCCTATTGATAATATTACCAAAACTTGTATCTTCTGGGAAAATTTCAGAGATAAAGATCTTTAAAAGAAATAACAGAGAAGTTGATGAAATATGCTTAAGCCAGATGCTTCTGGCTAGAAGAGACAGAATTAAGGGGGAAAAAAACCACAATGATGTGTGATTTTTTTTTTTTTTTTAAGTGATGAAAGACTGACCAGTAGAAGGTGGTGAAGATGAAGAATAGTGGAACTGGCAAGTAAGAACTGTTCAGACAAGCATTCATTGTGTAATATCCATAAACAAAACTATAATCCAAAGGACTTCCATTTTAGTATGTTCTGATGATGTACTCTAGACTGTCACCTCCTCTGGCTTACAGAATAATCCAGAACTTTCCATAGACATTAATCTTGCTTAACAAAGGCTGTTTACCTATTATACACACACATTTTTAAGGGAAATATATGTATATAGCTTTATCTATACACACACATATACATACGTGTATATATAGATTTATACAAATGTATAAATAAACATAATACTTTTCAATCTTTCCATTGACAAGGCAAGTTCACATTCAGCAAAGTGCCACCACATCCCATATACACATCTCTGTACAGATATACACATAAGGGTCTGTTTTCACCCTTCAACCGGGAGAATTTTTTCTAGCAAATCCCATTAACCAGCAACTGAAGGGAGAAATGGCACCAGTACAAACTCCCTTCTTTCATTTGCATGCATATGTACAAGAAATATGCAGATCTAAAAAAAAATCCCAAAACAAGAGTGAATGAAACCAGGAGATGCTGCAAAAATACAACTGTAGAAAAGAACAGCATATAGAGCTTTCCTAGATCTTCACTATATCTAAGATGAAGTAAATGATGCTCAAGAGACAACTACAAATTCAGGTATATTATCAGAAGTTGCTTTGACATATTTCAAAGTACATGATTTTTTAAGTATTAAAAATAAATGTCATTGGAACATTTAATACCAACTCTACTTTTGACTATTTCAGACCACCAGATACTCCAGTAATAAATGTATAGCAAAATAACAACTTAAAACTCAAAATAAAGGGATGTATTTTTTTTTAATTCCATATGAATCAGGGGTAGCACAATTTTCCTATAGCTGAAATATGGGGATGGGAGCACTCTTAAGTTAATAAATAACAGCAGAACTGAGTAAAAGTTTTTTGAAAAATTTTGGAAATAAATGAAATCACCCCAGCTTTGAAATATGCACGGTGAAATGATCCCACCAACTCCTTAAACAAAGCAGCCCCTTCCAAAAATTGTTTATGAAAGGCCTATACTTTTTCTTAACTTCACCAAGAAAAGATGATCAACAATATTTTCTTACTCGAATATAAAGAAATCTATAATTAACATAAAAAAGATTCAATAGATCTGTGGTCCCATCACCACAATAGATAAACACAGCTCATGTCTGGGGCTGTCTGTCTCCCTCTCTTATTTTTATGCTCGAAAGTGAGAGGCTGATCTTAGAACCTCCTGTTTCTCATGTCATTTTATGAACATAGCATAATATAAGTTAATCCAAAGGTTAACATAAAATGCACATGATATCAGAGCTAGCCTTTTAACATAAGATAACATAATGATTAATTTGGTGTATTTATACAACAGAGACAATGAGAAAGTAACTCCAATACCCTCAACTAAATAAATCATGTTTCTACAATACATTCGGTTACCTTTATCTATTTTTATATAAGCACACATTCATATCTCTCACACACGTGCCCCCAATGTATATTTTTGCATGTGTGTAAAAAATACAGACATATACATGCACACAAGTAATTTAGTTCTATTTTAAAGTCACAGTGGGAATTCCTTAGTGAGGAGGGATAAAAAGTTCCTGAATAAGACACTGAGAACATCTAGATTTATTATTTTCTCTATTTTACTTCCCAACTTACAGAATAAACTGTAAATTAAAGAATAACTCCATAGGAAATAAAAGAGGTCTTACAAACTTAGTTTACAAATTCCAGCTACAGTAGTTGGAGTTTTACTTGATCTATGTATTTCTATGTACCCTGTAACTAAGCTTCTAGCCATCTTAAGTGTAAACCACAGATCATTTACTAAAGAACATGATTCTCAACAGTTCTAGGAACAGTTATAAATGGTCTAAAGGTGTTCTACATTTTGAGGCCCCAGGATATCCTTTTATTTTATATATCTGCAAGGTAGCAAAGGATAGCTATACACCTTGACACGGCAGAGATCCAGTGTAAAAAGGTGCTTCACTAGTTTGTTTTGTCAAAAAAAAAAAAAAAAAAAAAAGCTCATATATATTTAGCTATTAAACACATAGGCAACATAATTCATTACACTCGATACAGCTTTAGTATAAAACTTATAATTTATGAGGTGATGTTAATAGCATAAATTAATATACCTTTTCTCTTAAAATCTACAATAAGTATTCTGAAAGCTCATTGGGGAAGGAAATTTTTAAATAAAAGTTTTAAAGCTGTGCGTGATGGGAAAGGATTCTGTATTCTGAAGCTGAGATGAGAGCCTGGAGGAGAAAGGAAAAAGTCCTATGCAAGACACTGTGGGCTACAAAACCAAATGTTTCCTCTTTCTTCCGCTCTCTTCAATGATGAGTCACCTTTAGTTTCTTTTAAAACTATTTTCTTATTTTAAAAACTGCCCTAATTTCCACAAGGAATCCCTGAGACATACTCAATACTATACAGTGAAAAGAACTATCACTGTTGAGAGGAACAGATTCAACCCTTCCAAACAGATGAAGACAATGTCAACAAGTGTCAGACTTCCCATCATTTCAGCACTAATCCACTGGAGCCAACTGTACCTTAATGATGCAGGTTGGAGTCATTTTAGGGCAAATCAGTCTATTCCCCCAGGTAGAACCAATGGTGTGGCATTTAGCTGCACTGGAGCCTTCTGCACTGCGTGTTGAAAATTTTTCCAAGGGGAACTTTGGGTGCATACAGAGCTTACTTCAGTGGTCCCCAGCTTAAAAAACAAACAAACAAAAACAAACAAACGAAGAAAAAAGAAACAAGTGAAAGAAGAGGATTCTATGACTCTTCGGGCGGGATGGGTACAGATCATATGTGCGTGTGCATTCTTCGGGACTGTGGTGGGCAGACGCAAGAAGGCGAAAGAGAAGATGGAAAGCTGTGCTGCCCTATGGAGCTCACTGAGAGTTAGATTTTTCTCTTATACGAGTATTGATCTAAACTTTAGATCACTAAAAACTGCTGTTCAAAGTAGCCAAACATCCCCAGTATTGGGGAACATAGGGTAAAAAAGTCATACCCAATTTGCTTGCTCTCTCTCTGAAACGTCACATTTCCTCTTATTAGCTCTGTATCACAGTGCAGAGAAAAACTAACAAAAAAAAATAAGGGCTGAAGTGAAAACAGAATTTTTGCTATTTAGAAATAAGGCTCCCTAAGTTTGACCCACAACTGCAGCATTAATGACACTGTTTATTAGAAGAGACATAACTATTCATTTATGTTTTATGTTTTCTTTCCTAATTCATTAGTCAGGGAAAAATGCTTAACAGATATCCAAACATGTCCTTCACTGGTATTTTATTACAAATTATTGGAAAGGTAGTATTTAAAATGTTACTTTAATCTACTAAACATGATTCTGGTTTCCTCCAGAATATAGGAAAATGTATAAAGATGTTAAGACATTATTAAACTGTTTTAACTTTTCTACAGAATGCCAGTGAAGATTCAGTTAATGTATTGGGCGGGGGGAAACATCTATGTTCTTTCATATATATATATAAAAAACTCTCCACTCCCGAGAAATATATTTTTTGTCAGGAAAAAAATCCTTGGAACAATGTAAATACTGGTAACAAAAGAGATACAAATGAGGACTGTTCAGTATGATGAAATTTTCTTTCAAGGAATCCTCTAAATTGCCTCATTAAACTGGAGAGTTCTGTTGACCATTTAGAAGACCATAATATTAGATTTCTATATATACCAGATTAAGAACAGTATTTTTAAAGAAGTCTGAAAAGAAAGATGAAGAAACTGAAAACTAATTTTTAATGAATTTCAAACCTCTTAATAAGTTTAGTGTTCATATACTCATCTTTTTGCAATACCAACCCATAGCGACCTTCTGAACTAACCTGGAGGAGAGGAGATTGCCTTACACGTGCACTGCTGACCGATGATGCCCACTGACCATCACCAGCACCCCTAGGATGCCAAGGCACGGCAAAGACGGCGGGCAAGCATCAGCGGACTGACCACACGGCATTTACTAGATATGCTCAAATTCTAATCCCACTTTATAAAAACAGAATGGTATAGGTCAACAGAAAGGTCAATTCTTTCATGTAAGAAGAAAACCGTATGGACAGGGCACCTCTGTGCATCCCAAACATGGTTTCCTTCCTAATCAAAGAGTTGTCTTTGCCACTGTGGACTGTGATCACAGATTGAGAACAAGCTCTGATAAGGAAGAGCTTTAGTGTCAGTCACAGAAAATGATGATTCTTAACTGCAGGTGAGAGATTGGGCTTATTTAAAAATAAATCTTATAAATAATTATTTGGCAAAGATAAAGTATCAGCTTTCTTTAGCCTCAAGCCACTAAAGACAGTAACACCAATTTTAAGGAAAAAAAATAATAACCTCACTTTCCAACTTGCTCCCCATGCCTACTATTTGTTTCTGATTAAATTATAGTCTTCTCATAGAGGGGCACTAGACACACCACACTGCCTGCCAACATGAAATTGCTCAGGAAGTCATTTATAAAGCAGTTATATCACACATGGTAGGTCACCAGAGAAAATAATCCTTTGCTGTCTAAGCTATGTGACGATAATTAGAAAATTTTTCCATTGCATAGTCTGTCACTTGGTGGGTTAAGTATAATTGCTACTTACTATTGAGTTGTTTACTAGCTACATAACCTACCCAGATGTGCAAATTGCTAAGCCATTTTTACAGAAGAAAAAACAATGTCTTAAGTACTTTAATTAAAATAATATTAATAATTATGTAGAGAGAGTAAAGGAGAAAAAGCCCATCTTTTCTTCAGATACTACTGATCATAGCCAGTGAATATCACACATTAGAATGGAATTCAGATTCTCAGAGCACAGAATGTATCCATTAACTGCAGCAACTTTGTAAATTAAATCACAGTAACACAATCTAACTGGCCTTTATAAATAGTCCCAAAGAACTGCAGAAACAGAGTGAAACTTCTTTGCCACTATTTCTCCTGGGTTCAACACTAGAATAAAAGCTAGTTTCTACCTATTTAGGACCTTATATAAGATTTGTTTTTCATTCCAGTATTGCCTTGTGATAGCATAAGTGCTATTTTAAAAGATACTAATTTTCATATTTCTGGAGTAAAAGCCACTTCATTCCTTTCTATACATATTAATAGCAAAGTTCCTACTAATAGACGAGAATGGCTCTATTAAGTAAAAGAAAAACACAGATCTCTCTGGGCTTATAGATGTTCTCCTCTCTTCCAAAAAGGGACTCATAAGAAACAGCAAGAGCAAAGCAAATTGCAAACTTTGATATCTGTTTTGAACTAGATAAAATAAGAGGAAAAGTTTGTTGTTGATAATTCCTCAACCACTTTCCTCAGCTTTCATCATGGGCATCCAAACGAAAATGTATTTACTCAAAGTTTTTGGTGTGAAGCTGTAACTAGCAACATTCCTGATAATTTCATGCCTCCTTACTAGAAAGCAGAGAAGGGCTTTTAAATGCACATAAAACAGAAAATTGCAAACAATAAAATGTGCAACTTACTGCAAACTCAGCTTTGTATCATAACTGAAGAATTTCAAGCAGCTAACATGAGGGGACAAGTAGACAGAAAAAGTTCAAATCGACTACCCACGACTTTCCCTTCCTTGTCAAAGGGCTGATGAGGAAGTCAATGTGCTGCTCTGCGACAACCTTTAAATACACAATGGAGACTAAACTGAACTGCTGGGAATGGACAGTTATCTAGTTATGCTTATGATGGTTGTGAAAATAGTTTAACAAACTAAATGACATTTTTGAGCCGAGGTAACTACTCGTGACCACTTCATTACAGTACATTAAAATAAAAAAGCTTACTAATATAGACTCACAGGTGAGAAATATTCAAATTATCTGTTCTCACCATTCAGAATAGAAATTTATGGTGATACCAAATATAATTTTGCTTTATGACATAAGTTATAATTTAGAAATTTTGCACTCTGCAAAAAAGGCAAAGCTATTAAAAATAAATCTTCCAATCAATTACCATGATTTTAAAAAAACTAAATATATTACAAACATATTTTTGGCCCACAAAAAGAAACATCAATAAATACAAAATAGGGCATATAATGATTTCATACAGTCATGTGACATTTCCCCTCCATAACCTCAGGCACGTGGTATCTGCATAATGCCTGCTGATCACCATCATTCCTTTAAAAAGCAGAGAAAGAAAAGCTTTCAAAAGAAGGGACTGGTTAGAACTAGCATGGCATAAAGAGATTACATACAGGAAGTAGGAAAATACATCCAATCACTACCTATTAGAAAGGAATTAAGATCAAATATTCCCTGACAAATGAATTATTGAACCACATCAATAGGTATGTTCTCTCAACTTTTAAAATATATATATATGTGAATTAGACTAGACTCAGGTATAAATAGCCAATGGTATCTCAAGGGACAGTGAAACTACTCAGCAAAAGCAGAGTAGAGATGCCTTTAAAATCTAGTTCCACCCTTCTCTGGGGGGGAAAAAAGGTAGGCAAGAAACCTCACAAATTCATCTCATAGTCACAAACTTCCTAAACTACCCCATATGATCTTTAACCCCTAAAATCCTGGCATTTTAAAAACATTTCCCAAAGCTATTTTCAAATTTACTTAAACCCAAGTACTTGAATTATTTTAAAAGGACCAAAGGGCGAATAAAATTTATATCTAATTTCCATATTCTGCTTTGAAAGAAACTTTAAAATGTGTATCCTTCAGATATTACACATCACTTCACAACTGGTACACTGATTCTACAAGTGTCTTAACATTTTACAAATCTTACCAAAGAATCACTACTGTAAACATGAAAAATTCAAAAGCAAAAGATGGATCAAGGAGTTGACAGATCCCATCTTTTCAAATCTATCTGACCTATCCTGCTTTTTCACATCAAAATATTTTCTTTAATTACATCTTGCAAATGTATTCCATGAGAGAGGGATTTAGAAACAAACAAATGTCTGAAAAGACAAAGTGACCATCAGGCCCCAGAACCCCGGCAGCCTGCAGTCATCCCAGGCAAGCTTTTTAGGACATCCCTACCTCACTGACGGGAATCCAAGCTTTCTATGTTCTGTTTCTTCTTGGGCTAACTTTTAGCAGAAAAAGGTTGTGCTACTCACACGACCAGTCCACCACCCTCCCTATTCAGGAAACTTGAGGAAAAGAAGGACCAACCTTATTAGGACTGTGAGATGTAGGACAGGAGAAAAGTAAGAGTTTTATACTCATTAAGTAGGGGGAAGGGGAGAACAAAAAAAAATCAAACTAATGGGACAGCTGCTTCCTGCACTGCACAAAAACACACGCGTGGGCACACGCATACTCACAGGCAGTCAAAAGACACATTTTTTTCTTTTAGTTAAACATGATCACAATTACGAATGGAATCCTGGCCTCACTGTGGTGTTTAGCAGTTGGTGCTAGGTCAGAATCTTGACCTGCCACACACCATTTGCTGTCTCTTATACAGGAACTCAATTAATAAGATCATTCTATCTAGAACCACCTATGTAAAAACCTGGCAACAGAATGGAAAGCACTGATCTGAATACTAGGAAATAGTAAAGGGCACTGGTATTCTGAGGTATCTTCCACTTCTAGGACTTGCTGCTAAAAATCAATCCTATCCAGTCACTGTGCTGAACCACTAAGGAAACCACTGGGGCGGAGTGGGCCTGCCAGGAGGGAATGAGCACCAGTGCTAAGGAGCACATGTGAACACTGTAGCGAGGTCCACTGCAGGGCCACTCATTGAACTGGGAAGGGGGGTGCCCCTCTGATCCCCATCTGTTATATCTTCTTTAGGAAAAGGGGAGAGGGGTGCTAAAGAGGAAACAAAGATAGAAAACACTGGGTTCCCCACCTGCCTGCAAACACACAGACACCCTCAGTTAGGGGAGGGAAAGGGAGAAGATGCATTATTGGTACTTGTAGCTGTGGCACCTGTTACTGTGAAGCCTGTAGGAGGGGCTATAGAGCTGTGGCTGGGCTGCAGGTCCTTAGGAATGCCACTGTGAGAACTCAGCTGGTGGCCAAAGGCTGCGCTGAACTGAGGGAGTTGCTGCTTGGGAGAGGTGGAGGCCATTAGTTCAGCAGAAGGCCCCATGCCACTGAAGCTGGTCTGTGGTAACCCCGGAAGCACACTGGAGCTGCTGGGGGTCACGGTGGCGAAGGCAGGCTGTGTGGTCTCTGAGTTCGAAGTGGTGGGTGGCGTGGATAGGGAAGTGGAAAGAAGATGTCCATCTGCGCCGAGAAGGTTGCTAAATGGAGAGGGGTCTCCAAGGTTGACAGGGAGATTGCCCCAGTGAGTTCTGGGGTTTACCACGCCTCCAAGTGGCACCTCAAGTTGGGTTGGGAGCAAGTGCTGCGCCATGATGGGCATCTCTGCTGAAAAGGTAGCTGCCATATTATCACCAGAGTACGATGTTGTGTGGGGAGAGGTGATATGGTCACTGTAGGGAGACGGCACATGCTCACTATCATAATGGCTTCCATGGGGTGAGGAGTGTGAGTGATCACTGCTGTATTGCTGTCGTGAGGTGATTAGGTCATCTGCCTTGCTCAGCAGCTGGGCAGGATGTGGCCTCTGGGAGGCATGGCTGCCGTCATGAAGTCCATGAAACTGTCCTGGGAAGGCTCTCTCCCCAAGTGCACTCTGGCTGATCAGAGTGGCAGAAGTAAGGCCAACGTTGGCTGGGGCAGAGAACTGCCCCTGGATCTGCCCTGCCAGGGGTGTAGGTGGGTTTGACAAGGTAGCAGAACGGAGCAGGTTCTCATCCAGCTCTAGACTAGAAAAATTATCATGTACTATACGCCCATTCAATAGCTCCCCTAGGTCTGTGTTCACCTCTCGGCTCAAGGATTGTATTCCTGAAGCTCCAGTACCTGTGGAGAACACCCCTATTCCTCTATCTGACAACTCCTGGACTGGCACACCATCTGACTGGGCAAGGACCCCAATGGTACTCAGGCACTCGAGAGAAGTTACAGCCTGCAAGGCCCGTTCAAGCTCCTCAGCCTCTTCGGTAGTTGGGAGGAGGTCTCCATTCTTCCCTGAGTCAACAAAAGCCATCGACAATCAGTAGAGCTTTTACCAGTTCTACATCACAAAAATCACACATTTGAATTATTTTAAACAATATTCGATTTAAAGAGTCCCTCTTGAAAAGAAAAGTTTCCAAGATTTTGATTGGAGGGAAAAAGTGAAATAATGGTCTGCAGGACAGGGTCTGTAACGTCAGCTACCTAGGAATTTGAATCACCATCTTCAGTTGATTTACTGAATACCATCTCAAAAACCATCTTATCAAAGTACTAAATTCTTAGGAATTCTAAGGATTACAAATTTAAAGCTCATGGTGACTATGTGATTATACGTGTTTTTAACCTAAAATAATATTATCATCATTAACATAGAAAACATATATCAACTTGGATTTGAGAGAAAAGGCTGTGTAGAACAGGTCCACCTTGCCTGTTCTACTCCTGACTCTCCCAGCTGGAGGGCAGCTGTGGAAGGTTAAAACACAGAAATTCATACATCTATTTGAGCACAACACTAAGCTCTCAGTTCATTTCACGGGTTATCTTTCAAAATGCTTTTGCTTTACTCTCTAATCCTTTCCCCTCATCCTCTTCCCATTTCTTACTAATTTTCATAAAATGGAAGCCCATGGACCTACTTTGATTTCATTTCTAATATTTAAAAAATCTATTGTTAGGAACTTGATTAATCACCATGGAAATATTCGATTTTTAATGGTGAAAGAAACATTCTAAAAGTATAAAATATTTCCCCTGAAAGCATGGGGGAATTGGCAGGATTAAGCAAACTTCGTTTTGGAAAAGTGCACTTCAGTTGAAGTACAGGGTGGGGTATAAAACTAGGGCAAGTTCTAAAAGACTTCAAAACTCATGTTCGGCTGGGCGCGGTGGCTCGTGCTTGTAATCCCAGCACGTTGGGAGGCCAAGGCAGGTGGATCACCTGAGGTTGAGAGTTCGAGACCAGCCTGACCAACATGGTGAAACCCCGCCTCTACTAAAAATAGAAAAATTAGCTGGGCATGGTGGCAGACACCTGTAATCCCAGCTACTCGGGAGGCTGAGGCAGGAGAATCGCTGGAACATGGGAGGCAGAGGTTGCAATGAGCCAAAATGGCGCCACTACATTCCAGTCTGAGCGACAGAGCGAGACTCCATCTCAAAAAAAAAAAAAAAAAGTCATATTCGAGATGTCTTTGTTCAAAAATAAAGCAAAAGTATTCACTTTAAAGAAACAACGTTGGGCCAGGTGTGGTGGCTCATGCCTGTAATCCCAGCACTTTGGGAGGCCAAGGCGGGTGGATCACTTGGGGCCAGGAGTTCAAGACCAGCCTGGCCCACACTGCGAAACCCCACCTCTACTAGAAGTACAAAAATTAGCCAGGCGTGGTGGCACATGCCTGAAATCCCAGCTACTCGGGAGGCCGAGGCGAAAGAATCGCTTGAACCCGGAGGCAGAAGCTGCAGTGAGCCAAGATCGTGCCACTGCACTCCAGCCTGGGCGACAGAGTGAGACTCTGTCTCCAAAGAAAAAAGAAACAAGTTATAAACCTAGTCAGCAAATTATGAGATGGTTAAACAAACTGCACATTCCTTATCTTCTGAAAGGGTTAAAATAGCTGCAGTGGCATTATATTTCCTATCTACAGTGAAAGACATTACATGTGAGGAGGAATATGATAAACACATCTCAAAACACTATTTCTTTTCTTATAAACTCATTTTTAAAACCAGTTTCCTTGAGTCAAAATATTGACTATACCTTCAAAAAAATCAAAATCTTGTAAGTCATCAGGTAGCCGTGGCAGGACATCTGAAAAGTCCTCCTGGTTCAATTCCAAGTCATGTGGAATGTCAGTGATCTCATTGGCAATGTCATCCGGCAACTCATCAGCACTCAGCTCTGGCGTGGATGGGCTCCTGGGAAAGAGGACACTGTTGGTCCCATAACTCCCCCATTATCTTCACATCAATACCACCAAGCCAAGTTCATTCAACATGAAAAGAAGCTAACGTCAGGCAGGGCACAGTGGCTCACACCTGTAATCCCAGCACTTTGGGAGGCCAAGGTGAGAGGATCACTTGAGGGCACGAGTTCGAGATCAGCCTGGTCAACATGGCAAAACCTTGTCTCTACTAAGAATACAAAAATTAGCTGGGCATGGTGGTGCACACTTGTAATCCCAGCTACTCAGAAGGCTAAGGCATGAGAATCACTTGAAACTAGGAGGCGGAGGTTGCAGTGAGCTGACATCACACTACTGCACTCCAGCCTGGGCAACAGGTCGAGACTCTGTCTCAAAAAAAAAAACAACCAAAATCAAAAAACAAGCTAATAATGTCTTTTAGGTTTTTTATTTAAAGGTCAGAAAGCCCCGGCAGGTCTTGAACCCAAGCACAGGGATTAGACAGATGGAAAGTAAGGAAGTAACCACCTGAGCTAAAGCCAATCCTAATGTCTTCTAGGTTTTTTTTTTTAGACAGAGTTTCACTCTTGTTGCCCAAGTTGGAGTGCAATGGCGCAATCTCGGCTCACTGCAACCTCCACCTCCTGAGTTCAAGAGATTCTCCTTTCTCAGCCTTCAGAGTAGCTGGGATTACAAGCGCCCACCACTATGCCAAGCTAATTTTTGTTTGTTTTTAGTAGAGACGGGGTTTACCCATGCTGGCCAGGCTGGTCTCGAACTCCTGACCTCAGGTGATCCACCCACCTTGGCCTCCCAAAGTGTTGGGATTACAGGCATGAGCCACCATGCCTTGCTTTTTTTTTTTTTTTTGAGATGGAGTCTTGCTCTGTCGCCCAGGCTAGAGTGCAGTGGCATGATCTCGGCTCACTGCAACCTCCACCTCCCGTGTTCCAGCGATTCTTCTGCCTCAGCCTCCTGAGTAGCTGGGATTACAGGTGCTCGCCACCACACCCGGCTAATTTTTGTATTTTTGGTAGAGATAGGGTTTCACCATCTTGGCCAGGCTGGTCTCGAACTCCTGACATCATGATCCACCCACCTCGGCCTCCCAAAGTGCTGGGATTACAGGCATGAGCCACCGCACCTGGTCCTAGGTTTTTTATATTCAACAGAAACATGAGAAACCCTAACTTACAGTGTCTCCTCCCCTATTTTAAAAGAAGGAAATCTGAAAGTAGAGTCACTGCAAAAATACATGCCTCACCATATGCAGTCATATTTCTGCAACCTTCACCCATGTATTAAGAGGCAACAACAACTACTAGGTAATACTTTTACTTCAAATTTGTACAATGAATCACAATTTGGTGTATCAAGTGTGTCTTAATGCTTTTTAGTAGAATTTCAAATCTGGTTGAAATAATAATTTTAGAAATGAAATTAACAACAGGTAAAATTGAAATGCTTAGCTAAAACAAAAGCTTCATTCTTCTGGTCAAAATGTTTAACCCTGCCAAAATAAATAATGCCTCATATTTCTGATGGAATACTTCTGTTGGAACATATATGGAATTTCTGCAAAAGTTTTAAAAGTTAAGAGACTAGGTATAGTGGTTCATGCCTGTATTCCCAGCACTTTGGGAGGCCGAGGCAGGTGGATCACTTGAGGTCAAGAGTTCCAGACTAGCCTGGCCAACATGGTGAAACCCCGTCTCTACTAAAAATACAAAAATCAGCTGGGCGTGATGGCACATGCCTGTAATCCCAGACTAGGGTGGCTGAGGCAGAAGAATCGCTTGAACCCTGGAGGCAGAGGTTGCAGGGAGCCGAGATTGCGCCACTGCACTTGGCCTGGGAGACAGAGCAAGACTTGGTCTCAAGAAAAAAAAAATGTTTTTTAAGTTGAGAGTATACAATTAAAGTCAGTTTCGCGTCTGTTCTCTTTATTGTAAGCAAAAGCTTAATTTTAGATCAAATACAGCCAGATATAGGTAAAATTTGCACCAAAAACTATTTAAAAAATCTAGGCTGATATACTAAATGGTTTCTGTAGCCTAGTGACAACTTTACAATAACCACATGAAGCTAGATGTTCTGAGAAGAATCCCAAAATGTAAAGAAAAATTAGGTGCCAGTGGCACCACTGACCGGATGTGAGAGGCCTCCACTGGCAGTGAGACGCTGGCGGGCATGCTGAGGTTCCCTTGGGGGACTGCAGGTGGAATGGGTTTTTGGGGTCGACGAGGTCCACGCCTTCTCTTCTTCTTGTGTTTTTTGGTTAGTGCAGGAGGCTTGGTTTTTTTCCTGGGTTTCCTCTGCTGCTGGTGCTGAACTTTACGGGAGTTATCTCCTCTCAAGAAATTATCCTTTGGAATGAATAAATAGGCTTTTAAATTGAGATTATCTGGGATAAACCTGACAGCTACCTAAAAAATACTTACATCCCTTAATATTCTATATAATGCCTAAAACATACTGGATGCCCAAAACTATGTATAACAATAATGAAGACATCAAACTTCATCAATTCCAAGATCTACATTTTAATATCTCTGCAATTGGGAAGCATTTTAAATTGGTGGCATTTTACCATTGCGGTCAGCCTGCTGATGGTCATTATAGTTGACACTGTCTACACACACACACACACACACACACGCACACACACGGTTCCAGTTCTTTGTACTGGCATCGTTTCTGAATTAAGGTTTGTACACTGTTGGTACTACGTGTGGAGGAAAATTTTTTGTGAATGTAGAAAGGCACAAAGAGCAGCAGGGCATAAAATTAATATTAGTGGAGCACATATTCATTACTGAAGAACCGACCACAATTCTTTTTTTTTTTTTTCCCTGTAAGGCAACAACCAAGTGAAAAAGGAAAATAACCACAAAGTAGATGAAGTTGTTCTATTGCTGAAGTACGTAGAAAATACTGCCTTTCACATGTCAAGCAGTACAGCCAAAACCAGGAACAGTATATAAAAATCTATGTCTAAATAAGTCTTTTAAAAGCTCTTTAATAAGTTGAAAACAAAAATTCTAAGTGATAAGAAAGTACCGCATCACTGGCAACATTTTTTTTCTTTCTTATTGGCACATAAAACAGTGGGATTTGCAATTGATGTCACCTTTAATTAATTCCCTAATAACTCTTGTAGCTAAATAAAGATTGTAGACCATAGTATTTTAAGACTAATAACTATCACTAGCATCAAAAAATTGAAAACAAGAAAGAATAAAATTAAAGCATAAATTCAGGAAATCTAAAACAGGTTTAATCCTACTCAAATGCTTGAATGTAAACAATTACAGATTAAGTCACAAATACATAAATTTAAAACAAACCAAAAAAAAGAGGCTACCTCTGGCCAGACGCAGTGGCTCACACCTGTAATCCCAGCACTTTGGGAGCCGAGGTGGGTGGATCACCTGAGGTCAGGAGTTCGAGACCAGCCTGGCCAACATGGCGAAACTCCATCTCTAATAAAAATACAAAAATTAGCCAGGCCTGGTGACACGTGCATGTAATCCTAGCTACTTGGGAGGCTGAGGCAACGGAATTGCTTGAACCCGGGAGGCAGAGGTTGCAGTGAGCTGAGATTATGCCATTGCACTTCAGCCTGGGCAACAAAAGCGAAACTCAGTCTCAAAAAAAAAAAAAAAAAAGGCTACTTCTCAGACTCTGTAGTTCTTTTTGTCTCAACACTTGAGGTCTACTTGTATTATGTCCACTATTTAACTCAACAAATGGTGAATGCGCAAGGGCCAGTACCCGAACATTGTGCTCAGCATCCATTCCAGGCTTTCCCTCCAGCACCAGTGCTGATCTCAGGAGGAAGTTAGGGGGCTCTCACCCAAGAGAAAATAAGTCCTATCTGTAAGGCTCCCAATGATCACCTGGGTCAGATTCCTGCCTGATTCTCCTAAGCTTGTGTGCAGTGGCCTTGTGGCACTCTTGGTACTATGCCAGATACTTCACACAGAACAGCCTGTGACTGATACCTGCCTTGCTCGCCTCCAGAGAGCTAGAGCCCCCACCCCCTGAGGCTTTCCTAATGCCAGCTGTTCTTTTACCTAGCTTCAGTGCACAGTGAAATACTATTCACTCCCAACTTTTGTCTGATTCTACCTCTATGTCAAGGCAATGCACTCACCATCTGTCATAGGATCTTACAAAGGTGGAATCCCATGTTCTGCCTGACAGCCGGGACTTCCTGCAGCTGGAGTCTCTTACCAATGGCTGTCACATCCTAGTTCTGAATCTTAACCCCTTCCATTGGTATGCCTAACCATTAATGTATTCAACAATTACTTACTGAGCATCTCTGTTCTAAGTGCTAGGGATACAGTAGTAACAAAAAAATGGTCCTGCCCTTGTGAGGTTTACATTCTAGTAGGAGAATACAGAAAATAAACAAACTAATGAATAACTGTTAGGCAGACAAATGTTAGGAAGAAAAATGAGGTAGAGTATGAGGATAAAACCTGACAGGGTAACAGGCAGGTGGAAGACTTGTGTGATGAGACAACACATGGTAACAAACCTGAATGAAAGGAAGGAGTGAGCAATGCGGAAACTTGGGAAAAGGCCAAGTGTGGTGGCTCATGCCTATAATCCCAACACTTTGGGAGGCAGTGGCAGGAGGATGTGATGGGAAGCCATTAGCAGGTTTTGATTTTATGGAGCTAATATGATCAGATGTATAGTCTAAAGGGCCTGCTCTAAAGGCTACTTACTACAGAATTCCCTTTCTATGACATTCTGGAAAATACAGAAGTATAGGGGCAGAAAATAGATCAGTGGGGATGGAGTAAAGGGATGACCACAAAGGGAGTAGTGTAAGAGAATCTGGGGAGCAGTTCTGTATCTTGATTTAGGTGGTGGTTATACAACTGTATGCGTCTACAAAACTCCTGAGAGTGTACACTCAAAAGTGAATTCAATTCAAAGAAAGTAGAACATAGACACACCCAGCCTACTCTGGCTGCTATGTAAACAACATACCCCCTATGGCAGGGGGATATGGCAAGAAGGGAGATCAATTAGGAGACTATTACAATAATCCAGGCAAAGATAATGGTAGCCTCAACTAGAATGGTAGCAGTGAAATTTATAAAATGTGTTTGGATTCAGAATATAATATGAAAATAGAGGCTTGGCACAGTGGCTCAGGCCTGTAAGATCCCAGCACTTTGGGAGGCCAAGGTGGGCAGATTACTTGAGGTCAGGAGCTCAAGACCAACCTGGCCAACATGGTAAAACCCCATGTCTACCAAAAAATACAAAAATTAACTGGGCACGGTGGCACACGCCTGCAGTCCCAGCTACTTGGGAGGCTACTGTGGGAGAATTCCTTGAACCTGAGAGACAGAGGTTGCAGTGAGCCGAGATTGCACCACTGCACTCAAACCTGGGTGACAAAGAGAGACTTGTCTCAAAAAAAAAAAAAAAAAAAACCAGAGCCTAGATTTGCACATACTTTTCATCTCCCAGTGTCAGTCTCTCATAGGAGCACTGATGGGGTACAAGTGCTTCTTATAGTCTCTTATGTAATTTTTAACCTAAAACAAAAATAGCTCAAACTACTGCCAGATTCTAACTGTCTTCAGAGAGAAAACCATTTTCAAAAATTTGTATTTTAAATACTTGAAAAAAATTTGATTAGTATAATTTTGATTGTTATATAAAATATATATTATTTTATGACTAATTTACATTATACTAATTCAGTCTTAGGTTTGCCTCATTGAATTTGCCTAAGTAGGAAAGTTTAACTAGCTGAAAAGAATAAAACTGCATTCAATTTCTCTAAAAGCATTCACATAATAATGGTTATAGGAGGCCAGGCGCGGTGGCTTACGCCTGTAATCCCAGCACTTTGGGAGGCCAAGGTGGGCGGATCATGAGGTCAGGAGATCGAGATCTTCCTGGCTAACATGGTGAAACCTCATCTCTACTAAAAATACAAAAATTAGCCAGGCGTGGTGGCAGGCACCTGTAGTCCCAGTTACTTGGGAGGCTGAGACAGAAGAATGGCGTGAACCCGGGAGGTGGAGCTTGCAGTGAGCCGAGATCTCACCACTGCACTCCAGCCTGGGTGATAAAGCAAGACTCCATCTCAAAAAAAAAAAAAAAATTGTTATAGGAACCAAAAATTCATTCATAATAAGTTCCTAAAGCAGACACTGAAGTACAGTTTTTTCTACTTAACAGTATCTTCCTCAGTATCTTAGAAGTATGCCGGAATGGTGGAACTTTAAAATGAAAATATGCAGCTGGGATCATTTATTTCGTGATTTGAAAGCTACAGGGCCCACATTACCATGGGTCTGTGAAATCATCAATGAAGGTCCACAAAAGTGGTTCAAAAAGCATATAGAAATTATTCCTTAGCTATGACAAAGCCTGAGTAAGCTTAAAAAAAAAAAAAAAAAAAGCCTATATTCGCTGGGCATGGTGGCTCATGCCTGTAATCCCAGCACTTTGGGAGACCAAGCCGGGTGGATCACCTGAGGTCAGGAGTTCAAGACCAGCCTGGCCAACATGGAAAAACGCTTTCTCTACTAAAAAAAACAAAAATTAGGCAGCATGGTGGCATGCGCCTGTAATCCAGCTACTCGGGAGGTTGAGGTGCAAGAATCACTTGAACCCAGGAGGCGGAGGTTGCAGTGAGCCAAGATTGCACCACTGCACTCCAGCCTGGGTGACAGAGTAAAACTCCATCTCAAAAAAAAAAAAAAAAACAACCTATATTTTAAATGTTTTTATATTAAAGTGGGAAAATAATTATTCAACATTTGTAATATGTAATTGTAATATGTAGTTTAGTATACAAATTTTTCAAAACATATTGTCTGTAAAAGAAACCTAAAAAATAAAACAAGTTCTTGGTGAAGAAGCCAGTTGATCTGGTTTGGTTCTGTGTCCCCACCCAAATTTCATCTTGTAGCTCCCATAATTCCCACGTGTTGTGGGAGGGAGACAGTGGGAGATGACTGAACTATGGGGGCAGGTCTTTCCCCTGTTGTTCTCGTAATAGTGAATGGGTCTCACAGATCTGATGGCTTTAAAAATGGGAGTTGCCCTGCACGAGCTCTTTTTGCCTGCCACCATCCATGTGAGATGTGACTTGTCCCTCCTTGCCTTCTGCCGTGATTGTGAGGCCTCCCCAGCCACGTGGAACTGTGAATCCAATTAAACCTCTTTTTTTTTTTAAATTGCCCAGTCTCAGGTATGTCTTTATCAGCAGCACAAAAACAGACTAATATAGCAAATTGGTACCAGTAGAGTGGGGTGCTGCTGAAAAGATACCCAAAAATGTGGAACCAACTTTGGAGCTGGGTAACAGGCAGAGGCTGGAACAGTTTGGAGGGCTCAGAAGAAGACAGAAAAATGTGGGAAAGTTTGGAACTCACTGGACACTTGTTGAATGGCTTTGACAAAAATGCTGATAGTGATATGGACAATGAAATCCAGGCTGAGGTGGTCTCAGAAGGAGATGAGGAACTTGTTGAGAACTGGAGCAAAGGTGACTCTTGTTATGTTTTAGCAAAGAGACTGGCAACATTTTGCCCCTGCCCTAAAGACTTATGGAACTTTGAACTTGAGAGAGATGATCTAGGGTATCTGGCAGAAGAAATTTCTAAGCAGCAAAGCATTCAAGAGGTGACTTGGGTGCTATTAGAAGCATTCAGTTTTAAAAGGGAAATATAGAATAAAAGTTTGGAAAATTTGCAGCCTGACAATGCAGTAGAAAAGAAAATCCCACTTTCTGAGCAGAAATTCAATCCAGCTGCAGAAATTTGCATAATTAACAAGGAGCTGAATGTTAATCCCCAAGACAATGGGGAAAATGTCTCCAGGGCACGTCAGATGTCTTCTCGGCAGCCCCTCCCATCATAGGCCTGGAGGCCTAGGAGGAAAAGATGGTTTCATGGGCCAAACCCAGGGCTCCCGTGCTCTGTGCAGCCTAAGGACTTGGTACCCTGCATTCCAACCACTCCAGCCATGGCTAAAAGGGAGCAAGGTAGAGCTCAGGCTGTTGTTTCAGAGGGTGGAAGCCCCAAGCCTTGGCAGCTTCTACATAGTGTTCAGCCTGCAAGTGCACAGAAGTCAAGAATTGAGGCTTGGGAACCTCCGCCTAGAATACAGAAGATGTATAGAAACAGTCTGTCTGGGCATGGTGGCTCACGCCTGTAATCTCAGCACTATGGGAGGCTGAGGCGGGCAGATCACCTGAGGTCAGGAGTTTGAGACCACCCTGGCCAACATGGTGAAACCCTGTCTCTGCTAAAAATACACACAAATTAGCCAAGCGTGGTGGCACACGCCTGTAATCCCAGCTACTTGGGAGGCTGAGGCACAAGAATTGCTTAAACCTTGAAAGCAGAGGTTGCAGTGAGCCAAGATCAAACCACTGCACTGCAGCCTGGGTGACAGAGTGAGACTCTGTCTCCAAAAAAAAAAAATGTATAGAAATGCCTGGATGCCCAGGCAGAAGTTTGCTGTAGGAGTGGGGCCCTCCAGGGGAACCTCTGCTAGAATAGTGCAGAAGGAAAATGTGGGTGGGAGCCTCCACACAGAGTCCCTACTGGGACACCACCTAGTGGAGCTGTGAGAAGAGGGCCACCATCCTCCAGACCCCAGAATGGTAGATCTACTGACAGCTTGCACCATGCACCTGGAAAAGCAGCAGATACTCAATGCCAGCCCATGAAAACAGCCAGGAGAGGGGCTATACCCTGCAAAGTCACAGGGGCAGACCTGCCCAAGATTATGGGAACCTATGTTTTGCATGAGCTTGACCTGGATGTGAGACATGAAGTCAAAGGAGATGATTTTGGAGCTTTTCGATTTGATTGTCCACTGGATTTCAGACTTGCATGGAGCCTGTAGCCCCTTTGTTTTGGCCAATTTCTCCCATTTGGAACAGCTGTATTTACCCAATGGCTGTACCCCCATTGTATCTAGGAAGTAACTAACTTGCTTTTGATTTTACAGGCTCATAGGCAGAAGAGACTTGCCTTGTCTCAGATGAGACTTTGGACTGTGGACTTTTGAGTTAATGCTGAAACTTTTGAGTTAATGCTGAAATGAGCTGAGACTTTGGAGGACTGTTGGGAAGGCATGATTACAATGTGAAGGTATTACAATGTGAAGATATGCTATTTGGGATGTGCCAGGGCAGAATGATACGGTTTGACTCTGTGTCCCCACCCAAATCTCATCTTGTAGCTCCCATAATTCCCACGTGTTGTGGGAGGGACCTGGTGGGAGACGACTGAATTATGGGGCAGGTCTTTCCTGTTGTCTTTCCTGTTGTTCTTGTAATAGTGAATGGGTCTCATGTGATCTGATGGTTTTATAAATGGGAGTCGCCCTACACAAACTCTATTTTTGCCTGCCTCCATCCATGTAAGATATGACTTACTCCTCCTTGCCTTCCACCATGATTTTGAGGCCTCCCCAGCCACATAGAACTGTGAGTCCAATTAAACCTCTTTCTTTTGTAAACTGCCCAGTCTCAGGTATGTCTTTCCCAGAGGCATGAAAACGGACTAATACACCAGTGAATCACACACATTGAGACTGAGGTCCAAAAAGGCTGAATCCTTAGCCCCTAGTTATATACCAAGCTGGTGGCAAAGCCAGGATCACAGGTTCCAACTATTAAGTCCTGGTCTAATACCCATTCCCTCACCCTGAGAATCCCTGAAAACTATAACATGTTTATAGAGGGCAGGAAGTATCTCACTTTCTAGTACATAAGGTACCTAGGAAAGTATCTTGCAGTAACTGCTTGATGGATGAAAACAATAAAAATGAACTTCCTTTAAATGATTATATAATTTAGATATTCCTCAAATTCAAATCTGTCTCTCCTCCAAATTATTCTGAATTAATTAGGATTTATGATAACTAGCATTAACTAAAGCAATAATTACATTCAATAGATTTCTAGAAAGGCTGGGCCTTCGATTGAAGTTTCATCAACTATTCATGACATTTGTAGAATTGTATATAAGAAAGCAAAAACTTAGAGACATAGGAACAAAGAGAGTATTTAGAAATTCTGCTATGTATAAGATACATATCTTAAGGTAATAAAATGTATCTTAAGGGAATAAAAATCCTCTCTCAAAACTTGTTTCAGTGATTTATATACATACATAGTTTGTGCTAAGTTATAAAATACTTCCTACAGTGGATAGCTACAAAAAGTTTGAAAGCCTCTGTTGCAGAACTTACCATTTTTTTGGCATGTTCTTCACACAGAGGTGTCTGATGTGTAATGTCAAAAACTGGCACAGAGCACTGCTGTCCATCTGCAAACTTGGCTGTGCAACTTGAGAAGAGCTGCTGAGAGTGGTTCAAGAGGATATCTGGGTTTTTTTAAGTTAGGAGTAAAATACACTGAAACTCTAATTTTTCAATTTCTATATAAAATTTGCTTGTTCCCTTACATTTCATAAGTACAAGCTTTATTATCCATAATATAAATATTACCCATATCAGTACTAGCTCAACTACTGATATGGGAAAATAATAGAATTTATCAGATGACAACTCTGAAGGACTCTATTTTGCTAATGAGACCCTGGCACCAGTCTCCTTAATGACCATTCTGAACCAAATTGTGTTATTTGGAAAAGCAGGGCCATTTCCTTCTTAACATGTGAACTCCACTTAAAGTTCCACTTCATGTTTTTTTTGTTTTGTTTTTTGTTTTGAGATGAAGTCACTCTGTTGCCCAGGCTGGAGTGCAATGGCACGATCTCAGCTCACTGCCACCTCGGCCTCCCGGGTTCAAGCAAGTGATTCTCCTGTCTCAGCCTCCCGAGTAACTGGGATTACAGGCATCTGTCACCACATCCAGATAATTTATTGTATTTTTAGTAGAGACAGGGTTTCACCATATTGGCCAGGCTGGTCTCGAACTCCTGACCTCAAGTGATCTAGCCGCCTCAGCCTCCCAAAGCGTTGAGATTATAGGCATAAGCCACTGCACCTGGCCAATGGTTTTCTTTTTTTAAACAGCTCTTAAAAGGAAAATTTTCTGCCTATGATACTTACCAAGAATAAAAATTTAAAGATATAGTTATTAGAAACTCATCTTTCCAAATTTGAATATTTTGCTTCACACTTCCAGCAACAAACTCAAACTCACAACCCATGAAAAATTACTTTTAAATCAAAACTTCACTATTGGCCAGGCACAGTGGCTCACACCTATACTCCCAGCACTGTGGGAGGCTAAGGTGGGTTGATTTATTGAGCCTCAGAAGTTCAGGATCAGCCTGGGCAACAAAAAAGTACAAAAATTAGTCAGGCATGGTGGTGCATGCCTGTAGTCCCAGGTACTCAGGAGGCTGTGATGCAAAGATCACCTGAGCCCAGGGAGGTCGAGGCTGCAGTGAGCTGTGATCGTGCCACTGCACTTCAGCCGGGGTGACAGAGTGAGATCCTGCCTCTAAACAAACAAACATGAGCTTTACATCATCAATATTTTTAAGCACTCATACTTTTAGCTACTACATTTCCTTAACACTTACCTTATATCTATTAAGTGCCTTTGTGTTTTTCCTTTATGGTTTTTAGGTAAAACTATAAAGCCTTTATTACATAGAAAGTGCTGCTGAACAAGCTGTTCCAAGAACAGAAAGGAGGGCAACAATTAAATAGATGGTAAAGATAAGTAATTGCTGCTATTTTTACATGCTACCTGATTTTAAATACTCAATAAAAGTCACAGCAATAAGATTTCATCACCAACCTAAAGCTCTTTAACATAGGTTTTCTTCAAGTATACTTTAAAAGAGATCTTCTTTCCTAGGCAGTGATGTTTGTTACCTTTCATTCATTTCAAATCAGCACTGTACTCATTAAAAAGAGTAAACTAATCTTACAGGAAAAAGTTCTGTAAAACTGTGTAACTGTCTTAGAAGACTAAAAACAGATTTTAAATAATGTGATTTGATTTTTTCCATTAATGAGTGTTATAGCTCCTTCTTACAAGCTACTAGGAACCACCTGAGGGACCAGAATTCTATTAACAAAATATAATTAAGTGACAGACACTGGAGGAACCTGCTATTTGCTATCAATTTTGCTTATTTTTTGTGATTTTTGAGTAAAACAAGAAAAATTATTCAGAGGACATCATGAAAATTATGTTCGATAAAATTATTTTAAACATTAAACAGTTATGGTTTCAAAAGTCATTCACTTGAATTAAAAATGAAATATACAGCCCCAAATTAGGTAGTACTTTTTCAATGCACATTCCATTTAGTTGAAAGGATACGTTGGAAACAATGTCTGGTGAATGGAAGGGCTTTGTTAGCGCACTGTTCACCCTTCACGGTTCCACTGCATGCTGCTGGTTCCACCTCCCTCAGCTTGGTCCGGCTTATGCTAAGGAAAGAAAAACAGAGAATTAATTTTTTTTTAATGCTTTAAGAATCCAGGGTAATTTTTCAACATGATGTCACAACTCTGTAACACTCTCATTATAATATATATAACATCTACAGTCACTAAATAAAATGCAAATGTGATTTAAAGAAAGACGGTATTACAATTACCAATTGTGTTATTTCCCTAATCTTCTGACATTCAAAGCTGATAATTACATCAGAATATGTTTCAAGTATGTCTGTTTTTTTTTTTAAGTGATGTTTTATTTCCCTTTTCTTCACAAAGAGACAGTAGAGAAAAGTGATGAAGAACATGAGAGAAGAATCAGATGGACCTGGTTTTGAATCTCAGCTCTCCCTCTTACTAGCTGTGTGACTATGGGCATGTTGCTCAGCCTCATTTAAACCCCAATTTTCTCACCTGTAAAGTAGAGACAATAAGGTACCTTGAGCTGGCAGGGTTGTTGGGAGCATAAAAGGATTAATCACATCTAAACCACTTATATACAGTATATAGTATTACACAGTAAACAGTCAGTGGTTGTTAGTCATGACTATGATTATCGCCACCATTAGGAATTGATTGCCTCATGCTACTAAACCCATAAATCTGCAAAAAAACTCTTCATCTCATACATGGGGAAGAGGATACTGATACGCAGAAATGGCTGAGTGGCTTTTATCCTCCAAAGTGAACTCACTTTAGATCTATTTTTTAAACTTTCTATTATATGTGCAATCCATGTTTCATTATTTAAATTTTTTTTTATCTCCACTTTGTACACTTAATGTTTAAATATTTTAACTCATTTAAAATCTTATGAATAAGCAATGCATTCACATGGATCCATAAAAAAATGAAAGAATGCTAGGCAGTGAAGAATCGACTTCTTGCCCTTGCCCCCTAATTTGCCAGCCCCCACTCCCTCTATAATACGTATTCATTTTATTAGTCTGCAGATCCTTCCAGTTTCTTTACACAAACATATAAAAACACAAATAAATAACATTTAAATTCTTAGAAGTGGGCCAGGTGCAGTGGTTCATGACTGTAATCCCAGCACTTTGGGAGGCAGAGGAGGGCTCCCAAAATCAAAAAGGATCGCTTGAGCCCAGGAGTTTGAGACCAGTCTGGGCAACATAGGGAGATCCCCATCTCTATTGAAAAAAAGAAAAAGAAAAAGAAAAAAGACAATTCTTACAAGTACAAAACCTATCCCATCTACGTGACTCTATAAAGCATCACAAACCATTAGGCCTTTACAAGTCTGAGTATGAGGAAAAAAATCTACTTAACATACTGAGTTCAAGTCAGATATCACAAACAAAAAATCTTTTGAGTTGTTTGTTTCTAGTATCTTTCTCAGGGTTTCAATGGAATTATTGACACTAATTAGGTAAGGCCACACAGAATCTAAATTACATATGAATTTACACAAAATATAAATACTTCTACCGTAGTTATTAATTTCATATAAACTGTAAACACTGTTTATATGTCCATGGTGTTGCCTTAAAACCTGCCTTAACTAAGATGTCTACAAGATTTGTCACGATTATAAGAATAGGGAAGTGGATCATCATAGAACTAAACAGTTTATTCCTAATAGTTTATCCATTGTTTCTTTAAAAAATTGTTTACATTAAATTTAGCCCTATAAAAGGAATATATAATTTCAAATAAATAAACCTTTACTATTCTGGCAGCTAAGCTCAAATTCTCTTGGTCTAGATTTAAATAGAAAGGTCTCCATATTAAAGGGATACTTCTCTTTTTTTATTTTGAGACGGAGTTTTGCTTGTTGCCCAGGCTGGAGTGCAATGGTGCGATCTCGACTCACTGCAACCCTCACCTCCCGGGTTCAGGTGATTCCCCTGCCTCAGCCTCCCAAGTAGCTGGGATTACAGGCACCTGCCACCATGCCTTGTTAATTTTTTATATTTTTAGTAGAGACGTGGTTTCACCATGTTGGCTGGGCTGGTCTTGAACTCCTGACCTCAGGTGATCCACCTGCCTCAGCCTCCCAAAGTGCTGGGATTACTGGCATGAGTCACCACACCCTGCCTGAATGGATAATTTTCATTAAACACTCTAATAAACCGCTCAGCTATCTTCAAAGACTAGTGTACAATACATTCCCTCATTTTCTTTATTCCAAACTTACAAAATAACTATTGGTTTCATTTTTTAAACTTGCCTTGTTTCAATAACCCCATGGACAAATTAAGGTAAAAATGGCCAGACACAGTGGCTCACCCAGTAATCCCAGCACTTTGGGAGGCTGAGGCAGGCGGATCACAAGGTCAGGAGTTCGAGACCAGCCTGGCCAACACAGTGAAACCCCGTCTCTACTAAAAATACAAAAAAAATTAGCTGGGCATGGTGGCGGGCACCTGTAATCCCAGCTACTCGGGAGGCTGAGGTAGGAGAATCACTTGAACCCAGGAGGTGGAGGTTGCAGTGAGCCGAGATCACACCATTGCACTCCAGCCTGGGCAACAGAGCAGAACTCTGTCTCAAAAAATAAAAAATAAAAAAAAATTAATGTGAAAATGCTTGATGTAATGTTAGATATATTTTATTATCCAAATAAGCCCAACAAACAAAGGGAATTACCAAAACTTTTTCATGTTTTTCATATTTAAAAAATCTACTACAGGATTCCCTTTGACATGCCCTATTGCACCCCCCATAAATAATGATGTTTCCATACAAACATTAGTCACTGTATGATTGTGGGCTGCAAGATACTTAATTTGGGTTCACATATTTGAAGCTATTTCAATGGCTTATTCCACTTACTCATCAATAAATACGACAAAGTTATTTGATAGGAAAGACTAACATTATTTAGCTTGTATACAAACTATATTTTATTTTATTGAGAAGGAGTCTCCCTCTGTCACCCAGGCTGGAGTGCAATGGTGCAATCTCAGCTCACTGCAAGTTCTGCCTCCCGGGTTCAAGCAATTCTCCCACAGCAGCCTCCCAAGTAGCTGAGACTACAGGCGCATGCCACCACACCCAGCCACCATGCCTGGCCAACGAACTCTATTTTAAAGGATCCAGGCCGGGCGCAGTGGCTCATGTTTGTAATCCCAGCACTTTGGGAGGCCAAGGCAGGCAGAGTACCTGAGGTCAGGAGTTCGAGACCAGCTTGGCCAACATGGTGAAATCCTGTCTCTACAAAAAATACAAAACAATTAGCCAGACGTGGTAAAGGGTGCCTGTAATCCCAGCTACTTGGGAGGTTGAGGCAGGAGAACCACTTGAATCCGGGAGGCGGAGCTTGCAGGGAGCCAAGACAGCGCCATTGCACTCCAGCCTGGGCAACAAGAGTGACACTCCATCTCAAAAAACTAAAAAATTAATAAAGGGTCCACATTAGAAGGTAGCCATTAAACTTTTAATTTCTAAAATATGTAATGTCAAACTTTTATGTATCTTTTTTTGAAACTAGGACTTTAATACCGAAAATATCAAATAGAGGGCAGCATGCAACTAAAAGTTGACTTTTGTGAACCTAGAATATAATGTAATATAAAAAGCTGCCGGCTGGGCGCAGTGGCTCATGCCTGTAATCCTACCACTTTGGGAGGCCGGGGGAGGCAGATCACGAGGTCAGGAGTTCATGACCAGCCTAGCCAACATAGTGAAACCCCGTCTCCACTAAAAATACAAAAAATTAGCCGGGCATAGTGGCGCATGCCTGTAGTCCCAGCTACTTGGGAGGCTGAGGGAGAAGAATTGCTTGAACCCAGGAGGTGGAGGTTGTGGTGAGCCAAGACTGTGTCACCACACTCCAGCCTGGGCAACAGAGTGAGACTCATCTAAAAAAAAAAAAAAAAAAAAAAGTTGCCAATCACCAAAGAATGATTATGATACATTGTTACATGATTATCAGCGATGCACTGGGCCATAAACTTTTCACTAATCATGGGTGACACAACTGAATATCATCAAATCAATCTGAAAACTATAACAGGGTCCATCTTGCTGTTTGTTTGTTGTGGCAGTTATCATTAATGTTTTTTAAATATCACTGATGTCAGTTAGGAAGATGTTCTGAAAACAACCAGTTAAGAATCATAGATATATACAGTTTTCCACACAAATACCAAATTTTCCCAAACTCATTGTATAGTCTTTTATATCTTTGACAAGATCAGAATAATATATTGGACTCAGCATATACATTTACATACAAATTGGTTCATGCTGGACAATTCTACTAAAAGTATACACTTGAAAGCATTATATCATATAAATGTTAGTTATCATTATTTTATAACCTGTGTCAAACTGAGTAAATTCCTTCAACAAATAGAGAACAGACCTTCATTTATTCAATTTTGTTCACTCGTTCATCAATACTGGAGATTTAGGAACAAACTTTTTCCTGTTCTCATGGAAATTACTGTCTAGCATGAGAGACAAGTTAATATAGGTATAAAATTGTACAATGAAACAGAGTACAGAGCACAGTAGGCATACACAGTAGAGGGAACCTAACATAGTCCAGGGAATCAGGGAATGTATCTCTAAGAACATAAGTCTCTGAGTAAGCTGAGACCTGAAGGATGTTCTAGAACAGATACTAGATCCAGAGGACTGAGAGGTCTAGGAGTCAGGCAAGGTGATTTGGGTGTAAGGGAAGAGTAGGCTGCAGCCATTACATATGGTATATTAGATACTTCAAACAACTCTAACCTGTTCTACTTCTAGAAAACTCTTAAGGGCACAGTGCATCCATGTGAGATATGCAACTGAAAATTAGGTCACTTTATTACAACAAATGAAAAGCAAAATACACAACACTAAAATAAAATATCAAAAAACAGGTATATAAGTAATATGACCAACAGCTACAAAATAAAGGTTATATTTTAACACTTTGTTTTATTTATTTATCTTTTTTTTTGTTTGAGACGGAGTCTCACTCTGTCGCCTAGCCTGGAATGCAGTGGCACAATCTCGGCTCACTGCAACCTCTGCCTCCTGGGTTCAAGCAATTCTCCTGCCTCAGCCTCCCGAGTAGCTGGGACTACAGGTGCCCACCACCACACCCAGCTAATTTTTGTGTTTTTAGTAGAGACAAGGCTTCACTATGTTGGCCAGGCTGGTCTCGAACTCCTGACCTCATGATCCGCCCACCTCGGCCTCCCAAATCATGCTGGGATTACAGGCATGAGCCATCGCACCCGGCCAACACTTTGTTTTAAAACCCTTTTTTTCCCTCAAGTGACTTATGATCATTACATAAAAATGAGACTGTACAAACTAAGAATTTTTTCATTTTATCAATAATCCCACCACCTAGAGATATTCTGGTACATAAATTCCTAAATTTTTTCTCTATATATGTACTAAAAGTTGTCATATGAAAATATAATAACTGGCCACGCATGGTAGCTCACGCCTGTAATCCCAGCACTTTGGGAGGCCGAGGTGGGTGGATCACCTGAGGTCAGGAATTCCAGACCAGGCTGGCCAACATGGCGAAACTCCATTTCTACTAAAAATACAAAAATTAGCCAAGCGTGGTGGCGGGTGCCTGTAGTCCAAGCTACTCAGGAGGCTGAGGCAGGAGAATTGCTTGAACCCGGGAGGCAGAGGTTGTAGTGAGCCGAGATCGCACCATTGCACTCCAGCCTACACAAGAAGAGTGAAACTCCATCTCAAAAAAAAAAAAAAATATATATATATATATATATATATATAAAATAACTAAAAAGTGTGAAATAGGCTGGTCCATATGCAGTGGTTTTACAAGTAATTTATCACAACCAGTTAGTTACAGATTTCTTTGCTCCTTCTCCACTCCCACTGCTTCACTTGACTAGCCTTAAAGGAAAAGAAATTTTTTAAATGTGTGAAATAATAAATAATAAACTCAATAAAGAAGCTGGCCTTCTATCAGGAGGCTGAGGCTGTAGTGACCCGTGATTACGCCACTGAATTCCAGCCTGGGCGACAGACTGAGACCTTGTCTGAACGACAACAAAAAGAATCAGAATTTGAACTCTATTTCCTTAAAGTAAGATAATGTTTTGAAATTTTTTTTTTTGGAAGGCAGTCCCACTCTGTCGCCCAGGCTAGAGCACAATGGTGTGATCTCTGCTCACTGCAACCTCCTACTCCCAGGCTAAAGCCATCCTCCCACCTCAACGTTCCTAGTAGCTAGGACTACAGGTGCACGCCACCACACCTGGCTAATTTTTGTATTTTTTAGTAGAGATGGGGTCTCATCACGTTGTCCAGGCTAATCTCGAATTCGTGACCTCAAGTGATCTACCCACCTCAGCCTACCAAAGTGCTGGGATTACAGGTGTGAGCCACTGCACCCAGCCATGTTTTGAAATTTTAAAATTCAATTTAGTGCTTTAAATGTGTATTTCAGTTAAAAGTAATAACCAGGCAGGGGCAGTGGCTCATGCCTGTGATCCCAGGACTTTGGGAGGCCAAGGTGGGCAGATCACTTGAGGTCAGGAGTTCAAGACCAGCCTGGCCAACATGGTGAAACCCCATCTTTACTAAAAATACAAAAATTGGCTTGGCATGATGGCGGGCACCTGTAATCCCAGCTACTTGGGAGGCTGAGACAGAAGAATTGCTTGAACCAGGGAGGCAGAGGTTGCCATGAGCCAAGATCGTGCCACTTCACTCCAGCCTGGGTGACAGGGCAAGGCTCCGTCTCAAAAAAAAATTAAAAAAAAGAAAAATAGCCATAATTAAAATATATATAAAAAACAAAATTGTGTTAAATATGTATTTATATATACACAACAGATATTATATATATTTTATATATAACAGATATTTTATATTTATATATATAACAGAATTCCATAATCAGTTTAGAAAATATAACTTTGTATTTTTTAAAAATTTTATAGGTATAAACAAAGGTATTACTGTACTAAGGTTTTCACCATTACCACCAAAATGGTAATATGCCAAATTTCTAAAATATCAGATAACTCTACATTTCTGATATACAGATTTTCACGAATGGAATATTATGTAAACATTATAAATCCTGTTTTCAAAAGAATCTTGAAGAACATAGGGAAATGGCTATGGTATACTTTTGAGGGAAAACTAGAAAACTCAAATTATTGTCATGAGAATGTCATTAATTAATAATTAAGAATTAATCTCATGAGAAAGTGGTCATAATTCAGTGATAAAAGGAAAAGAGCATTTACGGAAATAAATGAAAATAATACAGATAACATGATTTCAATTTTGCTTTTTAATATAAACACATGGCTCACTGGAAAATTTACACACGCACGCGCGCACGCGCACACACACACACACACACACAGAGAAAGACTAGAAGGAAACAGAATCAAAATGTTAACAGTGCTCATTCTCTCTCTCATGAATGGTAACAAGAAGATTTTTCCCTTCTCATTTGTGTATTTTTAAAATTTTCCACAATAAACAAGTATTTGCATTATAAACAGAAGGAATTTTTTTCTTAAAAAAAATTCAATGTAATAAAATACTTGCACAAA
This sequence comes from Homo sapiens, assembly GCF_000001405.40. Classification (NCBI taxonomy): domain Eukaryota; kingdom Metazoa; phylum Chordata; class Mammalia; order Primates; family Hominidae; genus Homo; species Homo sapiens. The sequence goes on from NW_015495299.1 coordinate 136,390, forward strand.
TAATCTGTGAGGTAATGTAAATATTAATAGAAAACACACTGAAAAGGCCAGCTACAGTGGCTAACACCTCTAATCCCAACACTTTGGGAGGTAAAGGTGGGAGGATCGCTTCAGGCCAGGAGTTTGAGACCAGCTTGGGCAATACAGCGAGACCCTCACCTCTACAAAAAAAAATTTTTTTAATTAGCTGGGTATGGTTTCACATGCCTATAGTCCCAGCTACTCAGGAGGCTGAGGTGGGAGGGTCATTTGAGCCCAGGAGTTTGAGGCTGCAGTGATCTATGATCACACCACTGCACTCCAGCCTGGGCGACAGAGCAAGACCCTGTCTCTAAAAACAAAAAAATGAAAACCAACACTGAAAAGAAACTAAAATAACACATGTAAATAAACATAAAATACTACTTTTGTAGTTAAAAATCTATAAATGTTACTTTTAAATAACATGAAATTTCTAAGCATTCTATTTTTTTAAAGCCAGGTAACATTCTCAAATCTTCAATGAATAAATTCTAATCAAACTTCAGCAAAATTTTAGTAATGGTTTAATTTTACTGTTAGCTCATGGCAGTATTATTTTGCCACCTGTAGCACTTTAATAAAGCAAGAAAACCAAAACATAATGCTTAAACGTTTAGGACTTAGTGGTCATCTCCCACTGTGCCTCAACTATCCTCTCACAAAATAAAGAAAGCAAACTGAGATGAGTCCCTTAAGAATAGGTTGCTGTGGCTCTAACCTGGTTCGACTGCATGCAGCTCTCCGCAGTTCTTGTATTAACTGACCAGTGCATTCTGGTTCTTTACTGGCCGCCTGCAGCAAAGCTTTCCTAAACGTATGCCGGCATTTCTTTTGACGAGATTCTGCCCGCTCCAGGCGGCAGAGGTGCTTATATTTCTGCTGAAAGTAAGTGCAAAGTTGAGTCACCCTGGAGCTCCTACTCTCCGCATCATCATCATCTGACCTGGAAAGTGCAGGGAGAGAAAGGAAAAACTGATTACACATTAGGCTCATTTTAGACAGGGTAAACGAGAATTAGGAAATGTAGCTGAATGCACAGGTTTAAAACTTTTGTGGCATGTGAGCACATACTTCACACAATTAGAGTAAGAGAATTCCAACAGAGCTGAACTAAGTACAGTATTTCAACAGTAAGGACAGAGTTAATCCAGTGTTTTCAAAAACAGCCTTCTTAGCATGGCATCAGTAGACACTTAATATACCAGTGTCTTCTAAATTTTAAGTGACTAGAGACCCCTGAGGAAAAAAATTCATTTCTTTACCTTTACTTACTAAAAAGTCTGAGTAAATGACATGACAGTTATGAGGAAACACATAGCATAATTTCATAAAAGATAGGTCATACCAGAAATAGGGCAGCGAATTCTAACAGTTTATTATCTAAGAGCTGCCCTTTTAACCATTCTGGTTTTTAACCACCTTTTTCTTGCTAACCACCTAAAGAAATTTGGTTGTAGGGATCGCATTAATTCTACCATGTATTTTTGTTTTGTTTTTTTGTTTTTTTTTTTTGGAGACAGAGTCTCACTCTGTCGCCCAGGCTGGAGTGCAGTGATGCGATCTCAGCTCACTGCAAGCTCCATCTCCTGGGTTCACGCCATTCTCCTGCCTCAGCCTCATGAGTAGCTGGGACTACAGGTGTCTGCCACCACGCCTGGCTAATTTTTTTGTATTTTTAATAGAGACGGGGTTTCACCATGTTAGCTAGGATGGTCTCGATCTCCTGACCTTGTCATCCACCTGTCTCGGCCTCCCAAAGTGCTGGGATTACAGGCATGAGCCACCGAGCCCGGCCTTCTACCATGTATTTTTTTAACTATGGAAGTATCCTAAACAGCATTTGATAAGTCAGGGATTACATAAAGGATTTTCCATCACATGCTAATAATGTGATTAATTGGTGTCCTGGCTGAAATGCTATGTGGAAGTGATGCTGAAGGAACATCTAAGCTCAACAAGAAAGAGTGCCTTTTTAGCAATGGCTACCACCAGCAAGGTTTAAAAGGCCACTTTTTTATGGAACAAATGTGATCTTACTTTTTACCGTTAGGAATAATGCCCACTGGACTTGAAAACTGACCTGTTATTTTAGCTTCTTTCTCTGCTATCATAAGTAAATACCACACATGACACCATGGACTATATATTCTCTTACTAATCTTCTACTATTCATTGCTGGGTTTCTCTTAAGTGATATTATTCTTCTTTCCTTCAGCATAGTCTATAACAGGCTACTCTATAAACTTCTACTTAGTACCTCTCCTAAGAAGCACATTCTCGTCAGTATACTTTTTACTACAGATCTACAAATTGAAGGACTTTACTTCAATCTTTTCATTTATTCAACATTCAACATTCACTGTGTATCTATTATGCTCAGCACTACAGAAGAGAGACCAACATTTCAAAGAGTTTGCAATGCAATTTGGACAAGATAAACACTTCCCAAAAAGTTAAAACAATTCAAAAAAGAATAAAAACAGTAACAAAAACAGTGGGGCAAAAAGGCCAATGATTCAAATATCTGACCACAAATCAGAAAAATCTGTGAGCACTTAAAAGTTTCAGACTCCTACAAACTACCCCAAATCTACTGAACCAGAATCTCCATGGTATAGGGCCCAGGATTCTTCATTTTGAATTTTTCCCTGACCTCTGACAGCAGGTCTACACTTGGGAGTTCTCGTAGAGCTAGCAAATGTGATAAATATCTTTCACACAAGACAGAAAACAGTAAAGTACCACAACAGAGGTCAGGGTAAGGTGTTACTGAAGTTCACTGGAAAGACAGCTGGAAGGCCTGGGTACGATGGCTCACATCTGTAATCCCTGCAATTTTGGGAGGCCAAGGTGGGCAGATCACCTGAGGTCAAGAGTTTGACCAACAACGCAAAACCCTGTCTCTACTAAAAATACAAAAAGTACTCAGGTGTAGTGGTGTATTCCTGTAATCCCAGTCACTCAGGAGACTGAGGCAGGAGAATCATTTGAACCTGGGAGGTGGAGGTTGCAGGAAACTGAGACCACAGCAGTGCACTCCATCCTGGGTGACAGAGCAAGACTTTGTCTCAAAAAAAAAAAAGACTGCTGGAAGTAAAGAAAGGCTTTGCAGAGGAGGTGACAGCAGAAATGAACCCTGAAGAAAGAGGACCTCACACAAATACAACACGTAAGCCAAGACACACAAGACACAGAGATAGACAGGATGGTGAACAGCAAGAATGTAAGTAGCTTGGTGTGGCTAAGGTAAGGGGTCTGTAAGGGAATAATGATAGGTAAGGTTAGCTTTCTAGACTTAAATGTCAAATTAAAGAGTTTAACCTTTATTCCACAGGTAAAGCAGAAGACTTGTAATTTTTTAAATTTTGCACTCCTAACTGCTAAGCTTTGTAACTGTTAAGAAAATACAGTAACAGAGGTGTGCCATGACAATGATTACAGTCAGCAGCAGATATAAAATAAACAGAAGAAGAGAGAGAAGAAGGCAGTTAAAAAATTACTGTAAATCTCCAGCAAAGAGATAACAAGGATCCATGCTAGGATGGAAGGAGCAGGACTGGAGAGCATGAGGCAATCTGCATGTATAAAGACAAGCTTTGTCAGCTGGCAAGGACCAGAGAAGGGACAATAAGCAGGCAGCAGTTTCCACCAACAAAGAATGGGAAGGACAGTAACATCATGTATAAAACAAGGAACTAAAAATACAAAAAAAATAGCTTGGTATGGTGGTGCATCCCTGTAGTCCCAGCTACTTGGGAGGCTGAGGCAGGAGAATCACTTGAACCCAGGAGGCAGAGGTTGCAGTGAGCCAAGATCACGCCAGTGCACTCCAGCCTGGGTGACAGAGCAAGACTCCATCTCGAAAAAAAAGAAAAAAAAAAAAGACATATAAGGGCCATTATCATAAGTGAACTAACTCACTTTGGTGACTCAATATGAAAGATTAGAAAGTCAATGACTCAATGACTTAGAATATGCATAACTAGGAAAACAGAAGTCTCATTCATAGAAAAAGGAAATGGAGAGGAAAGGCAGATCTTAAAGGGAAGGTAAAGCTTGGGTCGATAATCAGTTGCCAAAACTGTTATTTTAAAAAGATGCACCTGCGCCCCTGCCACCGCTATCACCACCTCAGTGTCCCTTGGCTCCAGTCCCACTCTTAGGACAGCACCGCCACTGCTGCATGGCCCTGCCTGCCTCCTGTGCTGCGCAGCACTTGCGGGTGCCCCAGATGGCACTTTACCCCTAGGACTGGCTTAAAATAGTGGAGTGATCATCATGGCCGATGAGAGGCAGGACTGGATTGCAGCTCCAACTCGGACAGACAGAGCAGAGTGCCGAGGCTTGCATAGTGAATTTTATCTCCAGAACAACTGCAAGAACAAACCAGGAATCCCGAGAGGACCTACAGACCCTCTGAAGGAAGTGGACTGCTCCTGCAGGATCCGGAGACACTCCAAATACCGTGAGTGCCCAAACTGCGGAAGTAGGAAAGGGAGATTCTCCGTTTCGAACACACACCGCTGCTGGGGAAACTGAAGGTCTAGTTTGCAGGAGAAGTTTCCGACCTTACCTGGAGCTGAGTCAATTTAGAGAGCTGAGCAAAATAACAGGGGTAGAGAAAGCAGCAGGAAACGCTCTGGGAGCTCACTGGGTCCCCAAGCAGGTCATTCCTGCCTGGCATCACAGAGATCTTTCGGGAGGGCAGCCAGAGGCATGGGGAAAATGCCACAGGGAGAAGGAAATCTCCAGCTGAACTTTGTAACAATTTGAACCTGGCGAGAAGCCTCCTGGCCAGAATGTGGGGAAGGCCACAAATCGTCTGTGCAGACTCCACAGGTGGGGAAAGAACCAAAGCCCCTCTCTTTTGCAGCTGGGAGGCAGGTAGCCTCGGACAAGTTCTCAAGCCCTGCTCACCCACTGCCTGGAAACAGACTGGGGCTATTAGGTGGGGCATGGTGGGAGTGAAACCAGCCCCTCAGATTGTGTGGGAGCTGGGTGAGGCCTATGACTGCCGGATTTCCCCCACTTCTCTGACAACCTGTGTGATTCAGCAGAGGCAGCCATAATCCTCCTAAATACACAACTCCATTGATCTGGGAGCCTTTGCCTAGACACATTGTCATTAGGTTATCCAAAGTTAAGACGAAGGAAAGAATCTTAAGAGCTGTGAGACAGAAGCACCAGATAACCTATAAAGAAAACCTGTGAGATTAACAGCAGATTTCTCAAGAGAAACCCTACAAGCTAGAAGGGATTGGGGCCCTATCTTCAGCCTCCTTAAACAAAACAATTATCAGCCAAGAATTTTGTATCAAGCAAAACTAAGCATCATATATGAAGGAAAGATACAGTCGTTTTTCAGACAAACAAATGCTGAGAGAATTCACCATGACCAAACCACCACTACAAGAACTGCTAAAAGGAGCTCTAAATCTTGAAACAAATCCAGGAAACACATCAAAACAGAATCTTTTTAAAGCATAAATTATACAGGACCTATAAAACAAAAATACAAGTTAGAAAGTGAAACAAAAAACAAAAGTACACAGGCAACAAAGAGCACAATGAAAGCAACGGTACCTCATATTTCAATACTAACATTGAATGTAAATGACCTAAATGCTCCACTTAAAAGATACAGAACCACAGAATGGATAAGAACCCACCAACCAACTATCTGCTGCCTTCAGGAGACTCACCTAACATATAAGGACTCACATAAACTTAAAGGCACAGAAAAAGGCATTCCATGCAAATGGACACCAAAAGCAAGTAGGGGTAGCTATTCTTATATCAGACAAAACAAACTTTAAAGTAACAGCAGTTAAAACAGACAAAGAGGGATATTATATAATAGTAAAAGGCCTTGTCCAGCAACCACAGAATAAACACTCTATTCAACAGTGCATGGAACTTTCTCCAAGATAGACCATATGCTAGACCACAAAATGAGCCTCAATAAATTTAGGAAAATTGAAATTATATCAAGTATCTCTCAGACTACAGTGGAATAAAACTGGGAATCAACTCCAAAACAAACCTTCAAAACCATCCAAATACATGGAAATTAAATAACCTGCCCCTGAAAGAGCTTTGGGTCAAAAACACAATCAAGATGGAAAATTAAAAATTCTTCAGATTGAATGACAATAATGACACAACCTATGAAAACCTCTTGGATACAGCAAAGGCAGTGCTAAGAGGAAAGTTCATAGCCCTAAACGCCTACATCAAAAAGACTGAAAAAGCACAAACTGACATTCTAAGGTCACACCTCAAGGAAGTAGAGAAACAAGAAGAAACTAAACCCAAACCCAGCAGAAGAAAGGAAATAACCAATATCAGAGTAGAACTAAATGAAATTGAAACAAACAAACAAAAAAATACAAAAGATAAATGAAACAAAAAGCTGGTTCTTTGAAAAGACACATACAATTGATAGGCCATTAGCAAGATTAACCAAGAAAAGAAGAGAGAAAATCCAAATAACCTCAATAAGAAACAAAACAGGAGATGTTACAACTGATACTACTGAAATACAAAAGATCATTCAAGGCTACTATGAACACCTTTATGTACATAAACTGGAAAACCTAGAAGAGATGGATAAATGGATAAATTCCTGGAAAAATATAACCCTCCTAGCTTAAATCAAGAATTAGATAACCTGAACAGACCAACAACAAGCAGCATGATTGAAATGGTAATTTAAAAATTACCAACAAAAATCAGTCCAGGATCAGACTTATTCACAGCAGAATTCTACCAGACATTCAAAGAAGAATTGATACCAATCCTTTTGACACTATTCCACAAGATAGAGAAAGAAGGAATCCTCCCTACTTCATTCTATGAAGCCAGCATCACCCTAATACCAAAACCAGGACATAACCAAAAAAGAAAACCACAGACCGATATCCCTGATGAACATAGATGGTAAAACCCTTAACAAAATATTACCTAACCGAATCCAACAACTTATCAAAAAGATAATTCACCATGATCAAGTGGGTTTCATACCAGGGATGCAGAGATGGTTTAACATAAGCAAGTCAAGAAATGCAATATACCACATAAACAGAATCAAAAATAAAAATCACATGATCATCTCAATAGATGCAGAAAAAGCATTTGACAAAATCCAGCACCTCTTTATGATTAAAACTTTCAGCAAAATTGGCATACAAGGGACATACCTCAATATAATAAAAGCCATCTATAACAAACCCACAGCCAACATAATACTGAATGGGGAAAAGTTGAAAGCATTCCCTCTGAGAACTGGAACAAGACAAGGATGCCCACTCTCACCACTCCTCTTCAACATAGTACTGGAAGTCCTAGCCAGAGCAATTAGATAAGAGAAAGAAATAAAGGGCATCCAAATCAGTAAAGAGGAAGTCAAACTGTCACTGTTTGCTGATGATCTGATCGTTTACCCTTGAAAACCATTAAGACTCCAGAAAGCTCCTAGAACTGATAAAAGAATTCAGTAAAGTGTCCGGATACAAGGTTAATATACACCAATCAGTAGCTCTTCTATACACCAACAGCAACCAAAATCAAGAACTCAATCCCTTTTACAATAGCTGCAAAAGAAAAATAATAATAATAAAATACTTAGGAATATACCTAACAAAGGAGGCGAAAGACCTCTACAAGGAAAACTACAAAACACTGCTGAAAGAAATCATGGATGACACGAACAAATGGAAACACATCCCATGCTCATGGACAGGTAGAATCAATATTGTGAAAATGACCATACTGCCAAAAGTAATCTACAAGTTCAACATAATCCCCATCAAAATACCACCTCATTCTTCACAAAATTAGAAAAAACAATTCTAAAATTCATAAGGAACCAAAAAGCAGCCCACATAGCCAACACAAGACTAAGCAAAAAGAACAAATCTGGAGGCAACACACTACCTGATTTCAAACTATACTATAAGGCCACAGTCACCAAAAAAGCATGGTATTGGTATAAAAATGGGCACACAGACCAACGGGACAGAATAGAGAACCCAGAAATAAACTCAAATACTTACATCCAACTAATCTTTGACAAAGCAAACAAAAACAAAGTGGAAAAAGAACACCCTTTCAACAAATGGTGCTGGGATAATTGGCTAGCCACATGTAGGAGAATGAAACCGGATCCTCTCACCTTATACAAAAATCAACTCAAGGTCAATTAAGGACTTAAATCTAACACCTGAAACTATAAAAATTCTAATACTGGAAAAACCTTCCTAGACATTGGCTTAGGCAAGGAGTTCATGACCAAGAACCCAAAAGCAAATGCAGTAAAAACAAAGATAAATAGCTGGGACGTAATTAAACTAAAGAGCTTTTGCACAGCAAAAGGAACAGTCAGCAGAGTAAACAGACAACCCACAGAGTGGGAGAAACTCTTCACAATCTATTCATCTGACAAACGACTAATATCCAGAATCCACAACGAACCCAGACAAATCAGTAAGAAGAAAACAAACAATCCCAATAAAAAGTGGGCTACGGACATGAATAGACAATTCCCAAAAGAAGATAAACAAATGGGCAACAAACATATGAAAAAATGCTCAACATCACTAATTGCAAATTTGATTTGCAGGGAAATGCAAATCAAAACCACAATGCAATACCATCTTACTCCTGCAAGAATGGCCATAATCAAAAAATCAAAAATCAGTAGATGTTGGCATGGATGTGGTGATCAGGGAACACTTCTACACTGCTGGTGGGAATGTAAACTAGTACAGCCACTATGGAAAACAGTGTGGAGATTCCTTAAAGAACTAAAAGTAGAACTACCATTTGATCCAGCAATCCCACTACCGGGTACCCACCCAGAGGAAAAGAAGTCATTATGCAAAAAAGATACTTGCACACACATTTATAGTAGCACAATTCGCAACTGCAAAATCATGGAACCAACCCAAATGCCCATCAGTCAACGAGTGGATAAAGAAACTGTGGTATATGATGGAATACTACTCAGCCATAAAAAGGAATGAATTAATGGCATTTGCAGTGACCTGGATGAGATTGGAGACTATTATTCTAAGTGAAGTAACTCAGAAATGGAAAACCAAACATCCTATGTTCTCACTGATATGTGGGAGCTAAGCTATGAGGACCCAAAGGCATAAGCAAGATACACTGGACTTTGGGGACTTGGGGGGAAGGGTGGAAGGGGAGCAAGGGATAAAAGACTACAAATAGGGTGCAGTGAATACTGATCTCACAAATCACCACTGAAGAGCTTATTCATGTAACCAAATACCACCTGTACCCCAATAACCTATGGAAAACTGAAAAAATAAAAAAGATGCTATTACTGCAGAATGGAAGGACTAAATCAGTGCTTCTCAAGTTAAGTGTGGAAAGACGCACTTGGATGCTGAGGCACGTTACATGATTATACGATTTTCTAAAGCTTATTCATAATTTCCATACTTATTTTATCACAGACCAGTAACAAGCAGTTTGCAGACTGACACAGGTCCACAGACCATCCCTTGCAAGGACATAATTTAGAACATCTTCAGGATGCTTCCCACTTCTAAGATCAAGGACATTAATATTTCAAACCTGGTTGCTGATGAAGAGTAGAGAATTGAGAAGAGAAAGGCCAGTTTCCCTTCATTTAGCAGTGACAAAACCTGGCACCTAGTGCATTCTCAGTTTGTGTTTGTTTCCTTCCTTCTTTCTTTCCATATCTGTGAAATGAGAGATACACCTGGCCTACCTCCCAAGGTTGTTTACAAAAAAGGAAAGAAATGATACCTGTGAAGTAACAATATAAATACAGATATTGTTATTACTAAGATGCTATTAATAACCCAAATACAGAGCAGCAAATTCTACACTTGATATTCTAAGATTCCAGGCTTGTCCATAATCTCAAGGCATGCCATGAACTTCTCCAAGGGAAATTCATTTTAATTTACTTTATTAAGACAACCAAACAGCAAAATGGTAATACCTCTAATAAAAACAGGAGAATCAGAAAGAGGCATACATATTAAGAAAAATAATGAGTTTAGTTTTAGAAATGCTGAATTTAAGGTATTGACCAAATACGTGATGAGAAATATCCAACGAGCAATTCAAACTCAAAAGAATCATTAGACATGAGTAAAAGATTTGGGAGTCATTCACAAAAAGATAACAAGTAAACCCAGTTAGAATGGCTATCATTAAAAAGACACTGTTGGTGGGAATGTAATTAGTACAGCCTCTATGGAAAACAGTATAAAGATTTCTCAAAGAAGTAAAAATAGAACTATAGAACTTCCATTCAACCCAGCAATCCCATTACCAGGTATCTACTTAAAGGAAAGTAAGTCAATGTATCAAAATGATACCGGCACTCATATGTTGATAACAGCACTATTCAGAATAACAAAGAATGGAATCAACCTAAGTGTCCATCAGTGGACAAATGGATAAAGAAAATGTGTTGTATGTATACATAATGGAATGCTATTTAGCCAAAATAAAAAAAGAATAAAATCATGTCTTTTGCAGCAACATGTATAGAATTAGGGGCTTATTATAAGTGAAACAAGCCAGGCACAGAAAGACAAGTATCACATGTTCTCACTCATAAGTGGGTACTAAAAAACATGTTCACATAGACGTAGAGAATGGAGTGATAGACGATGAAGACTCAGAAGGGTGACGGGGTGGAAGAGCGGAGGATAATGAGAAATTGGTTAACAGGCACAATGTATGTCATTCATGTGATTGGTACCCTAAAAGCCCTGACTTGATCACTACACAATCTATGCATAACAAAACTGCATGTGTACCCCATAAATGTGTACAAATAATATGGAAATAAAATTACTAGTCATCTGTTGTATTCTATTTTGATCTGTGTATTAGAATATTTGTGGTATAAAGATGAATAAATTGTGTTCTTTGACCTTGAGGGTAAAAAGAGGTACCTGATAAAACTTTTAAAAGAAACACTTAACAGCATATGGTAGTTTAGATACTCTAACAGAACTTGTTGCCATTCTAAAGCAACAATATACTAGGTAAAATATATGAATGCATTGTTGGTCCCAATAGGAAGTAGAGGAGATCTCTTCCCCTAACTGCTCATCAAAAAGTAAATAAACAATAAATAGAAAAAACTTGGGCCAGGCACAGTGGCTCACGCTTGTAATCCTAACACTTTGGGAGACCGAGGTGGGAGGATAGCTTAAACCCAGGAGTTCGAAAGTGGCCTGGGCAACATGGTGAAACCCATCTCTACAACAAAATGCAAAAATATAGCCAGGCGTGCTGGTACACGCCTGTAATCCCAGCTACTCGGGAGGCTGAGGTTGCAGGATGGCTTGAGCCTGGAAGGTCATTCCAGCCTGGGTGACAGAGTGAGACCCTGTCTCAGAAAACAAACAAACAAATGAACTCAAAACTGAAGCTAAAGTTAGAAGCAGAGAAAAAAAGAGAGGAGGTAGGCTGATTTCAGAGTACTTGCTGATATAAAGTATCATCCAAACAAGATAATGTAGCTAAATTTGAGTTTCCAGGGTAAGTCCAGAACCTATAAAACCAAAGATTACCATGCAAATGAGTAGGTAAGCCACTTTGTGTGACAAAAAGAAAAAACACATTAAATGATAGACTCATACTTACAAAGACCCCGAAGGTGGGACTTACGACATACAGAATATAAAAGTTGTGTAAGAAAGGTATAAAGGGGCTGGGGGCGGTACCTCACCCCGGTAATCCCAGCACTTTGGGAGGCCAAGGCGGGCAGATCACCTGAGGTCGGGAGTTCAAGACCATCCTGACCAACATGGAAAAACCCCGTCTCTACTAAAAATACGAAATTAGCCAGGCGTGGTGGCGCATGCCTGTAATCCCACCTACTCGGGAGGCTGAGGCAAGAGAATCACTTGAACCCAGGAGGCAGACATTGCGGTGAGCCGAGATTGCGCCATTGTACTCCGGCCTGGGCAACAAAAGCAAAACGAAAGTCCATCTCAAAAACAAAACAAAAAAGAAACATATAAACGATGTTCCTGCTATAGCTTAGGCTCTTGGTTCTGGGCTTAGTGGCATGGTTCCAGAATTTTATTTAATAAATAAACTCTTACAAATAAAAAATTATTTGCTGGGTGCAGTGGCTCACGCCTATAATCGCAGCACTTTGGGAGGCTGAGGTGGGGGATCACCTGAGGTTGGGAGTTCGAGACCAGCCTGACCAACATGTAGAAAGCCCCTCTCTACTAAAAATACAAAATTAGCTGGGCGTGGTGGCGCATGCCTGTAATCCCAGCTACTCGGGAGGCTGAGGCAGAAGAATCACTTGAACCCAGGAGGTGGAGGTTGCAGTGAGCCGAGATTGCACCACTACACTCCAGCCTGGGCAACAGAGTGAGCCTCTGTCTCCAAAAAAAAAAAAAAAAAAGAAAGAAAGAAAGAAAAAATATTATAATGGAATGTTATTTTTAAAAACTGTATGCCAAAAACTTAGATAAAAAATGGACAAGTTCCTAGAGAGGCACAAGCTTCTGAATCTAACTCAAGAAAAAACATGAATAAACATACGACAAAGAGTAATCACAAAACTTCCCACAAAAAAAAGCCCAGGCCCAGGCGCGGTGACTCACACCTGTAATCCCAGCACTTTGGGAGGCCAAGGTAGGCAGATTACTTGAGGTCAGGAGTTGAAGACCAGCCTGGCCAACATGGTAAAACCTCATTTCTACTAAAAATACAAAAATTAGCCGGGCGTAGTGGTGCATGCCTGTAATCCCAGCTACTCAGGAAACTGACACAGGAGAATTGCTTGAACTCAGGAGGTTTAGTGAGCCTAAATCTCACCACTGCACTCCAGCCTGGGTGACAGAGTGCGACTCTGTCTCAAAAAAAAAAAAAAAAAAAGCCCAAGACCAGATGGCTTCACTAGTGAATTATACTAAAACATTTAAAGAATAACTAACATGTTAGACGTAAATGCAATAATAGCCTTCCTTCCTTTTTGTTGTAGCCCTCGGTGGTTGCTGTCAAAATGGGCAAGTGCATGAAACCTGGGAAAGTGGTGCTGGTCCTGGCCAGCAGTATTCTGGCTGAACACAAAGCTGTCATCGTAAAGAACATTAATGATGGCACCTCAGACTGCCCCTACATCCAAGCTCTCGTGGTTGGAATTGATCGCTATCCCTGCAAAGTGACAGCTGCCATGGGCAAAAAGAAGATTACCAGGAGGTCAAAGATCGAGTCTTTTGTGAAGGTTTATAACTACAATCATCTTACGCCTACAGTGCACTCTGTGGATATCCTCTTACACAAAACTGTCATCCACAAGGATGTCTTCAGAGATCCTGCTCTTAAACACAAGTCCCAATGGGAGGCCAAGGTCAAGCTCAAAGAGAGATACAAAACGGGCAAGAACAAGCAGTTCTTCCAGAAGCTACAGTTTTAGATGTTTTGTTTCCATCTTAAAAATTAAATAAATAAATGCAGTAATATAAATAATAACATTAAATTCAAATGGTCTAAACACTCCAAATAAAAAGCAGACACTGTCAGAGTAGATAAATGAAATGAGTAGGAATGAAAGGACACTGTTATACGTTCTTATGCGTGAAGTGGTTTAACACTTGAAGGTAGACTGTGGTAATTAAAGATGTATGATATAAACCCTACAACAGCTACTACAAAAACAAAGCATATGAGTACAGCTAATAAGCTATGAAAAGAGATAAAATACAACCATAATAAAACAGGGAGAAAAGAACAAAGAATAGGTGAGACAAATACAAAAGACAGTAAATTTAAACCCAATAAATATCAATAATCATATTAAATTTAAGTTGTCTAAATACTCCAAATAAAAAGCAGAGATTGTCAGAAGAGATAGAAAAGCAAGACCCAGTAATACATTGCCAGTAAGAAACTCACTTTAAATATAAAGATGCAAATAGGTTAGAAGCAAAAGGACTGAAAAAGATACCAAGCTTTCACTAATCAAAAGAACGATGGAGTGGCTATGTTAATGCCACATAAGGAAAGATCTCAAAGCAAACACTGTTACTGGGATATAGAGGACCATTTTATAATAATAAAAGGCCACTTCATCAAAACAATCTTAAACAATTATGCATCTAATAACAGAAATACAAAGTGTGGGAAATAAACAATGACAGATCCAAAAGGAGAAATAATCAAATTTACAAAGAGATATTTCAAGATCCTTTTCTCAGTAATTGATATAACAAGTTGACAAACATCACCACAGATGTAGAAGACATGAACAACACTATTAACCAACTTGACCTAATTTACATTTATAGAATACTATATTCAAATGTGGTTTGTGATCACAGAATTAAACTAGAAATCAGTATCTGGGAAACCCCAAAATACTCAAAAACTAAGTATCATTTCTAAATAGCCCATAGATCAAACAAGAAATCAAAAGAGATATTACAAAGTATTTTGGGGCTGGGCATGGTGGCTCATGTCTGTAATCATAGCACTTTGGGAGGCCAAGGTGGGAGGATCACTTGAGCCCAGGAGTTTGGGACCCCATCTTTACAAGAAAATAAAAAAATTAAAATTAGCCAGGTGTGGTAGCACACGCCTATGATCTCAGTCACTCAGGAAGCTGACATGGGTGGATCTCTTAAGCCAGGAGGTCAAGGCTGCAGTTGAGCCGTAATCATGCCACTGCACTCCAGCCTGGATGACAGAGTGAAACCTTGTCTCAAAAAAAAGTATTTTTAACTGAATAAAAATGAAAATGTATTAAAATTTGTGGGACACAGCTACAACCAGTGTTTAGAGGGAAGTGTATAACATGAAGAGTCAATATTAGAAAACAATAAAGATCTCAGTCAACTGACTTAAGCTGTCACCTTAAAAACTACAAAAAGACAAGCAAATTGCATTCAAAACAAGCAGAAGGAAATAATGGGAATTAGAACACAAAGCAATGAAATTAAAAACAATAAAGAGAATCAAAGAAACCAAAAGCAATATTAAAAGGTGGCTCACGCCTGTAATCCTAGCACTTTGGGAGGCGGAGGCAGGTGGATCACCTGAGGTCAGGAGTTTGAGACCAGCCTGGCCAACATGGTGAAACCCTGTCTCTACTAAAAATAGAAAAGTTAGCCAGGCGTGGTGGCTGGCGCCTGTAATCCTGCTACTCGGGAGGCTGAGGCTGGAGAATCACTTGAACTCGGGGGGCGGAGGTTGCAGTGAGCCAAAATCGTGCCATTGCACTCCAGCTTGTACGACAGAGCGAGACTTTGTCTCAAAAAAAAAAAAAAGCCTTTAGGGCTGGGTACAGCAGCTCACGCCTGTAATCCCAATACTTCGGAAGGTCAACGCAGGAGGACTCCTTGAAGCAAGGAGTTTGAGACCAGCATTGGCAACATAGTAAGAGCCTATCTCTACAAAAATTTAAAATGGTGGCCTGCACCTGTTGTCCCAGCTACTCAGGAGGCTGAGGCAGGAGGATCACTTGAGCCCAGGAAGTCAAGGCTGCAGTGAACTATGATCTCACCACTGCACTCCCGCCTGGGTGATAGGGTAAGACCCTGACTCAAAACAAACAAACAAACAAATTCCTTATGGCACAATCCTGCATTACCAAAAAATTCACAAAAAGATTCTTTAGGCACAAATTTGGTGGCCAGACAACTGTCAGTTTTCTTTTAAAAACTCAATGAACTTATTGAGGCATTTGGCATGGCAACACCCTCTTGAAGATATAATGAACAGCCTAGGTAGGGCCAATTTTCTTTTCTTTCCTTTTCTTTTTTGAGACAGACTCTCACTCTGTTGCCCAGGCTAGGGTGCAGTGGCACAATCTCGGCTCACTGCAACCTCTGCCTCCCGCGTTCAAGCAATTCTTCTGCCTCAGCCTCCTGAGTAGCTGGGATTACAGGTGTGCACCACCACACCCGATTAATTTTTGTGTTTTTAGTAGAGATGGGGTTTCACCATGTTGGTAAGGCTGGTCTCGAACTCCTGACCTCATGATCCGCCCACTTCGGCCTCCCAAAGTGCTGGGATTACAGGCGTGAACTACCGTGCTCAGCCAGGTAGGGCCAATTTTCATTTCTTTTCCTTTTTTTTGAGATGGAGTCTCGCTCTGTCATCCAGGCTGGAGTGCAGTGGCACGATCTCGGCTCACTGCAAGCTCCGCCTCCCAGGTTCACGCCATTCTCCTGCCTCAGCCTCCCAAGTAGCTGGGACTACAGGCACCCGCCACCAGGCCCAGCTAATTTTTTCTATTTTTAGTAGAGACGGGGTTTCACCGCGTTAGCCAGGATGGTCTCAATCTCCTGACCTTGTGATCCGCCTGCCTCGGCCTCCCAAAGTGCTGGGATTACAGGCGTGACGACTGTGCCTGGCCGAGGTAGGGCCAATTTTCTACAGCTCCCCATTTTCTACTACACTGAAACACAGCAAGGTACAACAAATGACAGGTAGCTGCAACAAGAAATTGGAATAAAGATGGAAGTTTAAAATGCAGGACAGGTCAGGCATGGTCGCTCATGCCTATAATCCTGACACTTTGGGAGGCTAAGGCAGGAAGATCCCTTCAGACCAGGAGTTCCAGACCAGCCTGGGTAAACATAACAGGACCCCATCTCTACAAAAAACTTAAAAATTAGCCAAATGTGGTGGTGCACACCTGTAGTTCCAGCTACTCGGGAGGCTGTGGCAGGAGGATTGTTTGAGCCTGGGAGTTCAAGACTGCAGTGAGCTGTGATCATGCCACTGCACTCTACTGTGGGCAACAGCAAGACTCTCGTCTCAAAGAATTAATTAATTAATTAATTAAAATACAGGACAGAGATTCCTCTTAGAGGGCAGAGTGGCAGATACAAATGTGGAGTTACAGGAATAGATGGGTGGGTAAACCAACATGTTTGCCCAACATTAAAAATATACAGTGCTCCCTGACTGGAGCATAATAGCCCAACAAGAAAGTGCTGAATAAGTAAATGAACAAATGAATGAAAAATGAATGACTGAGTGAAGGAAAAGAATGAAGGGGAAAAGATGGAAACAGCAGCTGGGCAAGAAGTAAGGATAAATACCTGTTAAAAAAAAAAAAAAAAAAAGGAGGAAAACAGAGTAAAGGAAAAGAACCAGGGGAGCAGAGTATCGTAGTAATCAAAGAGGAAGCAAGTTATGAAAGTGGCCAAGAAAGTAACATGCTACAGAGATAAAGAAAAATGAGGATGGCCACAAATCTGAAACAACAAAAGAAGTATTTTGATAACTCTGCAAGAATAGAAGGCAGAATAGAATACACATTGTTCCTAATCAATAGCATATACTCCCTATACTGATGTCAAGGTTACCTTAAGAATTAAATTAAGAATGATAACTACCATTTATTAATAATTTCCCATGTACCAGGTTTTGGCTGGATTTGTAAAATTAACCCAAAATATCACAAGTCAAATTAAGCTGATACGAATTACCATTAGGAAGTATGACTGATGGTATCTATAACTAAAAAGCTTAAGCTCAATTGACTCTATTGTGCTGTATCTGAAAGAACCTGCTAATGGTAAGGTAAGGAAACAGTCTTGAATGACATATAAAATGGAACCTCAGTGTAAGAAAAAAAGGTATAACATTCTCCAATACTATCTAGGGGGTAAGTGAGGAACAACTGGGTGGGAGATAAATCCAAAGAGTGGAATAGATACATCATGCTATTATAATTTAAGACAGTGACCACTAATAAAATCCAACTAACCCTACTTGCTCTAATTCCATGTCCAAATAAGCTTCTGATGATAATTTGCTTCCTGTGTAGTTTTGTTTAGTGACCATTTGTACTATTTGATGATTGTATTTCTCATTATAAGCTGGCATTTTAGTGTACAGATTAGTCTCTAGTGAATCAGTTCCCTAAGCCTAATCACCTCTAGGTATACTAACAAATCACATTTTTAATCCTATAAACTCAAAAACCATCACAGATAGCTGATCTCCCTCTACATTGCTGAATATCTATTCAAACCACAACATTTTAAATAAATGGTTAGCTGAGTAAGTGAGTCATCTTTTGGTAGACAAGGATCTATCTTGGTATTGTCAAACTGTACCAAGTGAATCTGTAGAATGCTAAAAGGAGTCTCCTAAAAAAATTCATTTTCTTACTATCATTGAAGAGGATGTGCATTCAACTTCTACAGATCTTAGACAAACACTTCTTTTCCGAAGACATAACATGGGGAAAAAAACTGAAGAGAGCTGTCAGTATACCCCGACAGCTTTCCAATAAGGAAGGTACAAAGAAAACCCCTCAGGAGATCTAGCCTAAAAAAAAAAAAAATTGTAGCACAGTAGAAATAAAGAATGGATCAATGTTGCAGAAGATAGAGGTGAAGTAAAAAAGCACTATTTCTACTACTGTGGAGATGTACAGCCAAGGAAGATACAGAGAGGCAAGATAGTGGGACTCCACGTAGCCCCCCAAGGGACCACGTGCAAGTTCCTCAACCTATGTGGGCCTTGCTTTCCTCTTCTGTAAAATGAGGAAATTGGATCAATTAATCTCTAAGGTTCTTTTCAATTCTAGGTTCTATTATAATTAATTCCTTTAATGATGAATGGGAAAGGTACAGAAGCAAATTTACCAAGAAAATTTAAGAGTAGCTTTGCTCAAACGATATAGTACATTTACAAACAATATAGTACATTTACTCCCAAGTGGAATCTATTTTACCACCAATTTTTTAGAGTGAAGTCTTTTTTTACCTTTATTTTACAATAAAACTAGATCTAATAACATAAAAGTATCAGCATATATAGTGGGAAATATCAATCTGCTACAGTGGTCATTCAAGAAGGAAACTAGGGCCGGGCGTGGTAGCTCATGCCTGTAATCCTAGCACTTTGGGAGGCCTAGGCGGAGAGATCACTTGAGATCAGGAGTTCAAAACCAGCCTGGCCAACATGGTGAAACCCCATCTCTACTAAAAATACAAAAAAAATTAGTCAGGCTTGGTGGCAGTAAGCTGAGATCACACCACTGCACTCCAGCCTGGGTGACAGAGCGAGACTCCGTCTCAAAAAAAAAAGAATAAAAACAGAACAGAAGACTTACGCATGTCTTTGATATCTGAGGGTTTCCCGGATGGACCATGCAACCTGGTAGGGCGAGGCCTGCTCTGAGTCCTCTGGTTCCTCTCCGCTCTCTTCAGACCAGTCCAAACCTGGGTTAGACAGGAGATATTGCAAATTAGAAAAAGTTTACTTTTATTCAAAATTTAAACTAAAAAGCTACACAAAATAACATAACCCAACATACCTATTGCAAGTACTATCATGGTGTGAATAAATGTCTCCTGATGAATCTCATTTCTATTCTTACAAAGATAATCGGTTTGTTTTTGTTTTTGTTTGACAGAGTCTCACTCTGTCACCCAGGCTGGAGTGCAGTGGCACGATCTTGGCTCACTGCAACCTCTGCCTCCCGGGTTCAGCGATTCTCCTGTCTCGGCCTCCCGAGTAGCCAGGACTACACGCGCCAGCCACCACACCCAGCTAATTTTTGTATTTTTAGTAGAGACAGGGTTTCACCATATTGGCCAGGCTGCTCTTGAACGCCTGACCTCGTGATCCACCCACCTCGGCCTCCCAAAGTGTTGGGATTACAGGCGTGAGCCACCGCCTGGCCACACAATCGGGTTTTTAAAATGACATTACAACAAAAAGGCTAAGCTATATTCCACAGATGAACTTCTTTTGTCAGACACTTCACTAATGGGGTAGAAACAACACAAGTAAAGAGAGATTTCAGGTCACAAAAAGGCAGAATTTCTTTTCTTTTTTTTTGAGACAGGGTCTTGCTCTGTCACCTAGGCTGGAGCACAGTGTGGCATGATCTCGGCTCACTGCAACCTCTGCCTTCCAGGTTCAAGTGATTCTCATGCCTCAGCCTCCCAAGTAGCTGGTATTACAGGTGAGCACCACCACGCCCAGCTAATTTTTGTATTTTTAGTAGAGATGGGGTTTCGCCATGTTGGCCAGGCTGGTCTCAATCTCCTGACCTTAAGTGATCCACCTGCCTCGGCCTCCCAAAGTGCTGGGATTACAGGCGTGAGCCACCACATCTGGCCAGAATTTAAGTATCAAAACTTAATACACTAAAATGATGTCAGAAAAACATAAAATACAAACAAGAGGGTGAGAAAAGAAGCTCGATATATGTTAAGGCAAGAAAAAGGTCAATACCTGCTTCTGAATGGTTTTATGAAAACAACAAAAAAAAAAAATCAAAAAGTGCAGATAGAGTCACTCTACATTTCAACAACGAAGGGCCCTATGATAAAGTGTCAAAGGTAGAAACACTCCATCCCCCTCTCCCAAACCATTCCCTGGCTCTTACCTTCCATGGGAAGATGGAAGGGTAGGATGGTAATGTTCTACTACTAATGAGGTTTCGGATTTCTTTCAATTTTTTTTTTTTGAGACGGAGTCTCGCTCTGTCGCCCAGGCTGGAGTGCAGTGGCGTGATCTCTGCTCATTGCAAGCTCCGCCTCCTGGGTTCACGCCATTCTCCTGCCTCAGCCTCCCGAGTAGCTGGGACTACAGGCACCCGCCACCGCGCCTGGCTAATTTTTTTTTTTGTATTTTTAGTAGAGACGGGGTTTCACCGTGCTAGCCAGGATGGTCTCGATCTCCTGACCTTGTGATCCACCCGCCTTGGCCTCCCAAAGTGCTGGGATTACAGGCGTGAGCCACCGTGCCCAGCCTCTTTCAATTATTTTAAACAAAAAATGTCAGACTTTGTGCTCCATTATCTAAAACAAGGTTAGAAGGAAAAGTGGATACAGTATTTATTAATATTTTGTTAAAGGGTCTCGATCTGTTGCCCAGGTTGGAGTGTAGTGGTGCAATCTCAGCTCACTACAGCCTTGACCTCCCGGGCTCAAGTGATCCTCCCACCTCAGCCTCCAAAGTAGCTGGCACTACAGACAGCACCACCATGCCCAGCTAATCTTTGTACTTTTTGTAGAGACCGGGTTTTGCCATGTTGACCAGGCTGCTCTCGAACTCCTGAGCTCAAATGATCTACCTGCCTTAGCCTCCCAAAGTGCTGCAATTACATGCATGAGCCACTGTGCCCAGCCAAATGCTATAATTTTTAATGACTGAATAATTTTTAGCTCCTGCCATAAAAGTTTTACCCTTTTAAAAGTCTTGTATCTTGGCCAGGTGCACCGGCTCATGCTTGTAATCCCAGCAGTTTGGGACACTGAGCCAAGGGGATCACTTTAGGCAAGAAGTTAGAGACCAGCCTGGGTAACACACCAAGACCCCGACTCTACAACAAACTTAAAAATTAGCCAGGCTGAGTGGTGCATGCCTGCAGTCCCAACTATTCAGGAGACTGAGGCAGGAGGATCGACTGACCCTTGAGCCCAGGAGGTTGAGGCTGCAGTGAGCCATGATCATGTAACTGCATTTCAGCCTGGTGACAGAGCAAGGCCCTGTCTCTAAAAGTTAAGAAAAAAAGTTTTATATCTTGAAGAGGTCTTGATAAAGACTGATGTTGCACAGCCTAAAGTGTAACAGTATGTGGGACTATGTAAGTTTAATATATCCATACCTCTATGAAACTTACTAGACACCTTGATAACTAGTATTTTATTTATGTCTTCCTTCTTGAGAACCTCAAAAATCAAGAGTATCCTCATTAGACAGTTACATTAAAAAGGACTTCATGGATTGCTTCCATAGTTTAAATGAGTTTACATGTGCCAAATAGGGAAATTAAGAAAAGGTTAATTAAAATGCAAATTATGAATGCTTAAGATTAAATAACACATTGCCATTGGCATAAAGAAACTTCAAATCTAATTCTAAGATGACTATCTAAAATGTCAGGTCACCTTTAAAAATGAGTTACTTTCTCAACTGAAATAATTAATAATTTGTAGGGGGAAAAGGTAAAAAAGCAATTAAATGATCACAGCATCAACTTCAGTGTGTTGAAAGGTAAGGTCCTTCAAAGTGACATTTAAGGCACCACTGAAAAACAGAACATGAGTTATCTTTTATTTGTTTCAATAGAATAATTTCTCCTAAGACACCTCTGAGGTGTCTTGACTTTCTCTGAGGAAGTCAAGATCTAAGTCATAAAAACTAAGACGGAAGTGTTTTTCCTGCTGTGAAACTAACTGTCCAATAAAGCAAACCTTTGATCTTGGCTTCATTATCACTAGTTTTAATGTAACTAGCTGACATAACTAGCCCAGACAGGACTATAAAGGCTAATAATAAGACTGAGTTTTTATTTAAATACTCTTTGCTGACATGAATACAGACTACACTCTGTCATAAGATTACAGAGTATATGCATTACTATTTCTGGTTTCCCCAAAGTAACTTTTGCTTTGAAATCTTAGGCCTCTAATATGTTTGCATTTTAAAAAATTTAAAAGGGCGTCCGGGCATGGTGGCTCACGCCTGTAATCCCAGCACTTTGGGAGGCCAAGGCGGGTGGATCACCTGAGGTCAGGAGTTCAAGACCAGCCTGGCCAACGTGGTGAAACCCCATCTCTACTAAAAATACAAAAAATGAGCCAGGCGTGGTGGTATGCACCTGTAATCCTAGCTACTCAGGAGGCTGAGGCAAGAGAATCACTTGAAGCTGGGAGGCAGAGGTTGCAATGAGCTGAGATCACACCACGGCACTCCAGCCTGGGCAACACAGCGAGACTCTATCTCAAAAAAAGAAAAAAAAAATTTAAAAGGCTGAAAACTTTTTCTGTGTGTTTTCATTCTGTTTAAAAATGATTTAAAAATTGCTGGGCACAGTGGCTCATGCCTGTAATCCCAGCACTTTGGGAAGCCGAGGCGGGCAGATCACAAGATTAGGAGTTCAAGACCAGCCTGGCCAATATACTGAAACCCCGTCTCTACTAAAAATGCAAAAAATTAGCTGGATGTGGTAGCATGCGCCTGTAGTCCCAGCTACTCAGGAGGCTGAGGCAGGAGAATCGCTTGAACCCGGGAGGCGGAGGTTGCAGTGAGCCGAGACCTCGCCACTGCATTGCAGCCTGGGTGACAGAGCAGGACTCCGTCTCAAAAGAAAAAAAAAAAAAAAAAAAAAAAAAAAAGATTAAAAAATCAGCCCCTAAGATGACATAATATTTCATCATTTCAAAAGCTAAAAAATTATCAGCATCCAGAAATAAATGAAATTATAAATAAAAATTTAGTAGATGATGCCGGTAAGTGTTGGAATTAGAGGCAAACATTTTTTAAAAATTGTTATATTTCGCCGGGCGCGGTGGCTCACGCCTGTAATCCCAGCACTTTGGGAGGCCGAGGCGGGCGGATCACGAGGTCAGGAGATTGAGACCATCTTGGCTAACACGGTGAAACCCCCGTCTCTACTAAAAACACAAAAAATTAGCTGGGCGTGGTCGCGGGCGCCTGTAGTCCCAACTACTCGGCAGGCTGAAGCAGGAGAATGGCGTGAACCCGGGAGGCGGAGCTTGCAGTGAGCCGAGATCCCGCCACTGCACTACAGCCCGGGTGACAGAGCGAAACTCCGTCTCAACAACAACAACAAAAATTTCTTAGATCTCTGCCTCAAAACTAATGTCTAAATGAGTTCCAGCTAGATAAAATGTAAATAATGAAATGATAAAAGGACTAAAAGAAAATACGGGTGAATATGTTCATATATTCTTGGGATGAAGAGAATCCAAATAAGCAAGCAAACCAAAACCCAGACTCAAAAGAAAGAAATCTTAAAGAAGAGAATACATAAAAATTTTAACTTTTAAATTCCTACAATGGATATTTCTTTTCTTTTCTTTTCTTTTTTTTTTCAGAGACGGGGTCTCAGCTCTGTCGCAGTGGCATGATTATAGCTCACTGCCAGTCATAAGCTCTTGGACTTAAGGGATCCTTCCGCCTCAGCCTCCCAAGTAGCAGAGATTACAAGTTTGCAACTGTGCCTGGCTATAACAGATACCCGGAAGCAAAAAACAAAGGAGAGGAGGGAGAGACTTTCCAACAAATATAATATACATATAAAAAGCTCTTACCAATCAATAGAAAATAAATATATGGATGGAAGAAGTGAAAGGCAAAATAAACAAAATGTCCAAAAATCATATGAACGAATACTCAACTATATTATTAATCCAAAATAGCAGTTCTGAAAGTATGGTCCACAGATCCCCAGAAGTCCTTGAAATATTCTTGGAGTATATAGGTCAACACTATATTCTTTCTAAGAAGTTTTTTTTTTTAATTTAAATTTTAAAAAAGAGAATCTCACTATGTTTCCCAGGCTGGTCCCGAACTCCTGGGCTCACGTGATCCTCCTGTCTTGGCCTCCCAAAGTGGTAAGATTACTGGCATGAGCCACCTCGCCTGGCCTCAAAACTATTTTCAACAAAATAATATTAAAACATTATGTGCCTTTTTCACTGTGTTGACACACTGATGGTATAAAAGCAATGACAGGTAAAACTACAGGCTCCTTAATTACCATGAATCAAGGCAGTGGCATCAGACTTACTAGGAGTCATTGTATTCCTCATGCCATGCCTCGCAGTTGTAAAGGAGTTTTATTTGAGAATATTCTTGTTTGTTAAAGATTATTTATTTTTATTAAATCGATCCCTGAGCACATGTCTTTATACTATTCTGTGTGAGTAAATGTGAATCTGCTGCAAAGGAAGAAAGCATGACAGCTGTCCTGAGGAAGAGGACTTACACAACTGTTTTTATTGCAACCTGACCAAACTGCTTTTTCTCATTCATCATCATTTTTTTGTTTTTGAGATGGAGTCTCACTCTGTAGCCCAGGCTGGAGTCCAGTGGTGCGATCTCGGCTCACTGCAACCTCCGCTTCCCGGGTCCCAGTTCAAGCAATTCTCCTGCCTCAGCCTCCCAAGTTGCTGGGATTACAGGCACGCTCCACCACGCCCAGCTAAGTTTTTGTATTTTTAGTAGAGACGGGGTTTCACCATGTTGGCCAAGCTGGACTTGAACTCCTGATCTCGTGATCCACCCGCCTCAGCCTCCCAAAGTGTTGGGATTACAGGTGTGAGCCACCACACCCAGCCTTCATCATCATTTTTATTTGAAAGAGAATCTGACAGGCCAGGCACAGTGACTTGTGCCTGTAATCCCAGAACTTTGGGAGGCCAAGACAGGAGGATCAGCCTGGGCAACATAGTGAGACCCCATCTCTATCAAAAAATCTGAAAAAAAAATTAGCCAGTTGTGGTAGTGTGTGCCTATGGTCCCAGTGACTTGGGAAGCTGAGGTGGGAGGATCACTTGAGCCCAGCAGGTCAAGGCAGCAGTGAGCCATGATCATGCCACTGCACTCTAGCCTGGGCAACAGAGCAAGAACCTGTCTCAAAAAAAAAAAAAATTATATTTTAAATTTATCAGTTTTAGCTTCTAATACAGTATAAATAGATACAACCCATACATAAGAGCTTTATGGTTTCCTTATTAATTTTTAAGTGTAAAGGATCCTAAAACCAAATATTTGAGAAACACTAATCTAAGATATGTAAATTTAAGCAGATTTTCTATCTAATTTGCAAAGGCAATAATAACAATAATACTACTACCCAGGGCTGATAAAGATTTAGAGAAACTGTTATTTTCACACACTGCTTAAAGAAGATAAGCTGACAAAATAATTCTGAAGGAAAATTTGGCAACATATATCAAAACTTTTTTTTTTTTAAAAGCTAAAGCTTGGAATCGGCAATTCCACTTTTAGTCTGAATTAACAATCTATTTGAAGAAAAAAAGATGTGGCAATAATTGTTTTACTGCAAGGCTATATACATCTACGACAGTTTATAAGGACATAAGCTGGATACAACTTAAATGGAAGACAGAATTCAGCCATGACAAATTACACTGCATATGAAAAATTACCAACTTGAAAATACATTAGTATGAAAAATTTTAAACCAGGTTACAAAACAGCATGTATAGTAAGAGCCCAATTTTATATATTAGAAAGAATATATCAAGGTATTAACAAATGGGTATTAATATGGCTTGGAGTGTTTTAATTTATTATTTTTGTTTATAAATTTTTTAACTTTTGTATTTTAATCACGAAAAGTCACAGATGGTTTAACAACAGGTGAAACAATAAAAAGCTATAAGAAAAGCCACCACTCCCAACTCCTATAAAATATACCCTGTCCAATTCCATCCTCCCTAGGGTAGCTGATGTTAACAGTCTGGAAGTATATATCCTTTTATACTTTTACCTTTGCTCACATCAATCAGGCCAATAGCCATATACTTAATCAATAAATATATTGATATCCCCTGTTTATTTACTTTGTTTATTTTTACCAAAATGGGATAATAATTACCTCTTGATTTCTTTTTTCCACTTTTTAATATACCATGGACACATCCCGGTCAAAAGATACAGAATTTTTTTTTTTTTTGAGATGGAGTTTCGCTCTTGTTGCCCAAGCTGGAGTACAATGGCACAATCTCCGCTCACTGCAACCTCCGCCTCCTGGGTTCAAGCAATTCTCCTGCCTCAGCCTCCCAAGTAGCTGGGATTACAGGCGCACACCACCATGCCTAGCTAATTTTCGTATTTTTAGTAGAGACAGGGTTTTGCCATATTGGCCAGGCTGGTCTCGAACTCCTGACCTCAGGTGATTCACCGGCCTCAGCCTCTCAAAGTGCTGGGATTACAGGCATGAGCCACCACACCTGGCCTCATTCATTCTTTTTAATAGCTATATAATATTTCTTTTCTTTTCTTTTTTTTTTTTTTATACAATAGAGACAAGGTCTTACTGTGTCGCCCAGATTGGTCTTGAACTCCTGAGCTCAAGTGATCCTCCCACCTCGGCCTCCCAAAGTGCTAGGATTATAGGTATGAGCCACTGCACCCAGCCTGCTACATAATATTTCATAAAACTTATATGAACAATAATTTAGTCAAGGTTTCCTATCAGTAATTGTTTCTTTGCAGGTTTTTAATGCTGCAAACAATGTTTCAGTGAACATCCTTGCACATATATCCTTACATTTTGATTTTTTTAATCCACAGGATAGTGTCCCAAAAGTGAGTCTGCTGGCTACAAATATATTTTGTTTGTTTGTCTGAGACAGGGTCTCGCTCTGTCACCCAGGCTGGAGTGCAGTGGCACAATCTCGGCTCACTGCAGCCTCCACCTCCCAGGTTCACGCAATTCTCCCACCTCAGCCTCTCAAATAGCTGGGACTTCAGGTATGCACCACCACACCCGGCTATTTTTTGCATTTTTAGTAGGGACAGGGTTTCACCATGTTGGCCAGGCTAGTCTCCAATTCCTGACCTCAGGTGATCTGCCCACCTCAGCCTCCCAAAGTGCTGGGATTACAGGCGTGAGCTACCACACCCGGCCTATTTTTGTTTTTTTAGAGACAGGATCTCACTATGTTGCCTAAGCTGGTCTCAAACCTCTGGCTTCAAGTGATCCTTCTGCATCAGCCTCTCAAAGTAATGAGATTACAGGCATAAGCCACTAAGCCCAGCCTATACATATATTTTAAATTAGTAGATATTGCTAAATTACTCACCAGCAATGTATGAGATACCATATCCTGACCCTGACCAACAATGGATATCATTTTTCACAATCTGGTAATTCATTGTTGCTTTAATTTGTATTTCCTGCCTGCTGAGAGGATTGAGGTATTCATTTGTTTATTGACTATTCATATCTCTTCACGTTCTATCTTTGCTCATATTTCTATTGCTGTCATATTATGCAAATAATTTTTCCTGAAGTGAAAATCATAGCTCATATTGCATTCGAGAATAAATTTCAACTGAATTAAAGGTTTAAATGATCAAAACCAATCAAACTATTAATAGAAAACATAGAATATCTGTATAAACTTGGAATCGAGGAAGTTTTCTTAAGCAAAACAGGAAATTCAGAAGCAACAAAAGAAAAATAGACATGTGACTACATTAAATTACAAGTTTTCCCTGTATTTTCTCACTCTTAAATCATTAACAGGTATTGCCTTGAGAATTTTTTAAACAGGAAAAAATGTTTTAAAACTGTCAGCAGATATCAACAATGCTATGATCATTCCTAGAATAAGACACACCAAGAACTTCACTAGATGCACAGGTGTTAAACTCATAAAAGCATACAACCAAACACAACTGCCTTTTAATGCTGCTATCACTACAAATAAAAGCTGCGTGTGGAATTCTAAATTCCCAACTCCTATTTCTGTATCCTATTCAGCAAGTGTTACACCCTCCAGTGTTGGCCCTCTGTATCCATGGGATCCACATCTGTGGATTCAGCCAATTGCTGATCAGAAATATTTGAGAAAAAAGATTCCATTTGTACTGAACATATACAGACTTTTTTTCTTGTCATTATTCCCTAAACAATACATTATAACAACTGTTTTCATAGCATTTACATTATATCAGGTATTATACGTAATCTAGAGATGATTTAAAGAATATGGGAGAATGTACATAGGTTATGTGCAAATACTATGCTGTTTTATATCAGGATCTTGAGTATCCTCAAATTTTAGTGCCTGAGGGAAGACCTGGAACCAATCCACCACACATGTAGAGGGACGACTGTGTTTATTTTAAGGTGGTCTACCTAAATACAGAATCTTTCACTGCACCACTCTGCCTCATTGTGATTCCACCCCCATCACATATGGGGTAATTATGAAAGGGAAGCTCCACACAACCGAACACATTTTGTCATATTATGTGTCTATGATACGATAAAATAGATAACTCACCTAAATGGGGAAACAGATCAGTGTCCAACTGATGTTTCTGGGTGCACAGTTTCACCAGTCTCTGCAGTCGGCTTATACATGAGAAGTGTGGAGAGAAGGCTGTGGCTTTCATGAGGATCCGGTCAGTCCTGGGTGGGTCCACAGTGGGAGCCCTACTGGATGGCAGGAGGGGCAGAGGCCTCTTGTGAGACAACTGCCGTGCTTGTGCTATAGTGTGTGTGGTGGGTGCCACTCCCTGCATTGGTAGGCTGGTGTTCTGAGGTTGAGGTGACTTGCAGACTGAACCCTGCGGTGGCGCTGGAGGTTTTAAAGAAGTAGATAAAGGTGACAGGTGGGAGTGCTGCTGCGGAGGCTGCTGCTGTGAAGGTGCAGGAGGGGGACTAAAGTGCTCTTGTCGAACTTTTAAAATCTCTGTCTCTCTCTGGCGCTGCCGATTCTGGGCCAACTTGCTCTGCAACTTCTTTCTCACAGTTGCCCCTTTCTTTAGGTCATCATCTTCCTCATTGAAAGCAAATGGGTCTTCCAATTCGGTTTCCAGGTAGTGGAGAGGGACCCTTGCCCCAGGTGGAGAGAGGGACATTCCATCCAGTCCGTTGGGCATCTTCAAGGCCAACGTGGGCACTGTCAGGCTAAAGGCCATGGTATCCATCTGGTGCCTGACCTTCACCTCATCTATAGGATCATTCTTTTTCTTCCTCTCTTTTTTCGGGATAAAGCCAAGTACCTGCAAGTGGCTGTTGCAGTACCTTTAAAATACACACATACATGGGAAAACAGTCATGATACATATTTTTTAAAAGTAGAACATAAAACTACATGAGAATCCTAATGTTAAAAATTGCGTCACTATAGTGACTCTTGGCAGCCAGCAACTTAACATGCAAACCTCTACTACTTTCAAGCAGTCCTCAAAGTCAGTGTAATTTTGATGAGGCAAATATGTGAACTGTACATGCACAGGGGTGGCCAGACAGAAGCAAGTCATTCAGTTACTGAGTGGCCCTGGATAACTGCTCAGCTACTGCTTCTCACATGGCTTTGTTATTCTCTATTCATAGCATACAAAGTAACTCATCAAGAGTCTAAAAGATCACTTAAAATTCTCTTATGAGAAAAAATATATATATTTTCTAATGCCATTAAAGTATTCGGAGATTCACAAAGCTCTTATGACATAAAACCCTCAAGAATGTCAAGTGTCTACTGTGCTTTAGACACATATACAGAGAGAGACAGAGAAAGAGAGAGAGAATGAAATAAGAAAGTAAAAGATGGTTCGTGGGGTTATAGGTGAAATGCCTTTTTCAATAGCCAGATGTAAGTACATGAATTATCTCCTGTAGTACCTACCTGCAGTAGGCGCTAAAATAATTCCCTTAATGCAGATGAGGAAACTAAGCTTTACAGAAATTGATGAACTTGCCTGAGACTCTTTCCAGCTGGAAAGAGTCAGAGCTAAGACCAACTAAAATCAAAGCTCATGAAGACTCTCATTAGTCTTCAACAATAAGCAAGTATACTGCTTGGGTGATGGTTGCACCAGGATCTCACAAATCACCACTAAAGAACTTGCTCATGTAGCCAAATACCACCTGTACCTCAATAACTTTAAAATAAAATAATAAAAACTAATAATTTTAAAAATGCTTTATAGAATTCACCAGTGATGCCATCTGACATGGACTTTTCCTGTGGAAAGTTTAAAAAAAAAAAAAAAGAGCAAAATTAAATTCAAAACTGCTATTTTGAATTCTCTGTCTGAAAGATCACATATCTCTGTTTTTCCAGAACTGGTCCTTGGTGCCTTATGTATTTCATTTGTTGATGTCATGTTTTCCTGGATGGTCTTGAAGCTTGTGAATTTTCGTCTGTGTGGGCATTGAAAAGTTAGGTATTTATTGTTGTCTTCACACTCTTCATGCTATTTTAAAAACCTATAAAGGCCGGGCACAATGGCTCATGCCTGTAATCCCAGCACTTTGGGAGGCTGAGGCGGCGGACCACAAGGTCAGGAGATCGAGACTATCCTGGCTAATCCGGTGAAACCCCGTCTCTATTAAAAATACAAAAAATTAGCCGGGCGTGGTGGCAGGAGCCTGTAGTCCCAGCTACTCGGGAGGCTGAGGCAGGAGAATGGCGCGAACCCCGGAGGCAGAGCTTGCAGTGAGCCGAGATGGTGCCACTGCACTCCAGCCCAGGTGAGAGTGCCAGACTCTGTCTCAAAAAAAAAAAAAAAAAAAAAAAACCTATAAAAGGGCCGGGCGCAGTGGCTCACGCCTGTAATCCCAGCACTTTGGGAGGCCAAGACAGGTGGATCACCTGAGGCCAGGAGTTCGAGACCAGCTTGGCCAACATGGTGAAACCCCATCTCTACTAAAAATACAAAAATCAGCCAGATATGATGGTAGATGCCTGTAATCCCAGCTACTCAGGAGGCTGAGGTACAAGAATCGCTTGAACCCGGGGGCAGAGGTTGCAGTGAGCTGAGACTGCACCACTGCATTCCAGCCTGAGAGACAGAGCAAGACTCGTCTCAAAAAACAAACAACAAAAAAAAACAGTACTCCATGCTTAAATAAATTTGGAAAATGCTGGCTTAAACAAAATTAAAGAATGATTTTGTTGTTTTTTGTTACTGATGTGCAACTACTCAAAGCACTTTGTGTAACATGCATTATGAAGTTCCAAGAGGAAACTGTACCCATCTGGCAGTGTTTCCCAAAGTTATTTGAAAATGAAACCCAGGGCCAAATGTGGTGGCTCATGTCTGTAATCCCAGCACTTTGGGAGGCTGAGGCAGGAGGATCCCTTGAGGCCAGGAGTTCAAGATCGACCTGAGCAACATAGCAAGACCCTGTCTCAGTTAAAAAAAAAAAAAAAAAAATCAAAGAAAACAGAACCAGCCGGGCAAAGTGGCTCATGCTTGTAATCCCAGCACTTTGGGAGGCCAAGGTGGGTGGATCACCTGAGGTCAGTAGTTTGAGACCAGCCTGGCCAACGTGGTGAAACCCTGTCTCTACTAAAAATACAAAAATTAGCCGGGTGTGGTGGTGTGCGCCTGTAATTCCAGCTACTTGGGAAGCTGAGGCAGCAAAATCCCTTGAACCCATGAGGTAGAGGCTGCAGTGAGCCGAGACTGTGCCACTGCACTCCAGCCTGGGCAACAGAGTGAGACTCAGCCTCAAAAAACAAAAAAAACAAAAAAGAACAGAGAACCTATTTTTACTGTAGCATATAGGTGATAGCTCCAAAAAACATAGTTTGGGAAAAGACCACTGAGGTAAAAAATGTCAATCCTCAAATTCACTGGGCTTCATCATATAAGTGTTTTTCTAGTAATTGCTAAAAATACAGATTCACCAAATAATCAGAAAATCTCAAGCACACACAGAATATGTGTGGGTGTGTTTTGTTGCTTCGTCTTAGAAATAAATCTATCAGAGGCACTCTTTAACGTAGGCCTCTTAAGAAAAAGCTTTCTTTGTCATGTGCAGTCACTGAAAAAGCGAAAAAGGTTTCTAGCCAGCAAAGAGAATCTACACCGTGTGTGTGTGTGTCTGTGTGTCTGTGTGCTTCCCTAGCAGGTTTGAGCTAGGTCCCATATATATCTTAAACAGAACAGATTCACAAAGCAATGGCCAGCAAAGAAAGAGGCGTCTGGGATAACTGCACTAACCAAAAAGTTTCCCAAGAACAAGAAAAAATTTTAATAAAGAATAAATTTGGCCTGGCGTGGTGGCTCATGTCTATAATCCCAACACTTTGGGAGGCCAAGGCAGGGCGATTGCTTGAAGCCTGGAGTTCGAAACAAGCCTGGGCAACCTAGTAAGGATCCATCTCCACAAAAAGTTTTCAAAACTCGGCCAGCCACGTGGCTTGTGCCTGTAGTCCTAGTTACTCGGGAGACTGAGGCAAGAGGATCATTTGAGGCCCAAAGTTCAAGGCTGTAGTGAGCTACGATCATGCCACTGCACTCCAGCCTGGGCAGCAGAATGAGACCCCATCTCAAAGAAAAAAAAGAAAAGAAAGACAAATTTATAACTTAGTACTTATGGCCGGGCGCAGTGGAGCATGCCTGTAATCCCAGCACTTTGGGAGGCAGAGGTAGGAGGATCACTTCAGGTCAGGAGTTCGAGACCAGCCTGGCCAACATGGTGAAACCCCATCTCTACTAAAAATACAAAAATTAGCCGAGCGTGGTAGTGTGCACCTGTAATCCCAGCTACTGGGGAGGCTGGTGCAGGAGAATTGCTTGAATCAGGAGGCAGAGGTTGCAGTGAGCCAAGATCATGCCACTGTACTTCAGCCTAGGCAACAGTTGAGCGAGACTCCGTCAAAAAAAAAAAACAACAACAACAACTTAGTGCTTTTTTTTTTTTTGAGACGGAGTTTCGCTCTTGTTGCCCAGGCTGGAGTGCAATGGCGCGATCTCCGCTCACTGCAACCTCCGCCTCCTGGGTTCAAGCAATTCTCCTGCCTCAGTCTCCCGAGCAGCTGGGATTACAGGCATGTGCCACCACACCCGGCTAATTTTGTATTTTTAGTAGAGACGGGGTTTCTCCATGTTGGTCAGGGTGGTCTCAAACTCTCAACCTCAGGTGATCCACCCACCTCGGCCTCCCAAAGTGCTGGGATTACAGGCGTGAGCCACCGTGCCCGGCAACTTAGTACTTATTAAGCACAGCTTCTCGAGATAGAAACATGAAAGTCCTTTCCCTTATCTTGTTCTCAAAAGAGCAAACTATTTCAAAGACAAAGGTGTATACAGATGCTTCAGAGAATATTTTGAAGAGATTCATAAGGACTCTCACTTGAATTCTTGCCTTTTTTTTTAGATAGGGGGTCTTGTTCAGTTGCCCAAGCTGGAGTATAGTGGCACAATTACTGTTCACTGCAGCCTCGGCCTCCTGGGCTAAATCAATCCTTCCACCTCAGTCCCAATTAGCTGGGACTCTAGGCGTGTACCACTACACCTGGCTAATTTTTGTATTTTTTGTAGAGATGGGGTTTTGTCATGTTGCTCAGGCTGGTCTTGAACTCCTAGGCTCAAGCGATCCACCGCCTTAGCCTCCAAAAGTGCTGGGATTACAGGCGTGAGCCATCACACCCAGTCCTTGCTGCTATTAAGATAATTCTTGCTTTGGCTCAACTGAAAAAAAATCCAACACTGACAACTGTAACCATGATAAGCTAATTTTAAGACAAAATTTTAGAAATGTGTTTACGATGGGGCTTGATGTAAAAAAAAATTAATCCAAGCTCATCCATTCTTCAAGTTAAAAAAAGGCAGGGTAAGAAATTATCATTTTCAGTCTGCTAAAAACTAACTAGACAGATATATTTAGCCTAATACATACATCCCTTTCTCACCTGAGATTAAAATTTTATTCCTTGCCTCACTAAGCAGCTGTTTCTAACTTTCAGGTATTGTAATTTGAAGCCTCAATGCTCATTAGAAATTCTAAGAGAGTATTCCTAAATCCCCATTAAACTATTTGTACTCATTTTGGTGAGATCAGCACCAACACAAATTATTTATTTCATACTGCAAGTGTAAAAAGTATTCATGACACAAAATATCTGATTCCTTTCCAACCAATTTATGCAAGTGACATTTGCTAATGTATAGAAACATGGATGAAGGTTGTGTGTGTGTTTTAAGATAGAAGTGAAAGGTTCAAATTTTCTACCTAGAGATAACAAGTATCTTGAAACTTTTGGAAAACAAGCATGTATCTCTCCATGAAGCCCCACAGTGATCTATATAGTTTCTGGAGAATTGAAGAAAAAGAAGCACAGAGAAGAGATTATATATGAAAGATAGTGTGAATTTTCCTAACAATATGAAAGATGAATAACCAGTATAAGACTCCTTTAAAAACAATTCCACTCTTTTCTAAATTTAGCGAAGCATAAACTCATCATTCTAGTGGCAAAACCGACCCTTAATGTGAAAATAGTGTTTCCAAATTATGGCAAACATACTCTATTTGGAACACTTTTTAACCAAAAAAGGTAAGGTTATAAAACATGCCAAACACTGGTGAGAAGTCTGATAGGAAATAAATCTAACTGATTCAAGTAGTTTTTTAAAATTTTCTTCAGTAAGTATATATCCTTTACTAACTTCTAGGCATAGATTTTAAACTCCAAAATTGCTATCATTAATTATAACACCTAATTAGTTATTTAAATTTCTCTCATTTAGGCAAATGAGAAAACTAGGTAGAAAAGTCAGGAATTACTTTATAAGGCCATAAACCAAACAAATCCGTTTCAAGACTTCAAGCAGCAACTTTGAGGGAAAAAAAATCTTTTAAAAATTCTAGAAGTCCATGAAATCAATTAAATAGAAGACACTCAAACATACTTTAAGTAATTCCCCAAATTTATTACTCTATTTTAAAAAATTGCCATATTTCATCTTTAAAAGTATTCCATAGATTACTTAGATTACCCCCAGAATTCAACATTTATATAGGTGGAGGAAGGGAGGGAGGGAGAAATGAAGGACAGAAGAAAAGAGAAGAAAAAACAAGAAAAGAAAAAATTCCAAGCCTGTTAATGAAATCAAGGATTGATTCTCATGATTAGCCCTTACCTACGATCCTCTGATTTGGGGATGGGGTTGGTGCAGCGTTGGCTGTTATACTTGGCCACATATTCACATTGCTTGAAGGGGGCAGTCTTGTCCTCCAGAACGTGTCTGATACAGAAGGCGTAGCCGTTGAGTCGCCTCTGCTTGCACAGTTTGGGGCTATATGAGCACAAGGGCTTATTGTCAACCTCAGAGAAGTGTATATGTTTCCCTTCATACATCACGTGACTCTATTCCTTGTGAACATCAGCTAAAAGGCCACCACAAAAAAAGAAACCCAAATGATAAATCAGAGAGTATAAGGCAGATTTAAGTTGAGAATTTCACTGAGGGACTTCTGGCCCCACAGCCATACCTGATTTTAAATCTTCTGCACCATAGCAATGTTAAGAGAACCCCCAAGGATACCACAGTTTGGAATGCCGCAGAATCAGGATGAAGCAGATTGTCTATAAAAATATCAAAAGGCCTAGTTAACAAACAGAAATAAGCAAAGCTAGCTCACCCAGGAAGCAAAATACTAAGATATCACCCTTACTAATGCAATGGATTCTTCACTGTAAATCAACATCCCAATAACGAGGTTAAATAAGAAAATAAGAGACATTATAAAACATTAAGTTGGCTGGGCGCCGTGGCTCACGCCTGTAATCCCAGCACCTTGGAGGCGGGTGGATTACTTGAGGTCAGGAGTTTGAGACCAGCCTGGCCAAAATGGCGAAACCCCGTCTCTATTAAAAATACAAAACTGAGCCAGGCATGGTGGCGGGCACCTGTAATCCCAGCCACTTGGGAGGCTGAGGCAGGAGAATCACTTGAACCCGGAAGACAGAGGTTGCAGTGAGCCGAGATCACACCTCTGGACTCCAGCCTGGGTGAGAGTGAAGATCTGTCTCAAAAACAAAACAAAAAAAAAGTAAGTTACCTTATCCCCCCAAATTGAACTAAATAACATTTGCTCTGGTTAAGTTCTATAAATACCTCAAAGCAGCAAAACTCTTCCACCAAATGAATGTCACAGGTAGCAGGTCTCTTTTTCATTACTGATGTTTGCATGCTATACTCATTTTCAGAACCCACATCCCTTTACAATGCCAGCAGAATAAATGGTAGACCTAAAACTTCTCTCAGAAATTCTACTTCTTTTGATATGATGGTAAAATATTTGGCAATTTATAAATTTTTCTATGAAATACAAAATAAATTTTGTATTTAAATTTCTGTCATTAAAAAATGTTCTTTCCCTTATAATATTTCCCCACACCTATCCCATCCAATCACAATAAACTTCTCAGGCCCAAAGACTAGTCAGCTGACCACACTTATATCATTCATTTCAAAGTTCTGCACCACATGGTGCTTCCAGTCACACTAAATAGTAAAATAATCGTGGCTTATGAGTCTTTTCAGAGTCAGTGAGAAAATGGAAGGAGGGAATTACACAATACTCACTACCAATCTACACGCAAAAGGCCCAGTGGTAGGATTTATATATTACAACACCATCTAGTCTATCATGAAACTGAATCTATTTTGCCAAGTCAGGATCTTAGTGAGCTGATGGAGTCTCACCCATCCTCTTCCACACTTCCAGCCATCAAGATGGCTGATGGAACAGCTCAGATATCAGCTACTGAAAAAGTCCAGAAATACTCTCTGTTTTACCAGTAAATGACAAGATACATAAATGCTGGAGGTGTCAGAAGACACGGTTGTTCAAGTCCAAAATCTGCCACTTGCTGTGTTACCTTGAACAAATCATTTAACCTATTTGAATGTCAGTTTTCTCATCTGTAAAACAGGGATAATAATAGTAGCTATGTTATCAGGATACTGGAATGATCAAATGATACAAAGCATCCAACATACTAAGTATCATCCCTAGTATATGGTAAATACTAGAGAAACAAATTACTATTCACAAGTGTTCATTCTTGTAATACAAGACTACATTCCACCTGCCAGTAATGAAAGTAGAGAATTTGTAGTCTTCTCAAGACATACTTCACTTACTGTAGTAGGAAAAAAAAAAACTCAAAATATTAACTTAGTTAATAAAAATCATATTTTCTCTTCTGGAGGGAAAAAAAATCACATTCATTACTAAGTAAATTAATCACACATTAATGTAAAAAATAAGAGCTTTCTCTTTTCACCTTATGAGAATGTAAGAAAAAAAAGTTGGACTAGAAATTTAAATTTAGGTGCTAAGAAACTGGATATCCACATGCAGAAGAATGAAACTAGACCCCCACCTTTCACCCCATACGAAAATCAACTTAAAATGGATCAAAGACCTAATTGTAAGACTTGAAACTATAAAACTATTAGAAGAAAACACAGGGGACACTGATGTGGGGAAAGGGTTTATGAGTTAAGATCTGAAAAGTACAGGGTGGGCACGGTGGCTCATGCCTGTAATCCCAGCACTTTGGGAGGCCGAGGCAGGCGGATCATGAGGTCAGGAGCTCGAGACCAGCCTGACTAACAAGGTGAAACCCTGTCTCTACTAAAAAATACAAAAATCAGCTAGGCATGGTCATGCATGCCTGTAATCCCAGCTACTGGGGAGGCTGAGGCAGGAGAATCACTTGAACCTGGGGGCAGAGGTTGCAGTGAGCCGAGATCACGCCACTGCACTCCAGTCTGGGCAACAGAGTGAGACTCTGTCTCAAAAAAAGAAAAGAAAGAGAGAAAAAAAGATCTGAAAAGTACAGACAATAAGGTAAAAATAAACAAATGGGATTATATTAAACTAAAAAGCTTCTGCACAGCAAAGGAACAACCAACAGCACAAAAAGACAACCTACGGAATGGGAGAAAATATTTGCAAACTATTGAACCAACAAGGGATTAACATCCAGTATATATATAAGAAACAAACATCTCAAAAGAAAAAAATACAACCAATTCAATTTTTAAATGGGCAAATGATTTGAACAGACATTTCTCAAAAGAAGGCATACAAATGGCTAACAAATATTTGGAAAAAATGCTGAACATCACTAATCGTCAGGGAAATACAAATCAAAATTGGGGTAAGGTATCCTCTTACCCCACTTAGGATGGCTATTATCAAACAGACAAAAAATAACAAATGCTGGTGAGGAAGCAGCAAAAAGGGAACTCTTGTACGCTGTTTGGGAATGTGAACCAGTATAGCCACTATAAAGAACAGCATGGGCCGGGCGCAGTGGCTCACGCCTGTAATCCCAGCACTTTGGGAGGCCAGGGCAGGTGGATCACTTGAGGTCAGGAGTTCAGGACCAGCCTGGTCAACATGGCAAAATCCTGTTTCTCCTAAAAATACAAAAATTAGCTGGGCTTGTTGGCATGCGCCTGTAGTCTCAGCTACTCAAGGCTGAGGCAGGAGGATCGCCTGAACCCAGGAGGTCAAGGCTGCAGTGAGCTGAGATCGCAACACTGCACTCCAGCCTGTGATGGAGCGAGACGATGTCTCAAAAAAAAAATAAACAAATAAAATAACAGTATGAAGGTTCCTCAAAGAGCTACAAATAGAACTACCCACTACTAGGCATTTTTCCAAAGAAAAGGAAATAATACATCAAAGAGATATCTGCACTCCCATGTTTATCAAAGCACTATTGATGATACCCAAGATATGGAATCAAACTAGGTGTCCCACAACAGATGAATGGATAAAGAAAATGTGGTATATATACACAATGGAATACTATTCAGCCATTAAAAAGAATGAAATTCTTGGGCACCAGGCGTGGTGGCTCACACCTGTAATCCTAGCACTTTGGGAGGCCAAGGTAGGCAGATTACCTGAGGTCAGGAGTTCAAGACCAACACGGCCAACATGGCAAAACCCTTCTCTACAAAAAATACAAAAATTAGTTCAGTGTGGTGGCACACACCTGTAATCCCAGCTACTCGGGAGGCTGAGGCAGGAGAATCACTTGAAGCCAGGAGGCAGTGGTTGCAGTGAGCCGAGATCGCACTACTGCACTCCAGCCTGGGTGACAGAGCAAGACTCCATCACAAAAAAAAAAAAAAGAAAAAGAAATTCTCTTATTCACAGCAATATGGATAGAACTAGAAGACATTATCTTAAGTGAAATAAATAAGGTATGGAAAATTAAACATACATGTTTTCACTCATGTAGTCACATAAAAAAGTTGATCTCATAGAAGCTAAAAGTAGGCTGGGCGCAGTGGTTCATGCCTATAATCCCAGCACTTTGGGAGGCCAAGGCAGGTGGAACATTTGAGCTTAGGAATTCGAGACCAGCCTGGCCAACATGGTGAAATCCTGTCTCTACTAAAAATACAAAAGTAGCCGGGCATGGTGGTGGGGGCCTGTAATCCCAGCTACTTGGGAGGCTAAGGCAGGAGAATCGCTTCAACCCAGGAGGCGGAGGTTGCAGTGAGCCAAGATCGCACCACTGCACTCCAGCCCGGGCAACAGAGTGCAACCGTCTCCAAAAAAAAAAAAAGAAGTAAAAAGTAGAACAGAGGCTAGAGGCTACAAGACAAAGACTGGGAAAGGTAGGGGAAAGAAGAGAATATGGAGAGATTTGTTAAAGGATACAAAATTATGGCTAGATGGGAGGAATAAGCCCTAGTGTTCTATAGCACTGTAGGATGGCTATAGTTAACAATAATTATTATACAGTTTTGAATAGCTAGAAGGAGGATATTGAATGTTTCCAATACACAAAAAAATGATGCTTGAGATGATGGCTGTTCTAATTACCCTGCTGATTACTATACATTATATGAATCAAAACATCACTATATACCCCACAAATATGTACAATTATTTTGTGTCCATTAAAATTTTTTAATTTGAAAATTATAAAACATAAACATTTAAATTTAGCTGCCCTGGATGTTTGGGACAGGAAATATTTCAAAGCAAATCCATGCCATTTTTCATTTTTCACCATCTTTTCTCTACTCACCCACAAGCCAAACACACACGTATCTTTCACAAATTAGTTCAAAGAAACCTATACGAACATCAAGAAAAAAGAGCAATCTACATGTCTGTAGGTATGAGAGCATTTTACAAATCATAGAAAGAAATCTGAGGGCAGGGATGGAAGGATGTGAAGTTGCAGTGTGCCGAGATCGTGCCACTGCACTCCAGCCTGGGCAACAGAGGGAAACCCTGTTTCAAAAAAAAAATGCAACTCAACTGAGCATTTTGTGATGAATTCAACCTTGTCTTACACAAATATTTGAACTATTGCTTTTTTGGTTTGAATTTATCAATTGAGTCTTTGCCCGTACTTCTGTTCCCAACTTTTGAGGCACTGTGTTGTGTTTTATTTTTATTTATTTTTTATTTTGAGGACAGGGTCTCACTTTGTTGCCAGGCTGGATTGCAGTGGCATGATCATAGCTCACTGCAACCTCAAACTTCTGGGCTCAAAAGATCTTCCTGCCTCAGCCTCCCAAGTAGCTAGGACTACAAGTATGTGCCACCATATCTGGCTAATTTTTTAAATTTTTTGTAGAGACTGGGTCTTGCTGTGCTGCCCAGGCTGGTCTCAAACTCCTGCATTCAAGAGATCCTCCCGCTTTGGCCTTCCAAAGTGCTGGGATTACAGGCATGAGCCACTGTGCCTGGCCACACTACATTTTAGATCTCAGGTCAGCAAACTAAACTATTTCTTACAGGACAAATGTGGCCCACTGTCTGTTTTTGTAAATAAAGTTTTATTGGAACACAGCCATGCTCATTCATTTACATACTGTCCATGCCTACTTTTGTGCTATAATGGTAAAATTTAATAGCTGCAACAGATACTATATGGCCACAAAAATAAAACTATTTACTAACATGTTATTTGTTGATCCCTTTTAGATGCAACTCTTGTTGGGTTTGACTTTTTGCTCCAATCTGAATCATTTTACTTTTGAGCAATTTTTTTTTCTTTTCTTTTTTTTGAGACAGTGTCTCACTCTGTCACCTAGGTTGGAGTGTAGTGGCACAATCACCACTCACTGCACCCTCAACCTCCAGGGCTCAAGCAATCCTCCCACCTCAGCCTCCTGAGTAGCTGCGACTAAAGGCACATACCACTACACAGTGCTAATTTTCTGTATTTTTTGTAGAGACGAGGTTTCACCATGTTGCCTAGGCTGGTCTTGAACTTCCGGTCTCAAGTGATCTCCCTGCCTGGGCCTCCCAAAGTGCTGGGATTACAGGCCTGAGTCACCCTGCCTGGTCCAAGTCATTTTCTTTTAATAAATGAGTTTATCCAATTTATAATTTTGTATTTATGACATATTTCATCTTAATCCTATTATATTTTGTATTGCCTTTAGCCTTTAATTTAATCTTTTCATTATACATTTCACTATATTCAGTACAAAGGTTTGAACTGTGTAGCTCTACTTATACATGGATTTTTTTTCCTCCTCTGCTACCCTGACAGTAAGACCAACCCCTTCTCTTTTTCCTCCATCTATTCAATGTGAAGACTTTTATGATGATCTGCTTCCACTTAATACTAAATATATTTTCCTTATGGTTTTCTTAATAACATTTTCTTTTCTATAGCTTACTGTATTGTAAAAATATAATATATAATACATATACAAAATATGTGTTAATCTGTTCACGTTTTCAGCAAGGCTTCTAGTTAACAGTAGGCTAGTTAACTTTCTTGGGTAGTCAAAAGTTCTAATATGGCCAAGTGTGGTGGCTCATGCCTGTAATCCTAGCACTCTGGGAGGCCAAGGCGAGTGGATCACCTGAGGTCAGGAGTTCTAATGCAGATTCTCAAAAAAAAGTTCTAATGCAGATTCTCAACATGTGGGGTTGGTACCTATACTTTCAAGTTGTTCAAGGGTCAACTGTAGTCTGTTTTCTTAGAAAAACTGTAGTCTGTCTCCTTTAGATAACATTTCTTTACTCCACACTAAGAAAATTAGTATACTTATCAGCATTATTGCAACTGATCCCATGTTATAAACGAGAAAAATTTCCAGACTTACAACTACCTACCCATCCCTAACTCTCAAGGCTTTTTCCTGTTGTTGTTCTTAGTTCTACATTTAAATTTATTCAATGCAAAATGATGCTTTTTTTTAACTTAGTCTTCCATTCACTTCTTGATTCAATAGTTTACAACACAGTCTCCTCTCCTTTCTTTCCCCGAAAAGAGCAGATTTGTGGAAACTATAAGCCACGATTTTTCTATTTGAAAACATACGTTGGCCAGGTATGATGGTGCACGCCTGTAATCCCAGCACTTTGGGAGGCTGAGGCGTGTAGGCTGCTTTGAGCTCAGAAGTTCGAAGCCAGCCTGGGCAACAGAGCGAAACCCTATCTCTACAAAGAATACAAAAATTAGGCCAGGTGCAGTGGCTCACGCCTGTAATCCCAGCACTTTGGGAGGCCGAGGTGAGGTGGGCGGATCACTTGAGGTCAGGAGTTCGAGACCAGCCTGGCCAACATGTTGAAACACCATTTCTACTAAAAACAAAACAACACAAAAATTAGCTGGGTGTGGTGGCATGTGCCTGTAGTCCTGGTTACTTGAGAGGCTGAGGTGAAGGGATTGCTTGAGCCTGAGAGGTCGAGGCTACAGTGTGCCAAAACTGCACCACACCGCACTCCAGCCTGGGCAACAGAATGAGACTCTGTCTCAAAAAAAGAAAAGAGCCAGGCGCGGTGGCTCATGCCTGTAATCCTAGCACTTTGGGAGGCCGAGGTGGGCGGATCATGAGGTCAGGAGATAGAGACCATCCTGACTAACACGGTGAAACCCTGTCTCTACTTAAAATACAAAAAATTAGCCGGGCATGGTGGCATGTGCCTATAGTCCCAGCTACTCAGGAGACTGAGGCAGGAGAATCGCTTGAACCCAGGAGGCAGAGGTTGCAGTTAGGCAAGATCACGCCACTGCACTCCAGGCAACAGAGCAAGACTCCGTCTCAAAAAAAAAGAAAAAAGAAAGAAAAGAAAACATGTCAATTGGTGTTATACTTAAACAACAGCTTGTCTGGAAATAAAATTCTTGGGTTGTGCTTTTTTTTATCTACTGACTTTGTATATATTGTTTCATGCTGAAAAAGCCTGAAGCCAGTCTCTTGATTTTATAGGGGACTTGATTTTTTTTTTTTTTTTTTTGCATGTTGACCTAACAATAAAAGTCTATTTAAAGACTAGAAACTGTTCTAAAATTTTAAATCCTTTTCTTTTCTTTTTCACTCTTGTTGCCCAGGCTGGAGTGCAATGGCACGATCTCAGCTCACTGCAACCTCCACCTCCTGGGTTCAAGCGAATTCTCCTGTCTCAGCCTCCTGAGTAGCGGGGATTACAGGTGCATGCCACCATGCTCAGGTAATTTTAGTATTTTTAGTAGAGATGGGGTTTCATCATATTGGTCAGGCTGGTCTCGAACTTGTGACCTCAGGTGATCCGCCTGCCTCAGCCTCCCAAAGTGCTGGGATTACAGGCATAAGCACCACGCCCGGCCTTTTTTTTTTTTTTTTTTTTTTTTTTTTTTTTTTTTTTTTTTTTTTTTTTTTTTTTTTTTTTAAGAGATGAGGTTGCACTATAATGCCCAAGCTGGATTGAACTCCTGGGCTCAAGCAATCCTCCACCATAGCTGGGACTACAGGTGCATGTCACCACACCTGCCTTCAAATCTTTTATTGTGGGAAACTCTTCCTTAATGTATTGACATTTCTTTCTGCTTGATTTATTCTCCGACAGCTTCAGGGGTATCAATTATTGGCATACTAGATTGACTGTATTCCCTATCT
This sequence comes from Homo sapiens, assembly GCF_000001405.40. Taxonomy (NCBI): domain Eukaryota; kingdom Metazoa; phylum Chordata; class Mammalia; order Primates; family Hominidae; genus Homo; species Homo sapiens. The sequence goes on from NW_015495299.1 coordinate 180,565, forward strand.
GTCACTCTCTCTCTAGTCTTTCTTCATTTTTATTTGTTCCATTTTGGGTTGCTCAAATTTCTCAAGCTTGCTTCCATTACCCCCAGCTATAGTTGATATTTGCACTTTGAATGTTTCTGCAATGTTACTTTTCTCTTATTTTGTACCCTGATTCCATCAGCTCACTCTTACAATACTTCTGTTGTCTTCTTTTATTTCTCGAGCTTTTATATCTCATCTTTAAACTCTAGTTTCAGAGGAGGTATGTCTCACCCCCACCTTCCACCATAGGAACTATTTTTTCACTTTCCCTTGAGGCTTGACTCCATGCTGGACTATGTTCCCTAACTCACAGGAGCCCACATGGCATAGATTTGGGGGTGGGGTGATAATTTAGGCTTTACTTCTCTTCACATGACCAAGATCAGGAGCTGAAAGGCTGCTTGCTGCCAGTTTCTCCTCCACTCTGAACTTCCTACAAAACTGGTAGGACTGCACAGTTTGCAACTCAGCCCCACCTCTCCTGCCACTCAGGGAGCCCAACATACATATATCCAACTTTGCCATCCATGCATGGGGATTACTGGTTTTGTCCTCGGGGTGTGTCACTTTCTTGAGAGAAAGCTTCTTCCTTTGCTTTGCCTGGTTCTACAGAGGAAATCATCCTCTCTTGGCATCCTCTCTTGCCCTGGTTCAATTTTCACTGCACTTAATAGCACTAATTTATATATTTTGGGTTTTTTGGGAGGGTTTTGTTTGGTTTTTTTTTGAGACAGAGTCTCGCTCTGTCACCCAGGCTGGAGTGAAGTGGTACAATCTCAGCTCAGTGCAACCTCTGCCCCTTGGATCAAGCCATTTTCCTGCCTCAGCCTCCTGAGTAGCTGGGATTATAGGCGCCCGCCACCACGCCCAGCCAATTTTTTTGTATTTTTAGTAGAGACGGGGTTTCAGCATGTTGGCGAGGCTGGTCTCGAATTCCTGTCCTCAGGTGATCCATCCACTTCAGCCTCCCAAAGTGCTAGGATTACAGGCATGAGCCACCGCGCCTGCCGTAATTCATATATTTTGATTACAAGGTTACAGTAATTGTCAAAGTTGCAGTTTAGTTTCTGTTTCTAATTCTCCCTATTTTTAAAGTTGGTTTGGAGAAGGAAGAATAGAGATCTCAGTACTTGCTATCATTAACCACAAATATCTTTTTAAATTTTGAATAAACTATTCCACAATAATATCAAAACCATAAAGCATACTTATTATAGAATTTTTTTACAACAAATGCATTACTTTTGTAATAATTTTATAAAAATCTAACTTTCTTCTCTTTTTTTTTTTTTTAAGAGACAGTCTTGCTCTCTTGTCAAGGCTAGAGTGTACAGTGGCACAATCATAGCAGCCTCAAGCTCCTGGGCTCAATTGATCCTTTTACCTTAGCCTCCCAAGTAGCTGGGACTACAGGCATTAATCACTGTGCCCAACTAATTTTTTAATTTATTGTAGAGATGGAGTCTCACTACATTGCCCAGGCTGGTCTTGAACTCCTAGCCTCAAGTGATCCTCCTGCTTCACCTCCCAAAGTGCTGGGATTACAGGCGTGAGCCACCACAACCAGCCTGAATTTCTTCTAATTGAGTATTATTGTAGTATCAAAATCACTGTTCTGTAAACTGGAAACAGATCAATATCTGGTCTTCTCTACATTAATAAACTTCTCCTTTTTAAATAAAGAAGAAGTTATGACAAACGCACTGAGGCAGTTCTCAGAAAAAATCCTACATATTTTTCACTCTTTACCCCTAGCCTTCCACAGCTGGCGTTTTTTACCCTGATTTTACTAAAGGTGAAGTTCACATCACTTTCACTCTTTGGCATTGAGTGCAAGATATAAATAAGAATGGAAATATACAATATATAAAGCCCACATAATCTTAATCAAATGTCTTTTAGACCCTGATATATAAATACTATCGCATTTTCTTTCTTCCTTTCTTTCCTTTCCCTCTTTTTTCTGAGACAGGGTCTTGCTCTGTGGCCAGGCTGGAGTGCAGTGGTATGATTACGACTTACTGAAGCCTTGACCTCCCCAGCTCAAGTGATCCTTCCACCTCAACCTCCCAAGGAGCTGGGGCCACAAGCACATGCCACCACGCCCAGCTAATTTTTCATATTTTTAGTAGATATGGGGTTTCACCGTGTTGCCCAGGCTGGTCTCGAACCTCTAGGCTCAAGCCATCCACCAGCATCAGCCTCCCAAAGTGCTGGGATTACAGGCCTAAGCCACCATGCTCAGCCTATCACATTTCCTAATCCATGCAAACAAAAGGCTAAAACTAAGCACTATCTTTTTTTGTTTTTGTTTTTGTTTTTAGAAAAGGGGGGTGTCTCACTATGTTGCCCAGCTGGTCTCAAACTCCTAGTCTCAGTGAGCCTCCTGCCTCAGCCTACCAAACTGCTGGGATTACAGGCGTGAACCACCATGCCCAGCCAAACTCTACTTTTTAATACATGATGAATATCACTTTAAAAAGAAAAAAAAACCTTAGCCAAACTAAATTTATTAACAGTTCTAGCAAATACCATCTTCAGCTGTGGAGACAACTTGCTTAGCATATAAACAGACCTATGCTCCCTTAAAGGAGAGAATGCAGGTAATTAAAGCACTTTAGAGCAGCAGCAGAATATACACTGTTATTACCAAAAAATGGAAATAACCATTACTGAGAACAGAAAATACTCAAGTCTCACTTGCTGTAGAAAAAATATTTCAACAGCAAACATAACCATATACTAGAATTCAAGAGTAGGAAATAGCCGGGCACGGAGGGTCACGCCTGTAATCCCAGCACTTTGGGAGGCCAAGACAGGCGGATCACCTGAGGTCAGGAGTTCAAGACCAACCTGGCCAACATGTTGAAACCCCGTCTCTACAAACACACAAAAATTAGCCGGGCATGATTGCGGGTGCCTGTAATCCTAGCTACTCAGGAGGCTGAGGCAGGAGAAACTGCTTGAACCCGGGAGGCGGAGGTTGCAGTGAGCCGAGATCACACCGTTACACTCCAACCTGTCTAAAAACAAAAACAAAAAACAGTAGGAAATATGATTAGGTTTAGGTTTTTAAAAAATCCTCATTGGGGCTGGGCATGGCGGCTCACGCCTGTAATTGCAGCACTCTGGGAGGCTGAGGTGGGAGGATCAACTGAGGTTAGGAGTTCAAGACCAGCCTGACCAACATGGAGAAACCCAGTCTCTACTAAAAATACAAAATTAGCCAGGTGTGGTGGCACATGCCTGTAATCCCAGCTACTCAGGAGGCTGAGGCAGGAGAATCGCTTAAACCCAGGAGGCAGAGGTTGCTGTGAGCCGAGATCGCTCCATTGCACTCCAGCCTGGACGACAAGAGCGAAACTCCATCTCGAGGCAGGAGAATCGCTTAAACCCAGGAGGCAGAGGTTGCTGTGAGCTGAGATCGCTCCACTGCACTCCAGCCTGGATGACAAGAGCGAAACTCCATCTCAAAAAAAAAAAAAAAATTCCTCTTTGATATTATACACCAAGTTTAATAGGAAAATTGAACAATTCATTTCCATTGTTTCTTACTTCTTACAAATACAGAGGAATAAGACATTAGCAAGGAGAAAAGTAAGGAAGATACACTTTTAACAAAAGCAGCCAGCAGCCCTTTCAGTCTTCCAATGATAACCACAAAACAATTTGACAAAAATATGAACATTATTCTCTTTGGGACTACCACTTGATCACCTCCATGTGGAATCTCTATGTCACTGCTGTTCTTTTGATTCTCCTGTTTCAGAAACATGTTCATTTCACTGCCACACCATTTTTCTCTAATTGCCATCTGTAATTTTATATCCTACCACTTTTAAAGAGCCTAGATCTACAACATACCTTATAATTTTTTTTTTTTTTTAAAGACAGAATCTCATTCTGTTGCCCAGGCTGGAGTGCAGTGGCACGATGTTGGCTCACTGCAACCTCTGCTGCCCATTTTCAAGTGATTCTCCTGCCTCAGCTTCCCAAGTGGCTGGATTTACAGGCAAGCACCACCATGCCCCGCTAATTTTTGTATTTTTAGTAGACACGAGGGTTTCACCATGTTGGCCAGGCTGGTCTCAAACTCCTGACATCAAGTGATCCGCCCACCTCGGCCTCCCAAAGTGCTGGGATTACAGGAATGAGCCACCGTGCCCAGTTCATACCTTATAATTTTTTTAAAACTAGCGTGAGATGCCAGGTGCAGTGGCTCATGCCTGTAATCTCAGCACTTTGGGAGGCTGAGGCAGGCGGATCACTTGAGGTCAGGAGTTCGAGACCAGCCCGGCCAATATGGTGAAACCCAGTCTCTACAAAATACAAATATTAGCTGGGCTTGGTGGTGCACACCTGTAATCCCAGGTACTCTGGAGGCTGAGACAGGAAAACTGCTTGTACCCGGGAGGTGGAGGTTGCAGTAAGCCAAGATAGCACCACTGCACTCCAGCCTGGGCAATAGAGTGAGACTCCCTCTCAAAAAAAAAAAAAAAAACCTAGTGTGAGGCTGGGCACAGTGGCTCATACCGTAATACCAGAAGGTTGGGAGGCCACGGCAGAAGGATTACTTGAGCCCAGGAGTTCAACACCAGGCTGGGCAATGTAATGAAACCCTCGACAAAAAATAAAATAAATAAAACTAACATGAGCCTACTAAATTATCAGAATGTTTGTTTTCCAATATACTTAATGCAAATGAAAAGAATATTTACTTATCCCAGAAAGAGTGGATACTGTTAAAATCATATTTAGAGTATCATAAAGTCTTAAAAACGTTTTTCCATGTTATGTACTTTTTAAATGAGTTTTAATTCAACTTGATGAAGCATAAGAATGTAATAAGACACTAAACAGATGACTATATTGATTTTAAGAACCAAACATCTATATTACCTATGTAAAAAATAGTAAAATCAGACTGAGGAATGATGAAAATCTATCAACTGATGTGACTGGAAGAGAAAGAAGCAGTGAGAAAACTGCTTATCACTCGAAAATATAAACAACATTCATTATAATCAAGTTTGAACCAGAATATTTTAAAATAATGCTTATTGAATGTCTAGTATGTGCCATATACTGTACTCAGACAGCACTGTACAAGTAAGTTTGCATTAGGAATTTCAATGAACTTTACACTAGTTCCTTCCCTGCTATATTAGAAAGGTAAGGATAGTTTATGCAGCAGAAAGATCACTCACTGGCTCTGGTAGGTATCAGAGAGGGGGATCAAATCTGGTTTTGCTAATTACTAAGTATAAGACCTTGGGCAAGTTATTTAGGCTTCAGTCTTCTCATCTGTAAAGGGAAGATTGTAATTGTATGTATCTCATTGAGTTGCCTAGGATAATTAAATTAGGTATTTCATGAACTGTAACCCCAGCATATAGTAATCACTTAATATTAACTACCATTAGAAGCCGGGCGCGGTGGCTCACGCCTGTAATCCCAGCACTTTGGGAGGCCAAGGCGGGTGGATCACGAGGTCAGGAGATCGAGACCATCCTGGCTAACATGGTGAAACCCCATCTCTACTAAAAATACAAAAAAAAAATTAGCTGGGCATGGTGGTGGGCGCCTGTAGTCCCAGCTACTCAGGAGGCTGAGGGAGGAGAATGGTGTGAACCCGGGAGTCGGGCGCCTGCAGTCCCAGCTACTCGGGAGGCTGAGGCAGGAAAATGGTGTGAACCCGAAAGGCGGAGCTTGCAGTGAGCCAAGATCGCGCCACTGCACTCCAGCCTGGGCGACACAGCGAGACTCTGTCTCAAAAAAAAAAAAACAAACTACCATTAGAAGCAGTAAGTAGTGGTTTATTTGTATTATCATTTTGATCTAGAATCTGTAGGACTAAAATACATTCTCCAGCTGTTAGTGGTTTTCTGAATAGTTTCCTATAATCATTAAAAATCTAATATCCAAAATATTTCCTACATTCTATAGAGCACTTAAATACTAATGTTCTTGTGATGGAAAACACTAGCAGAATGAGCACTGTTTGACTGATCTGGGTACAGTATTTATTAGTTCCAGTTAATAATCCTTCACAACAAATGCTTTCTAAGTTCCGATCCATGTCACAGTCATTCTCTGTTGTTACAGAAACCCTGCATTACAGGACAAGAGGAAAGAAGAAAAACTAAGTTGTAGCTCTACTCCTCAAAGTTCTTTTGTGCTAAAAATCTGAAACTAATGGCCTCTTTGTTACTGAATTCCACATACACTTTTCCGCCTTCAGCTAACTGGACCTCTCTGCAGCATCTGACACTGCTGACCACTTTCTCTTTCTTGAAAATCTCTCCTTTCTGACCAGTCAGTGAGTTCTTTTCTCTTGACCCCCTTGCTTCCATGCCAATATACTCCAAGGTTCGTTTAATCTTACTTTACAGGGGTGCAAGATGAAATGCCTACATGGGCTGGAAGAGTAGGCCAGGGGCATTCTTTGGCATACTTTGCTCAAATCATTTCCAGCAAGTTGTTGCAATGTTTACAAAAAAAAAAAAAAAAAAAAAAAAAAAGGTTGACCCAGAACTTCCAGCTCTTCCATGTTATTAAAAGAAGATAGGGCCAAGCACAGTGGCTCAGGCCTGTAATCCCAGCACTTTGGGAGACCGAGGCAGGTGCATCACCTGAGGTCAGGAGTTCAAGACCAGCCTGGCCAACATGGCGAAACCCTGTCTCTACTAAAAATACAAAAATTAGCCGGCGTGGTGGCACGCGCCTGTAGTCCCAGCTACTCAGGAGGCTGAGGCAGAAGAATCGCTTGAACCGGGGTGGTGGAGATTGCAGTGAGCTGAGATCGTGCCACTGCACTCCAGCCTGGCAACACAGCGAGACTCCATCTCAAAAAAATAAATAAAAGAAGATAAAAATCCAAATTTCCCCACAAAATACCTTAATTGTTTTCATGTCAGCAGCTCCTTTAAACTTTTGAACATATGAAGGCCGGGGGTGGTGACTCACACCTGTAATTCCAACACTATGGCAGGCTGAGGCAGAAGGATCACTTGAGCCCCTTTGTTTGAGCCCAGCCTGGGGCAACATAGTAAGACCCTGTCTCCATTTAAACAAAAACAACAAAAAAAGAAAAAGACAGCCAGGCGCGGTGGCTCACGCCTGTAATCCCAGCACTTTGGGAGGCCAAGGCAGGTGGATCACGAGATCAGGAGTTCAAGACTAGCCTGGCCAAGATGGTGAAACCCCGTCTCTACTAAAAACACAAAAATTACTGGGTGTGGTGGTGGGCGCCTGTAATCCCAGCTACTCGGGAGGCTGGGGCAGAGAATTGCTTGAACCTGGGAGGCAGAGATTGCAGTGAGCCAATCGCACCACTGCACTCTAGGCTGGGCAACAGAGTGAGACTTTGTCTCAAAAAAGAAAAGAAAAAGACATGTAACCCTAAGTTATTTTATAAATCTGTTTCCTCATGTATGAAAAGGTACTGAAGAAAAATCAGAAACCATCACAAAAAGTGTGGGTCAAACAAAACATTTCTATAGGCTTTATCTTTTTTTTTTTCTGAGTTAAGTTCTCCCTTTGCCACCCAGGCTGAAGTGCAGTGGTGTGATCAAGATTCACTGCAACCTTGACCTCCTGAGTTCAAGCGATCCTCTCACCTCAGCCTCCTGAGTAGCTGGGACTACAAAAATGCACTACCACACCTGGCTAATTTTTGTATTTTTTGTAGAGACAGGGTTTCACCACTTTGCCCAGGCTGGTCTCAAACTCCTGAGCTCAAGTGATCCGCCCACCTTGGCCTCCCAGAGTGCTGGGACTACAGTTGTGAGCCATGGTACCAAGCCTACCCCAGGTTTCAAACCAAATGTATACAACTGCATATGTGGATTTTTCTGGAGAAGTGTCCAAGACTAAGAACCACTGACTAGCCCAAATTTGTCTACTTCTACCATTTCAGCAGCCGTCTGTGAGGATGAGTCCCACATTTACATCCAGTCCACCTATGAGATCGCCTTACCTCCTTAACATGCCTCTGCCACTGCTACCTCCTCTCAATTGCCATTGCCACCACCTTAGTTCAAACCCTCTTCAAATCTCTTGTCAGGAGCTGCCTCACTGGTCTAATTACAGTCTTGTCCTCCTTTTTCCTACTCTGTATAACTCAAATCCTCTAAATCTCAAGTAATTTATGTGGCCAAAGACTTTCAGGGTCTGCTTGTCACGTAAAAGAAATCCAAACTCCTTCCCCTAACACAGAAACTCCTTAGGACCTGGCCAGACTGACCTTTCCCTCTCACTATTTATTCCCCTCCTCCTCCAACTCCTGGGAGGTAACAGAACCACAATTTGCAACACAGGATACTCTTTTGTCCCTAAACTTTGATTCCTACTTACAGGTCACACCTTATGGAATGCCGAACTCCTCCCATTCGCTTAGGACAGAAACTTCCCCTGCAAAGCCCTCACTTTAAAACCTAGCCTGCCCTTTAGGCCAGAATAGAAGAATATTCCTCCAGGCTAAGCTATTACTTAACATTCACATTGGCATTGTAAATGTCAGCTTATTTTTCTTCTCCAATAGACTAAAAACTCCTCAAGGGCAGAGAACGTGTCTCTATTGCAAAGCTCAGAGCTACAACAGAGAAGCTAATCTGTTAAATGAATGAACCAGCAGCTGCTCCTACCAATCAAGTCAGGTAAACATGCCCAGGACTCTAAAGTGAGCCTATCAATTCTACAAACTGCTCAGTGCCTTCAAAACCATGCAACACTACCGTCCACGGGGACTCACAAAAACACTTCAAAACCTGAAAGAGCGGAACGAGGAGTAAAGCAAACCCACCCTGTGCTCCTTTGCCCTCGGTGTACTTACTATACCTTTATATTGGCCAATTCCAAATTCAAACAGCAGAGACTATGCTAACATGAAGCTGCTGAAATGGAATATACTGCACAATTTTTTACTGGCAAAAATATATTTATTTGCCCCATTAAAGTAATTATAATATTCTCTCTGTACTCAAATACTTATTAGTATTATTAATATATACTGAGGCAAGAACTCATTAAAAATTCACATCAAGAATATTAAAAATCTGGCCGGGCGCGGTGGCTCACGCCTGTTATCCCAGCACTTTGGGAGGCCAAGGCGGGCGGATCACGAGGTCAGGAGACCGAGACCATCCTGGCTAACACGGTGAAACCCCGTCTCTACTAAAAATAGAAAAAATTAGCCGGGTGTGCGGGCGCCTGTAGTCCCAGCTACTTGGGAGGCTGAGGCAGGAGAATGGCGTGAACCCGGGAGGTGAAGCTTGCAGTGAGCTGAGATCGTGCCACTGCACTCCAGCCTGGGCGACAGAGTGAGACTCAGTCTCAAAAAAAAAAAAAAAAAAAAAAAAAGAATATTAAAAATCTTTAGAAAAAAATAGAAAAGTTATGCACCAGAAAAAGTTATGCACCAAGAAAATATAAAGGTTATGCTTCAGGAACCATTCTAAAGGCTTTATGTTCAATTCCTCATTTAGTCTTCACAGCAACCCTATGAAGTAGGTACTATTATTACCCCCTTTTACAGACGAAGAAAACTGAGACTTAATCAGATTAAGTAATTGTCATTATCCAAGGTCACACAGTCAGGATGCAAGGCCTATTTGCTCCAGAGCCCAAGCTTTTAACCAATACAAAACGACACAACTACCATTACATGGACAATCCTACCCTTACGTTTTTCCTCTTTGTTTCTGCTGTATGCATACACATAAAGAGAAAAAGCACACGAAAGTGTTAAACAGTGGTTATCCTTTGAGTGGGAAAAACAGGTCTACTCTCCAAATATAGCATAAGCCTACTATAGTATGTATAGTACAGTATTACTTTCAGTTATTTAAAAAAGGAAACAAGAGAAATAGTATTTAGATGTTACTACTAGAAAAGTAAGGTGGAGGCCAGGCCTGGTGGCTCACACCTATAATCCCAGCACTTGGAAAGACTGAGGCAGGCGGATCCCTTGCATCCAGGAGTTTGAGACCAGCCTGGGCAACATGGGGAAACCCTGTCTCTACAAAAAATACAAAAATTAGCCAGGCATGGTGGCAAGCACCTGTAGTCCTGGCTGACTACAGGCACACCTGAGGTGGGAGGATCACTGGAGCCCAGGAGGTTGAGGCTGCAGTGAGCTGTAATCATGCCACTGTACTCCAGGCTCGACAACAGAGTGAGACCCTGTCTCAAAAAAAAAAAAAAAGAAAGAAAGAAAGAAAGAAAGAAAAGTAAAGTGGGCTAGTGGAATTAACATTTAATTAATACTATTATGGGCCAAACACATGGCTATCTCATCTAACCCTTATATCAAAGAATTTTATTCCCATTTTAAGTTAAAGAAACCAAAGACTAAATAACTTGCCCAGCGGAAGGACTGGGATCAGAACTCAAAGCCCAGTCTAAAGGTGTCACTGCAGGAAGTCATGCTACAAATAAAATTTCACCAAAAACTCATCTTTTATTTTTTTTGAGATAGAGTTTTGCTCTGGTTGCCCAGGCTGGAATGCAATGGTGCAATCCTGGCTCACTGCAACCTCCGCCTCCCAGGTTCAAGTGATTCTCCTGCCTCAGCCTCCAGAGTAGCTGGGATTACAGGCATACACCACCACGCCTGGCTAATTTTGTATTTTTAGTAGCGACGGGGTTTCTCCATGTTGGTCAGGCTGGTCTCGAACTCCGGACCTCAGGTGATCCGCCCGCCTCAGCCTCCCAAAGTGCTGGGATTACAGGCGTGAGCCACCACGCCCGGCCTAAAAACTCATCTTAAAAACAAATCACATTCTGTGAAAGGATGAGAACCAAGTAGTCTGTCACCTTACGTGCAAGGAGGGAAAAGAGGGAGGCTTAAGGTTTTAAATTGAGTATTTCCTCAGTATCTCAAACTAGCCAGGAGCATTGTCAAAAATCAGCCTTTACAGTCAGGACTTCTGGGACAAACTCTTGCTTGAAGAAGTGAGGAGACTCTATTGCTGTTTGTTTTGCCTAGCACAGAGCTGCATGTGTAAGTTAAACTGACTTAGCACTGGGGACAATTTGCTGCCTCCAACCCAGTCTCACCTATTCAACCATTGTTTTACCAGTTACCAGGTGTGGGGGAGGGGGAAAGAAAAGTGTCTGAGAATATTGCTCTAACTGTATTCAAATATAAATGACTTTTCATTAGCCATAACCATTGTACCAAACCTGGATAGTGAGAGCTGCTAACCCTCAGAGAACATCTCAGGTATGAATAAATAGTTTAGCATTTTTTTGAAATGTCATTAATTTTGGGTGCTCTCAGAAATGTTTAATTCCTTCTAAACTAAAATTTTTATTTCTCTAAAAATAGTAGCAACATGATTTGCTGAGAAAAAGTTGGAATGGGATATACAAATTTCCTCCTAAAAATCTTCCAGAGGAAAGAAAACTTGATTATTTCAGACTTGTAATTATACTAACCATTTACTTTTTAAACTAACACTTAATAATAAAAAAGCATATTCCCTTAGTAGTTTAAAGTTAATTCAGTATTTGCCCTGAAAATCTTTTATTAATTTCAAATGGAATGTAACTTTTAAAAACATCAAACCTGTCATTCCTTCAGGAAATAAAGTAGCCCATTAGGCGATCAGGTTAGGAAATTAATACATGTTTGAGGTAGGGTGGGAAAAAGTACAAAACTTTTTTGGTATTTGTACACATAGTTTTGGAAAGCTTAGGAATGTGAAGTCAACAATATACCTTTAAAATATCAAATTATAAGGCAATAACAATTTTTTTCAAACCTTAAAATGTTCCAAGAAAAATGACTAAGAATGATTTTTTTCCATCCAGTATATGCTCTAAAAATAAGGACAAACTATAATAGAAGTAACGATTTTTGGTACACATGTTTAAAAAAATGTCCATGTCAATAAACAATTTCAATTAATCAATAAACTTAAAACAACCATTAAATGTAATTTGCATTTTTGTATCAGATCCATACAATCTCAAATATCAAGATTTTCTTAAGCTCAATGCTAAATGACCGGATATCTATCATTGTGGAGAAACAGAGTTTGATCTTAGGCAGACGAAAGGAAAAGAAAGGCACACACCTAGAAGAATCACATGAGTCTCATTTCGAAGCCTCACGGAAGTCAGCACTGAAAGTCGTGGGTGACCCATTGCCCTGCAAGTGGTAGCTTTTCACTAACAACAGTGCTGGGGGTACTGAGTGGGCAGAATGTGGGACATCTCCTGCCAGCAACTCCAGCCTGCTACCAAGCAGGACACCGCACATAAACACAACACTCTGCCCTAAGCTCACCAAAAAAAAAAAAAAAAAGGAAAAAACCAACAATTAAACGATGCAAAATAACCTCTCCAAACACGCCCACACTGGGGACTGGCAGTGGGGGGTGGCAGGGTCTATTAACATTTCAATGTCAACACTCAAGAACAACAAGGAGGTAAGCATAGCCACGGGAAACATCCTGTCCCTGAAAAGCAGAAAATCGAGATTTGGAAATTTATGTTTATCACTTTTTTTTTTTTTAACGTTCAGAGCTCAGGGCACCAAAATATAGCTAAAATTGAATCCATTTAAACAGAAAACATACGTGTGTGTGTATGAATATATATGTGTTTATATATGCATATAAAATATATACATACACATATATTTTTTTTTCGTTTAAATGTTATACATACACACACACACACACACACACACACACACACACCCCAAAACCAAAGTAGTTTTGCTAGGTTCCGAGGGCTCTTCCACAGACCCTTCTGAGTTGTAGCAATAACAAGTTTAGGTTTCCTTAAAATCTCCATTACTCTATTTCTAGGTCGAATACAAGAATGTCACATAAAACTAAACAGTGATTATCAGAATAAATGAACTACTGATCCTTAAACTGTAGACCTTGTTTCGGGAGCTGCCCTGCCCACTTCCTCTCCCTCCTCCCAATCCCGGAGGCTTCCAAGCCATCTGACAACCACGTCTCCCCCTTGGGATCTGTTCCGGTGTTGGTTTTACCGGACAGTGACCAAAAAGGAGGGGAAACTCCTACATCTGGGGACTGCTCCAGAAACCCTGCCTGATCCTGCCCCTCTCACTGACAGTCTCCTCGCTGCTCCCTACATCTTCCTCTCCGCCGGAGCTGTCCAGAAGGGGGATTTTGGACCCAAAGGAATCGGGATGAAAGGGGGTGGGTACTCAAGCTGAAAATAACACCCCCAGTTGGTGGGGTAAGGGCTAAAAAAGGCAATAGGGAAAGATTGTCCGGCAGAAACACCACCTGAGTTTACCTCCTCCTTCCCACCCCAAAAACCCAGTCACTAACTAATAAAGCTAAGAAAAGCCCCTTGCAAACTTTTCCAAACCGGAAGAGAAGGCCCTCTCCCCAACCTGGGGGGCTCTAGGGGGAAGGGGCTGGAGTTAGCAGCCCCGAATGGGCTCGCGGGGAGTTGGGTGGGGCGCGGGCGAGGGGTGCAGGGGCGGAGTACCTTCTTCAATGGACAGGAACTGGCAAAGAGTTTCAAAATAGCCGAGTGCGCTCCCCCACGCCCTGGGGGGTCCCGGGCGCTAGGACCAGGGCTCCCCGGAGAGACAGCGGCCCCCAGTTCGGGCCTAAAAGGAAACTTTCTGGGCCGCGGCTGCACCTGACTCCTCACCGCCCCTCCACCCGACCCCACGCCCGCCAGGCCGCCCGCCCCGCCCCGCCCCGGCCTGGCCGTCCGGAGCGCGGAGGAGGGGGATAAATAAATTCAACTCTTACCGGAATCTGGGGGCCGTCTGCGAGAGACCCGGGGGAAGGGGAGCCGGGCGCCCATTCCCCACTCCCCACTCCTAGGCCCTGACGCCCCTGTCCCGGCAGCCCGGGCCTGCCGCCCCGCGGGAAAGCCTCCGGGCCGGCGCGGGATTCGGCCCAGCAGCGCCGCCGTCCCACCCGGAGACCCCGGGGGACTCGAGGGGGCGCGCGGAGGCCCGGGGTGCGGGGGCAGGGCGCGGCTGCCGTGGGGCCTACCGGCCCGAGGCCTACCGGCGCCCCCCCCTCCCGCCGCACACCCCCACCTGGCCCGCGCAGGCCGCTCCGCTCGCCCCACTCCGGCTCCGGCTGGACCCCTGCCCGCCCGCCGTCGCCGCCCGCGGGCGCCCCGGAGGCCCTCAGGCCCCCGGCCTCCACCACCCGGGCGCCGGCCCCACTCACCCTTTCATTCTCCGCCCGGGGCCTGGCGTGGGCCGGCGAATCCCCGGCCTCACGTAAGCGCGCTCGCCGCCCGCCCAGCCTGCGCGGCCCAGCCCGCCGCCCTACGGGAGCCCGGGGATGTGGGCCGGGCCTGGGGCCGCCTCTGCTTACCTTTCAGCTGCTTTTTTTTTTCTCCTTCCCCCCTGTTCCCTCGGCTGGGCTGACAGATCAGAGTGAGAGGCGCTGGCAATGGACTAGGAAGCTCGGCTGCCGCTGCTACTGCTCCCCCCTGGGCTCCGGCGAGAGCCTTTCCCTGTCAAGCAAGAGGGGTGAGGATCATATTTTTATTTTGGAAACTAAAAAGTGCTCCCAGGGTCGGTGATTATTAAGGGGAAATCCCTGAATATACTCTCCAGCCAAGAAGGCAGGGCTGCCGGGGCTGTACAAGAAGAGGCAGCAGCCTCCTACAGCACCACTACAGGCACTGCGAGGACATAACACCAGAGAGCTGCTCCTCTGCCCTCCGAAACGACAACTTTCCTACCATCTTGGAGGCAGAGCAAAGGGGGGCCAGGGGGAAAAGTGCACCCGCTCCCGATAAAGTACAAATTTTTACTTCTCATCTCTGGAAAAAAGTCCACACCGGCCGTCTACACCCGCGCCTGGGGGAGAAAGCAGGGAAGAAACGGGGGGTGCATGAGAAACGTTTTCATTTGCTCCAGGGGGAAAAATGTTTCTGCATCTTCTGATGGAAAGAAATCTTTACAAGACACAGGTTTTCCGGTGGTTATTGTTTTTTATTTTCTGTTTTTAATTTTTTTCATGTTAGTGACAGTGATATTTTAATATTTTTTTAAGCCAGTAATAATTTTTCTCCATTACAGGGCTAAGTTCTGTGGCTGGTGGTCAGTTTGTAAATTTATACTTAAAGAGACTTAATAGTAACTTCATTTATTTGTCTGGTTATGTTATTGTATATATAAATATTTATGTTTTCATATATTGCATATAAAAATTTGTGTTACATGTTACTCTCAGAACAGATTGCTGTAAGACAATTGTAAAAAAACATGTCTTTCGTCTGTTTCTCAAAGCAATGTAAATAAAACCTATGGACTGTCCAGAAAGGCATGATACAGTGTGTCATTTTCCACAGTGCAGATAAAGGCAGCTATCACTGGGGATTTAAAAACGGCCCCTGTTTCTGGAAATTCTGTTATGCTGCCCATACAGAAAGGATACAGTAAAACTGGAAAGAGATTTTAAAGACAGCCTTAGATTTTTCTTGAGGTAAAATAGCTTATTAAGAATTATATCCGGGCATTTAATTTTTTTATTTATTTAGATTCTTTAAACTCTAGCTAGATCTTTGGTGCATTACACATGTTGCTATCTGCTTTTTGTGTCACAGAATTGAGAAATGTGGCTATTTTTGTTAGTTATGTTAGTTCAGAACTTCCAATGTGCTGCCAGCCTGTATGATAGACTTTTTGTATATTGCAGTGGATGTCATGAATTTACTTTTTTAAATGAGCAAAGCTTACTAGATAAATGGGATCAGAGTTAAACAATGCTGTTAGCACAGAGGTGAGAGGGACAAAGGGTACCCATTTACATCGATTCCAATAGAACGCTTATTGGAGGATAAATTGCAGAGACATTTTTCTATTTTTGTGAAGAAAGAGAAAAATAATAGAAAAAGAACCGACTATCTTTGTATGTTCTACTGGGGATGATGATTTAAATCTTGTATTAAAAGTTATTTTTCTAACACATGTTGACTAACCTGGCAGGAATGAATTTGTTATATTAGTGCCCTGAATCAGTAGAATATTTAATTTCTTTGTAAAATTTATTACACAACATTTAGAAATAACTTCCAAATTTAGAAATTGTCCTGATTTAAAAGTGAGTTCATGTAATGCATATATCGGATATTTATTAGTTTCTAGCTGAACCTTATCTTTATCATATAACTTTGAATATAGTACTTACCTAAATATTCTGGATTTTCTTTTTTTTTTTTTTTTTTTTTTTGAGACGGAGTCTTGCTCTTTCGCCCAGGCTGGAGTGCAGTGGCCCGATCTCAGCTCACTGCAAGCTCCGCCTCCTGGGTTCACGCCATTCTCCTGCCTCAGCCTCCCGAGTAGCTGGGACTACAGGCGCCCGCCACCACGCCCGGCTAATTTTTTCTATTTTTAGTAGAGACGGGGTTTCACTGTGTTAGCTAGGATGGTCTGGATCTCCTGACCTCGTGATCCGCCCGCCTCGGCCTCCCAAAGTGCTGGGATTACAGGTGTGAGCCACCGCGCCCGGCCTATTCTGGATTTTCTTCTGTGGTTTTCTTCCTCTTTGTTTGGTGGAAAAAGTTAAGTAAAATTAACTGATTCTCATCATCTTGGAAACCTCAATTGTGAAGCTATGTTCTATTTACAATATTTTTTTTAAACATTTAGACATCAAACACATTAGTTATCACAAGGAAAATCCCTTAACTAGACCTCTGGCGAAATTGAAAAACATGTTTTCTAACAACTTATTTTTCTTTATATATGACATGACTTTATAGATATGTTTTGAATTTTTCAAGAAATTAAAATGTGATCAGATTCCATGGCTTATGTCTGTGATCCCAGCACTTTGGAAGGCCTAGGTGAGAGTATTGCTTAAGCCCAGGAGTTTGAGACCAGCCTGGGCAACACAGCCAGACCCTTTCTCCAAAAACAAAAATTAAAATAAAATGTGCTTGTTTGCATTAAGCTGGCTGCACCCTTTTTTGCAATGCCCCTTGTGACCAAAGGAACTTGTCTGTCAGTGGATAGGGCTATGCTGCATCAGCTTAGCATTTCAGTGCTTTTCTCTTTATAAAGTTTGACTTCTGCTTAGCTATAGTCTATGATATTTATCCATCAATTGAGCAAAATATTCAAGACTTGAGGCCAGGCACAGTGGCTCACGCCTGTAATCCCAGCACTTTGGGAGGCAGAGGTGGGTGGATCAACTGAGGTCAGGAGTTTGAGACCAGCCTGGCCAACATGGTGAAACCCTGTCTCTACTAAAAATACAAAAATTAGCTGGGTGTGGTGGCAGATGCCTGTAATCCCAGCTACTCTGGAGGCTGAGGCGGGAGAATCACTTCAACTGGAAGGCGGAGGTTGCAGTGAGCTGAGATTGCACCATTGCACTCCAGCCTGGGCGACAAGAGTGAAACGCTGTCGCAAAAAAATTGCTATGTCTGATTCATAGAATCTGCAAATGCTAACAAAACTACTGATATAATTTTTTTTTTTAATTTTTTTTTTGAGACAGAGTGTCACCAGGTTGGCCAGGCTGGTCTTAAACTCCTGACCTCAGGTGATCCGCCTGCGTCTGCCTCCCAAAGTGCTGAGATTACAGGTGTGAGCCACCACACCTGGGCTAAAACTACTGATATAATTTGAGGAAGCTATTTTTTTCCCAATAAAATTTCCACTACTCAAATTTGGCTACATTATTGAGCACTTAATGCATCTTTATGACCTTATTGGATACTTTTCTCTATGTTTTCTTATTTAATTCCTGTAAGAGCTCCAAAAAGTATTACATTTTTCTTTTCTTTTTTAAAAAAAAATAAAGATGGGATAATTGTCTTTCCTGTCAGGGATCATGTACCTTCTCGGCCCAAAAGCTTTCCAATAAGATTCTCAATTCTCCTGGTTTAGAGTGTCCAAGGTGCCTGTCACAATTCTGTGCACTATGCTTGAAGTGCTAGGTTCGTGCTCTATGCTCTTTGCCAAAAACAAACTGAGTAGCCAGCTATTGGAGCCCCCTTCATTCATGGGTGGCAACCAGTGGCTTATTTCACTTTCGTGAAGTCTAGCACCTAATCTATCAGTTGTTTTGAGGAATGCGAATAAATAACAAAAATAAACGCGTTATGATTAACAGAGACTTTGTTCCTGATCCTGAAAATGAGCAGTATATTGTATAAAGCACTAACTTATTCTATTATACCTTCATTTCACAAATAGCTGTTTGGCCGTTAGTTGAAGTAGGAAATGCTTACCTTAATTCTTTTTTTTTTTTAGACAGAGTCTTGCTCTGCCCAGGCTGGAGTGCAGTGGCGCGATCTCGGCTCACTGCAACCTCCGCCTCCTGAGTTCAAGCTATTCTCCTGCCTCAGCCTTCCAAGTAACTGGGATTACAGGTGCCCACCACCACACCCGGCTAATGTTTGTATTTTTAGTAGAGACGGGGTTTCCCCAAGTTGGCCAGGCTGGTCTCAAACTCCTGAGCTTGGCCTCCCAAAGTGTTGGGATTACAGGCGTGAGCCACTGCACTCGGGCAATATTTTTTAAAAATTATTTTTATTATTATTTTTTTTTACATAGAGATGGGGTCTTGCTATTTTGCCCAAGCTAGTCTGAAACTCCTGAGCTCAGGCTATCCTCCTCTCTCTGCCTGCCAAAAGTGCTGAGGTTACAGGCGTGAACCACCTTCCCCAACAACCTTAATAATTTTAGTATCATTAGACTCTTTCATTGATCTACCTTTTGGTATTAATTATTTTAGTTTTCTGTCTTTCTTTTTTTTTTCTGAGACAGAGTCTCACTCTGTTGCCAGGCTGGAGTGCAGTGGTGTGATCGCAGCTCACTGCAACCTATGCATCCCGGGTTCAAGCGATTTTCCTGCCGCACCCTCCTGAGTAGCTGGGACTACAGGCATGCACCACCATGCCCAGCTAAAATTATTAAGAAAATATCAGCCAGGCGCGGTGGCTCATGCCTGTAATCTCAATACTTTGGGAGGCCAAGGCAGGCAGATCACCTGAGGTTAGGAGTTCAAGACCAGCCTGGCCAACATGGTGAAACCCCACCTCTACTAAAAATACAAAAATTAGCCTTTCAGCTACTAGGGAGGCTGAGGCAGAAGAATCACTTAAACCCAGGGGGCGGAGGTTGCAGCGAGCGGAGATCGCGCCACTGCACTCCAGCCTAGGCAACAGACTGGAGTGCAAGACTCTGTCTCAAAAAAATAAAATAAAATAAATAAAATTTAAAAACTCCCAAGGAGGTGAGGGAGTAGAAATAGGGTATGTACATAGCCTGAAAGTTTTCAAAGCCACACTATTATGATGGCCATAGACTCAAATTTTTTTCACTTTAAAGCCTTTCTGTTTTGCAAACATTTGTTGGTAATGTTTCTACCTAAAATAAAGATTTTGGTTTTATTGTGGTTACAAGAAAGTGTTTCTGAGATAAACACTGTATTTGGCAGACAGACATACACATCATAGCTTTAGATTGACTATGAAATTTCTTCAATAAAGATTCAAAGCTGGGCGTGGTGGCTCACACCTGTAATCCCAAAACTTTAGGAGGCTGAGGAGGGAGGATCACTTGAGCCCAGGAGTTGGAGGTCACAGTGATCTGTGATCGCACTACGGCACTCCAGCCTGGGCAACAGAGTGAGAGCCTGTCTCAAAAAAAAAAAAAGGCCGGTATGGTGGCTCACACCTGTAATCCCAACACTTTTAAAGGCCGAGGCGGGTGAATCACGAGGTCAGGAGTTTGAGACCAGCCTGGCCAACATGGTGAAACCGTGTCTGTACTAAAAATACAAAAAATTAGCTGGGCATAGTGGCAGGGGCCTGTAATCCCAGCTACTCTGGAGGCTGAGGGAAGAGAATCGCTTGAACCTGGGACGTGGAGGTTGCAGTGAGCCGAGATCACGCCACTGCACTCTAGCCCGGGCGACAGAGTGAGACTCCATCTCAAAAAAAAAAAAAAAAAAAAAAAAAAAATATATATATATATATATATATATATACACACACACACATATATATGTATATCACATATATGTGTGTATATATATACACATATATATATACACACACACATATATATGTGTATATATAAAAAAATACTATATATATTTATATATTCAGCTGTAGTCAAACATGAGCGTTGATCAGGTAATCTCCCTAATGCTAATATCTAGCCTGGGGCAGTTAGACCTCTGATTTCATACCAGAAACCAAGAAGTGGGTGTTTGGTTTTGTTTTGCCTTTTTTTTTTTTTTTTGAGATGGAGTCTCACTCTGTCACCCAGGCTGGAGTGCAGTGGTGCGATCTCAGCTCACTGCAACCTCCACCTCCCAGGTTCAAGTGATTCTCCTGCCTCAGCCTCCCGAGTAGCTGGGATTGCAGGTGCCTGCCACCACACCCAGCTAATTTGTTGTATTTTTAGTAGAGACGGGTTTTCACTGTGTTGGTCAGGCTGGTCTCAAACTCCTGACTTTGTGATTCGCCTGCCTTGGCCTCACAAAGTGCTGGGATTACAGGTGTGAGTCACCGCGCCTGGCCTGGTTTTGTTTTTAAATCCCCACAAAGGCCAAAAGATACCCTCCAGGAACCAGATGGTCAATTTTGTGCTGCCTTCTCATCATACTAAAGGCAGAAAATGTGACATTCTAGACACTGTATACCATAGGCATTCTTGGGCTATTTTACTGACTCCTAACCTTGGAAAAAGGAAAACAACTCCCCAACTGAAGTCATGTTTTCAGTAATAATTAGTAAAAAGAAACACCCCAAAGCAGTATGAATGATTGGGTGGTGGAATCAGAAGTGATAGTCAGCCTTTTCCATATAATTTTAAAAACTGTCCCAAAAGTGGTGGTTAGCTAAAACATTGAAGTAAGGCGAGAAATCCATTGAGACCTCTGAATAATAGGCAGAGGTTAACACAAAGGTGACAGTGTTCATTTCTGCTGCATTCCTGGCTAAGCAAGCTTTTGTAGACCTGCTGGGAATTTAACCACTATTTCCATGGGAAAACAAATTCCAGGTTCCAAACAACTAATTTACAGTGATGTTCATGGGAACACAGCCCATTAATAAGTTTGGACTTCCTGTGCTATAACATCTTCTCCATGTAGTTGTTATAGACTGCCAGAGTTCGATGATAAGAATGGGAAAATACAGGGAAAATCCTCTCAAACAAAAAAGGAGTAACTATGAAGACAACCTAAATAGCTTGACTTAAACTCAGGTCAAGGGAAAGATTATCAAAGATATTAAATGGTAAAGCCAGTTCTAGTACACCAGGAAGGAAAAAAAGACCTCAATAACTGAAAATTGTACTATTTACTCCATATACATTGAAGTTTGTTGTTGTTGTTTTGAGACAAAGTCTTGCTCTTGTCACCCAGGCTGGAGTGCAATGGCACAATCTCAGCTCACTGCAACCTCCGCCTCCAGGGTTCAAGTGATTCTCCTGCCTCAGCCTCTTGAGTTGCTGAGATTACAGGCGCCTGCCACCACGCGCAGCTAATTTGAAGTTTGTTTATGCATACCTGGGTGCCATATGATAGTATTATAGGTATTTGCATTTTCTTCTATTCTTAAAGAAAAAACAGGTAAGATTCTACTAAAAATTACTAGATCTCATCGTTCTACTAAGTTAATGCTCTTTTGGCACCACACAGCAAGTCATGGCCATTCTTGTTCTCATGCCTCTATTCTTGTTCTGATGCTCTCTGTTTTCAGCTCTGCCAATTAAATCCCACTCTGCTTGATGACTTGCTCACAGTCTTGTCCCTGAAGCCTTCTGAGGCCAAGTTGAGTCTATACTGACCTTATTGTTAATTTAATACCTTGAGTTGTTTTCTAGCTTTTCTTAGTTTTTTGGGTTTTTTTCTACATGTGCAACAGGAGCTGTAGTGATTAATAGCTTCATCTCTGGAGTCAAGGCCATCTGATTTGGAAACTTGGCTCTACCATTTTCCTACTGTGTAACCCTGGGCAAGCTCCTAGTCTAGTCTGTTTTATGCTGCTATAACAGTATGCCATAGACTGAGAAATTTATAAAGAAGAGAAATTTATTTCTTACACTTCTGGAGACAGGAAGTCCAAGAGCATGGCGCTGACATCTGAAGAGGGTCTTTTTGTTGTGTTATCGCATGGCAGAAGGCAGAAGGTCAAGAGAGTACATGTATGAGTGGGGAAAGCGGGGAGGAAGGAAAGGAAGGTGGCAGAACTTATCCTTTTATCAGGAACCCACTCCCACAATAACTAACCTACTTCTGTGATAACAGCATGAATCCATTCAGTAGGGCAGAGCTTTTATGACCTGATCACCTCATAAAGGTCTCACCTCTCAACCTCTTTGCTTTGGGGATTAAGTTTCCAACATATAAACCTTGGGATACACATTCAGACCATAGCACTCCTTACCCTCTCAGTTTCCTCATTTGTAAAACTAGAGATAATAATAGTACCTGCCTCACTGGGGTATTCTGAGGATTAAATGGCATAGTAGATAAAGCACAAGGCTCCAGCACTTTTAGTGGAGATGGGGTTTCACCATGTAAGGATGGTCTCAATCTCCTGACCTCATGATCCGCCTGCCTCAGCCTCCCAAAGTGCTGGGATTACAGGTGTGAGCTGCCGCGCCCAGCCCCAGATATTCTTAAATACCCGGATAATTTTAAGTTTAGCTGAGATTTTGGTGCCCTTCAGAATCAATGAAGGTCTTAAAATATAAAAGGGGGTTCAGAAATAGTACATAGAGAATACACCACAAGCCAGGCACAGTGGCTCATGTTTGCAATCCCAGCACTTTGGGAGGCCGAGGTGGGAGGATCACTTGAGGCCAGGAGTTCGAGACCAGCTTGGCCAACATAGTGAGACCATGTCTCTATAAAAAATTTTAAAAATTAGCCAGCTGGGAGGCCAAAGCAGGCAGATCACCTGAGGTCAGAAGTTCGAGACCAGCCTGGCCAACATGGTGAAACCCCGTCTCTACAAAATAGCCAGGTGTAGTGACGCACGCCTGTGATCCCAGCTGCTCAAGAGGCTGGGGCAGGAGAATCGCTTGAACCTGGGAGGCGGAGGTTGCTGTGGGCGTAGATCACACTACTGCACTCCAGCCTGGGCAATAGAGGAGACTCTACACACACACACACACACACACACACACATATGTATATATGTATGTGTGTATATGTGTATGTGTATATGTGTGTGTGTCTACGTGTGTGTGTGTGTGTGTGTGTGTATATGCCACTTGTGGTGGCATGAGCCTGTAGTCCCAGCTATTTGGGAGGCTGAGGCAGGAGGATCGCTTGAGCTGAAAAGGTTGAAAAAAATTTTTTTAATAATAATAGATACATACATACGTATTCAAGAAGTGTCTATAAATCACTTACAGTGTGCTAGGCACAGGTGGTAAGGATATTGGGGAAACAGCTCCTGCCTGCGAGTGTCTTCAGTCTGGCAAGAGACAAAAGAATTATTGTTTTAGGGTTATTTATTTTTATATAGATCCTCTTGATATGTAAGCTTTTATAAATATAAGCTTTTGAAAATATAAGCTCCACGAAGCCTGGAGATTTTGTCTTTTTTTGTTTTGTTTTTGTCTAGTTTGTTCATTTGGCCTCTTGAACACTGCCTGGGATGAAATATACACCGTAAATATTTGTTGGATTAATGAATATTTGAGATTTTGGATTCTTTACTATTTGATAATTAAGGTATGGCTTTTAGATGGTTAAATGAGAAGGACTCTGAGGAATTGAGCATGGACTTTCTAACCATCTCACTACAAAAGTCCAAGATGATTAGCAAAATATCTGTGTAATTCTAGTTATTTCAGCCACCCTCAAGCATTATATTCCAATTGGCCATACTCTAGTTTAAAAACCTGGGAGTGGTATTAAGTATTCTTTTTCTTTTCTATTGACATATTTCTGTTGTGCATTTCTATTGCCAAAGATACTTAAAACGTGTGCATATCCTAGGTTATTTTAAGATGACTAGCCGTACAGGTCAAAAAATTTAAAAATGGAATATAAGAGAATCACCTGGAGTAAAAAGCAAACATAGAAGATGTAAAAATATATATGGTTGCCATTATAGCCTTTTGTGTGGAAACTCTAGCATATTTGAGCAAACATCTTTGAGTATTCCCTTTTCACATTTTGTAGGACATGATCAGATATACCATCTGCTTCTCTGGGTAACTTGGCAGCTGTTAATTGACTAACATTCCCTGAGTTCTGTTGTCACCATCAGTGGTTCTAGAACATAAGAACAAAAAAAGATTGTAAGAATAGCCTTCATAACCCAAGTTTCCTTTAAATCATAGAGAGAAAAAAAATAAGAACCTATATTGACCAACTGGGAAAAACTAAAGGAATATTTACATAATCATAAGTCATTTTAATTTTCTCTAAGGCTATTACTACAATATATCTAAATATTTTAAATGTATATATAAAGCAAGAGCAATTAAGTAATTTAATACCAACAGAATTTATATTTCAAATGGGGGGAAAATGGATCATCTCATTTTGTGGTAAGATATACAGATGCTTCCTGTTGCCCTGTCCAGAATGATGTTAACATTAACCTCAGAGGAGGCCGTTAAGCCAGCGTTGAGCTAGACAGTAACCATTATGTCTCTCTCTATTGAGGAGGAGGGGAAAAATGATGTTACCTAAATTTATGAGCTGCAAACTGAACACTTCATACAATGATGATCAATGATATGATAAGTTATCATTCAATTTCTACGGTTTGTGTCCTCTCTGAAATGAAGCTAAGAAAAAAAATTGTAGGGAAATAACAGACTGCCGTTTGCATTATTAGAAAGCTCACGTAACTGCACTATGCAGGCCATTTGTCTTTTTTTTTTCCTGTTAGAAGGGAGTTTTTATTTTCTCTGAATCAAACTATTAGAGTAATACATTACTGAGTTCATTTTTGCTTCTATCTCTTTATCTTGACTTGAGTTCAGAAAACTTGGAACATGTGCATTCTTTTAAGCTGTCTGAAAGGATTTTGTGTATTTATGGTTTTACATGCCGAGCTATTTTTCCTCAGAAATTCTGACATCAAATGTGTGAATTTTTTCTCACACCAACCAATTCTCCAACTTTCCGGACACCAACGGGGTATCCTACAATTCAATTCAATTCTAACATTAACGGCCCAGCATTAGCAGCAGACTCCACAGGTTTTAAAGAGTCCTCAATTCCAATGCCATTCGCAAGTATTGGGTCCCCAGGTTACCCACACACACTTCTTGGGTACAAAGTCAGGGAGTTCCCACAACTTTCTCCCCTTCAGCTTGATAATTTGCTACAATGACTCACAGAACTCAGGAGCACTCTTATATTAATATTTACTGGCTCTTTATAAAAGATATAACTTGGGAACAGCCAAACAGAAGAGATGCAGAGAGCAAGATATTGGCAGGGGTGTTGGAAGCCCCGCGCCCTCTCTGGGCACACCACCCTCCTAGCAATTTGATGTGTTCACCAACCCAGAAGCTCACTGAACCTGTCATTAGGGGTTTTTATGGAGGTTTTGTCAAATCAGGATGACCAATTATTAACTCAGTCTTCAGCTCTTCACACTTCCCCACATATTGAGGGGATGGGCTGAAAGTTCCAGGCTTCTCATCAAGGTCTAGTCTTTCTGGTGACCAGGCCCCATCCTGAAGCTATCTAGGGCCCCAGCAAGAAACCTCAGTAGAACAAAAGATGCTTCTATCAACCAGGAAATTCCAAGAGATTAAGGAGCTCTGTGTCGGAAACTGGGGACAGAGACCAAATATTAGAACAAACGACGCTCCTATCATCCCTATCACTCAAGAAATGGCAGTTTTAAGAGCTCTGTGTCAAAAATCAGGGACAAAGTCCAAATAGATAGATAGATAGATACACATATATATACATATCTCTCTCTCTATATATATACACATATATATCTATTTCTTACTATGTCACACATGCTAACTCCTTATTCTGAAATAAAAGCAAAAAGCAAACACCAAACCAATAACAAAAAGCCTCCACAATGTACAGGTGTTATGGGGTCACATCATGATAAACCTATTGCGAATTGGGAATATTCTTAAATAAAAAATGCATTTAATGTACCTAATCCACCAAACATCATAGCTTAGCCTAGCCTACCTTAAATGAGCTTGGAACACTTACAATAGCCTACAACTGGGCAGAATCATTAAACACAAAGTCATTTTACAATGAAGTGTTGGCTGGACGCAGAGGCTCATGCCTATAATCCCATCACTTGGATACTGAGGCAGGAAGATTGGGCCGGGCACGGTGGCTCACGCCTGTAAGCCCAACACTTTTGGGAGACTGAGGCAGGTGGATCACCTGAGGTCAGAAGTTCGACACCAGCCTGGCCAACATGGTGAAACCACGTCTCTACTAAAAATACAAAAATTAGCTGGGCGTGGTGGCAGGCACCTGTAATCTCCTAGCTACTCCGGAGGCTGAACCAGGAGACTTGCTTGAACCCAGGAGGCGGAGGTGGCAGTTAGCCAATATCGTGCCATTGCACTCTAGCCTGGGCGGCAGATCAAGACTGTGTCTCAAAAGAAAAAAAAAAAAAAAAACTGGACGACTTAGTACAGATGGTCCCTGATTTACCATGGTTTGACTTAGGATTTTTCAGCTTTACCATGGTAACCATACAACTATTCTGTCTTTCAGTACAGAACTCAATGAATCGGCCGGGTGCAAGTGCCCGTCTGTAATCCCTGCACTTTGGGAGGCCGAGGCGGACGGATCACGGGGTCAGGAGATCGAGACCATCCTGGCTAACACGGTGAAACCTTGTCTCTACTAAAAGTACAAAAAATTAGCCGCGCGAGGTGGCAGGCGCCTGTAGTCCTAGCTACTCGGGAGGCTGAGGCAGGAGAATGCCGTGAACCTGGGGAGCGGAGCCTGCAGTGAGCCGAGATCGGGCCACTGCACTCCAGCCTGGGAGACAGAGCGAGACTCCGTCTCAAAAAGAAAAAAGAACTCTTTTTTTTTTGACAGAGTCGTGCTCTGTTGTCCAGGCTGGAGTGCAGATCTTGGCTCACTGCAGTCCCGACCTCCCAGGCTCAAGTGATCCTCCCACTTCAGCCTCCTAAGCGGTGAGTAGCTGGGACCACAGGTGCCCCACTATGCATGGCTAATTTTTTTGTTTTTCTTTTTGTAGAGACAGGGTCTCAATACGTTGCCCAGGCTGGTCTCGAGCTCCTGGGCTCAAGCAATCCTGCCAATTAGCTGGGATTATAGACATGTGCCACCATGCCCAGCATATATTTACTTTCATTAATCTATACTACTGCATCAAAATTATTATAATGTTGTGGCATGTTAAGTCTTTTTTTTTTCTAAGACAGAGTTTCACTCTTGTTGCCCAGGCTGGAGCGCAATGGCGCAATCTTGGCTCACCGCAACTTCCGCCTCCTGTGTTCAAGGGATTCTCCTGCCTCAGCCTCCGGAGTAGCTAGGATTACAGGCACGTGCCACCACGCCCGGCTAATTTTGTATTTTTAGTAGAGACGGGGTTTCTTCATGTTGGTCAGGTTGTTCCTGACCTCAAGTGATCCGCCCGCCTCGGCTTCCCAAAGTGCTGGGATTACAGGCGTGAGCCACCTCGCGGACTGCATGTTAAGTCTTTTGAAGCAGGCCGGGCGCGGTGGCTCACGCCTTTAATCCTAGCACTTTGGGAGGCCAAGGTGGCTGGGTTGCCTGAGCTCAGGAGTTCAAGACCAGCCTGGGCAACACGGTGAAATCCCGTCTCTACTAAAATACAAAAAAGTAGCTGGGCGTGGTAGTGTGCGCCTGTAATCCCAGCTACTCGGGAGGCTGAGACAGGAGAAACTCTTGAATCCAGGAGGCGGAGGTTGCAGTGAGCCGAGATTACCCCACTGCACTCCAGCCTGGGCGACAGAGCAAGACTCCGTCAAAAAAAAAAAAAAGGCTCTTGAAGCACACTAACTCTTCCAAAATTAAGCTCCCTTAAAGGAAAATAGAATTATTAAAATGAAAACAGTAAGCAACATAACTGTTACTATTTCAGCTAAGAATCTTAAAGCACATTACAGACACTTTTCATCTTAACAATTGGAAAAAACAAGTACTAGCAAGTGAATTGCTTAAGATTACATAGACTAGCCCAATTCTAGAGAGAAATAATTCAAGTGTATCTTATTGTCATCTTGTTGTTAAGTACAGACATATTCAGATTTCACCAGTTTCCCACTAATGTTCTTTTTCTTTTTTCTTTTCTTTTTTTGAGACAGGTTCTCACTCTGTTGCCAAGCTGGAGTGCAGTGGCACAATCACAGCTCACTGCAGCCTTGAACTCCTAGACACAAGTGATCCTCCTACCTCAGCCTCTCAAGTAATTGGGACTGCTGACTTGAACCACCATGCCTGGCTATTTTTTATTTTTTAGTAGAGATGGAGTCTTGCTGTGTTGCCCAGGCTGCTCTTGAACTCCTTGATTCAAGTGATCCTCTTGCCTCAGCCTCCCAAAGTCCTAGGATTACAGGCATGAGCCACTACATTTGACCTAATGTCCTTTTTCTCTTCCAGAGAGTTAATCTTTCCTTGTCTTTCATGACCTTGACATTTTTGAAGAGTTCTAGTCAGTTACTTGGTATAACTGTCCCTGAGTTTGGGCTTGTCTTATGTTTTCTCATGATTAGATGAGTTAATATATTTTTGGCAAGAATCTCAGACATGATGTCCTATCAGGGAGTACATGATGTCAAAATGTGTTATTACAGACAGTTTATGTAGTTTTGTTTTCTTTCTTTCTTTCTTTCTCCTCTCCTCTTTCTCCTCTTCTCTTTTTCCTTTTTTTTTTTTTTTTTTTTTTTTGAGACTGCGTCTTGTGCTGTTGCCCAGGCTGGAGTGCAGTGGGGCAATGACAGCTCACTGCAACCTCCACCTCCTGGGTTTAAGTGATCCTCCTACCTCAGCCTCTTGAATAGCTGGGACTACAGTCATGCATAACCAACCCTAGCTAATATTTTATTTCTTGTAGAGACAGGTTGCACTATGTTGAACATGCTGAGTTTGAACTCCTGGGCTCAAGCCATCCTGCCGTCTCAGCTTCCCGAGGTGTTGGGATTACAGGTGCGAGCCAGTGGGCCTGGCTACCAGTTGTATAGTTTTATATTGCTGCTGTAACAAATTACCTCAAGCCTAGCAGCTTACAACAACACCCGTTTACTATCTCAAATTAGCATCTTCATAGGTTAGATGCAGATTAATGAGTTTGTTTCCACTTACTGTTCTATCAAGTTACCACATCGAGAG
Organism: Homo sapiens; assembly: GCF_000001405.40. NCBI lineage: Eukaryota > Metazoa > Chordata > Mammalia > Primates > Hominidae > Homo > Homo sapiens. Next base: position 209,868 of record NW_015495299.1, read on the forward strand.
GCTTAAAATAAAACAAATTTTTTTCTTACAATTCAGGATGATAGAAGTCTGAAATGGGTTATAGTGGGTTAAAATTAAGATCTCAAAAGGCCTGCATCCCTTCTGGGGGCTGTGGGAGAATCCATTCCCTTGTTTTTTCCAGCTTCTAGAAGCTACCTGCATTCCTTGGCACATGTTCCCTTTTTCCATCTTTAAAGCCAACAGCATAGAATCTTCTAATCTGCTACCTCTGATCCTCCTGCCTCACTCATACAGATGCTTCTTATTACATTGGGTCCGCACAGATACTCCAGGATCATCTCCCCATTTTAAGATCCTTACTTTAATCACATCTACAGAAATCCGTCTTGCCAGATGAGGTAACATATTCACAGGTTTAGGGAATTAGAACATGGGCACTTTTGGGAGCCATTATTCTGCCTACCACATGAATATATTTAGACTAATAAGACAATCAGTCCATATAAATCAGGCAAAGGTAAAATGTCCTTAAATAACATGTTTCTTTTTACTCTTCCTTCTTATTCCAGTGAGTAGCTTTTTTTTTTTCCAAGACAGAGTCCTCCTATGTCATCTAGGCTGGAGTGCAGTGATGCGATCTCAGCTCACTGCAACCACCGCCAACCAGGTTCAAGCGATTCTCCTGCCTCAGCCTCCCGAGTAGCTGGGATTACAGGCATGAGCCACCGTGCCTGGCTATTTTGTGTGTGTGTATTTTTAGTAGAGATGGGGTTTCACCATGTTGGCCAGGCTAGTCTCGAACTCCAACCTCAGGTGATCTGCCCACCTTGGCCTCCCAAAGTGATAGGATTGCAGGCGTAAGCTACCACGCCTGGCCATGGGTAACTTTTTTTAAATTTGCAATACATTTGCACATTTATCTAGCTCCATAAAAAGTAATGTCATTAATCTTCCATTGGTAGCACATTGGCTTTCATTTGTCCTCCAGCAACAGTGAAGAACTGTTGTTAATCCATCTGTCTGTCAGCTCAGATTTTTACCAGTTATAAAAGCAACGATTATAATTTGCCATGATGCATTACTCTTCTGTCCAGAGAGCTCAGTTTATATGACCTGTATTCAGATCATTGGTTGGAAATTACATTGCCAGACCTAAATGAAAAAAAAAGTAAACATTCTCTTCATATTCTTGGCTATAAGTATGCTTTTACTTTTCATTCATTTATTCATTGAACAAATGTTTATTGAATATCTGTGCAAGGTACTGCAATAGGTATTGGTGCTATAAGGTCATAATTCAAAATATGGGGATATTGCTTTTAGTAGCTTAACCTCAAGTAATAACTCAAGTACTATCTCATATTTATATACTTACTTTCTTTTTTCTTTTTGAGACAGTCTCGCTCTGTTGGCCAGGCTGGAGTGCAGTGGCGTGATCTCAGCTCACTGCAGCCTCCACCTCCTGAGTTCAAGCAATTCTCCTGCTTCAGTCTCCAGAATAGTTGGACACAGGCGTGTGGCACCACACCCAGCTAATTGTTGTATTTTTAGTAGAGATGGGGTGAAACTATGGAGACATAGTTTCACCATGTTGGCCAGGCTGGTCTCAAACTCTTGGCCTCAAGTGATCCACTGGCCTCGGTTTCCCAAAGTGCTGGGATTACAAGTGTGAGCCACCCCAGCCTATATACTTACTTTCTGTCTGGGAGGTAGTTTCTAAAACCAAGGTTTTCTCATTCTTATTACTGTTGACTGACTGGAAATAAAATTTTTGATATAAAGTATTATGTGTAAAAAACAAAATATATTATGTGTAAAAAGTCATTTAATGCTTTATATTTCTAGTACTGAACTATAGATTGGTTGCATACTAATTCACAGGATACTCAGTATTCGCTTTCTTTCTTTCTTTTTTGTTTAGATACAGGGTCTTGCTGCGTTGCCCAGGCTGGTCTCAAAGTGGGCTCAAGTGATCCTCCCGCCTTGGTCTCCCAAAGTGCTGGCATTACAGGTTTAAGGCACTATGTCTGGCCTCATACTTTTTAAAAGATGAAATTCTTAGAAGAATTTTTTTTTTTTAGATGGAGTCTCGCTCTTGTTTCCCAGGCTGAAGTGCAGTAGTGTGATCTCGGCTCACTGCAACCTCCGCCTCCCAGGTTCAGGCGATTCTCTTCCCTTAGCCTCTACAGGTGTGCGCCACCATACCTGGCTAATTTTTGTATTTTTAGTAGAGACGGGGTTTTACCACGTTGGCCGGGCTGGTCTCAAACTCCTGACCTCCGGTGATCTGCCTGCCTCGGCCTCTGAAAGTGCTGGGATTACCAGCATGAGCCACCATGCCTGGCCCAGAAGAATTTTTTTAAGTGTAATACAATAAAAACAATTAACATTTATTAAGCACTTACTCCTGCGCAGAGCTTTACACAGATTATTTAGTCTTTCAAACACCTCTATGAGGTAGGTGTTATTATTATCAACATCCCCATTTCGCAGGTATTAGTAATAGAGATGACGTAGCTGGGGAGTGGTAGAGCCAGAATTTAAATCTGGGGAACTGATCCCATTACTTCCTCCCTTAACGCACACATCAGTGTGTACAGTATCTCATAGTGTTGCCACTCAGTAAATAGTGTAGGATATAATGATTGCTCCAAATCCTGCTCATAGATTGATCATTTTCCCCAATTTTGAAATATCACTGAAAAACTATAACTTCGATGGCTTGTAAAACATGCAGGTATGGAAATTTCAGAAGGAGCCTAAGTGCCACACAGACTTAGTAAATCAAAGTCCTGTTAAACATACATACAATAACTAGCACCCAGGACATTGCTGATTCAAGTTCATCATTGCTGCTGTTGAAATCACCTCTTTAATTTGATGGCATGACTCAGGGAGAATGCAGCTTCAGCACAGTTATTCAGAATAAGGTAACTATATTCTAGTGCCTGTTTTACCATTAGCAATTACTTTCCCATAATTGAGACAGACTGCTGTCAATTTAGTTATTATTTTTCCAGTTCTTAGAAAATTCCTGAAGAAAATACTTAGGTAAATAAATTTTGGCTGCCTAGTGATGATTCTTTTTTTGTTTTTTTTAAGATGGAGTTTCCCTCTTGTCACCCAGGCTGGAGTGCAATGGCATGACCTCAGCTCACTGCAACCTTCGCCTCCCAGATTCAAGCAATTCTCCTGCCTTAGCCTCCCAAGTAGCTGGGATTACAGGTGCCTGCCACCACACCCGGCTAATTTTTTGTATTTTTAGTAGAGACAGGGTGTCACCATGTTGGCCAGGCTGGTCTCAAACACCTGACCTCAGGTGATCCACCCGCCTTGGCCTCCCAAAGTGCTGGGATTACAGGCGTGAGCCACCGTGCCCAGCCACACACTTGGCTAATTTTTAAATTTTTTGTAGAGACAGGGTCTCACTATGTTGCCCAGGCTGGGCTCAAACTCCTAGCCTCAAGTGATCCTCCCACCTTAGCCTCCCAAAGTGTTAGGATTACAGGCGTAAGCCACCATGACTAGTCCTAGATTCTTAAAAGTATATTCAATTCACACCTAATCAGAAAGAATGGTTTTCATGTTTGCTTTATTTCTATATTTGAATACTTAAATATTTCATTCATAGAAACGTGATGTTTTCTAATCCAGGACACTCGAGTTTATAATATTTCCATGATGAAGTTCATGGAGCTTCCCAACCTTACTTAAAAAAAAAAAAAAAAGCCATCCAGGCACAATGGCTTACATCTGTAATCCTAGCACTTTGAGAGGCTGAGGTGGGAGGACTGCTTGCGCTGAGTTCAAGACCAGCCTGGGCAACATGGCAAGATCCTGTCTCTAAAAAAGATACAAAAATTAGCCAAGTGTGGAGGTATGCACCTGTGGTTCCAGCTGCTTGGGAGGCTGAGGTGGGAGAATCACTTGAGCCCAAAATGTTGAGGCTGCAGTGCCCCACTGCACTCCAGCATGGACAACAGAATGAGGCCCTGTCTGTAATAAAAAAGGCTAGCCAGGTGCCGGGGCTCATGCCTATAATCCCAGCACTTTGGGAGGCTTAGGTGGGAGGACTGCTTGAGCCCAGGAGTTCAAGACCAGCCTGGGCAACATAGTGAGACCCTATCTCTATTGTTTTTTTAAAAAGCCAGATAAGTAGGAAAGGAAATTATTTCAATTTACATCCACAATTGTACAAGTGTTTTAAATATGGATACAGTTAACAAGAATGAATATTATTCAAGATAATTAAACATTTTAGAATAAAATAGAAAATAAAATGTAAGAAATGTGAATTATTTAGTCCAGTAAAATACACTGTCTAAAATATATTCAAAATATGTTTATGTTTTTTATAATTTTAAAGTAAGTTTTGTCAGCATATGTATGACTACACGTGACTAATTTCTTTCTTTCTTTTTTGAATCAGAATCTCACTGTGTCATCCAGGCTAGAGTATAGTGGCATGATCTCGGCTCACTGCAACCTCCGCCTCTCAGGTTCAAGTGATTTGCCTGCCTCAGCCTCCAGAGTAGCTGGGATTACAGGCATCCGCCACCATGCCCAGCTGATTTTTGTCTTTTTAGTAGAGATGGGGTTTCAATATGTTGACCAGGCTGGTCTCAGACTCCTGACCTCAGGCGATCCGGCTGCCTCGGCCTCCCAAAGTGCTGAGATTACAGGCATGAGCCACCATGCCCGGCCACATAACTAACTTCTACTGAATTGCTAATCATTTGGAAGAGGTTTTGATAAATTTGGGTCTCCTATCAACAAATTTAAAGAAATAGAAGATAGTGTCCTGAAGAACCAATAAATTGCACAGTATGATAAATGGAAATGGTTACTAGTTGATAACAGAGCAAAAAACCTTATGGGAATCCAAGTGGCTACCAAGCTTACATGAATCACCAGTACTAAGATGGTGAACAAATAGGAATAGTTAATGATTATAGTTGCTTTGCCAGAAGAAGAAAAGTTTAAGGCATGATACAATAATTGCATGTAAGAATATAACTGGACCGAGCACAGTAGCTCACACCTGTAATCCCAGCACTTCGGGAGGCTGAGGCGGGCGGATCACAAGGTCAGGAGTTTGAGACCAGCCTGGCCAACACAGTGAAACCCCGTCTCTACTAAAAATAAAAAAATTACCTGGGCTTGGTGGCTGGTGCCTGTAATCCCAGGTACGCCAGAGGCTGAGACAGGAGAATCGCTTGAACCTGGGAGGTGGAATTTGCAGTGAGCCGAGATCTCACCACTGCACTCCACCCTGCGTGACAGAGCTAGACTCCATCTAAATAAAAAAAAGAATATAGCTGATTATTAATCAAACCTGCTTAGTAAAGGAGTTCTAATTGACAGTGAACTTATCACTTGGATGGGAGAGAAAATGGTGACCAACACCTTTGATGTATTAGTTTGGTGGGAGCGGGGAGTTCAGGGGAAAAAAAGACGCTGAGGGAAAGAACTATGGGCCCAATAGGAAGTTGATATCTGGAATCTTTTTGGTCACTAAATAAGCTAGATTGCATCAGAGACTCTAGCAAAAACAATAATTTCTCAGATGTTTATTGTGTGTGACCATGCTGAGTCAGAGGGTGCGTCAACCCCACTCTGGGAGGAAAGTGCTCACAAGGAGAGAGGAATGATCTCTTCCTGGGTAAGAGGATCTTTTTTTTTTGAGACGGAGTCTTGCTCTGTCGCCCAGGCTGGAGTGCAGTAGTGCGATCTCGGCTCACTGCAAGCTCCGCCTCCTGGGTTCACGCCATTCTCCTGCCTCAGCCTCCCGAGTAGCTGGGACTACAGGCGCCCGCCACCACGCCCGGCTAGTTTTTTGTAAATTTTTTTTTAGTAGAGACGGGCTCTCACCTTGTTAGCCAGGATGGTCTCGATCTCCTGACCTCGTGATCCGCCCGCCTCGGCCTCCCAAAGTGCTGGGATTACAGGCGTGAGCCACCACGCGCCCGGCCTAAGAGGATCTATTTAGTAAAATTCCTTGCCTAGTGCCCTAATCAGTATCTTGATGCCTGGGAAAAATTAACTATTACCCCCAGGAGTGAGCAGTTGACTTCCTTTACTCAACAGTAAGGATGGGGCATAATAATTAGGGTTAACATCAGAAAGTTCACATTTAAGAGCATGTTGAATACTGCCCAGGGTACAATTTCAAGTAGGCACAGTCCTTGCCTAGTAACCTGAATTGTAAAGCTGTGAAGAATTGCAGTCACTGTATTAGAAGCATAAAAGGTTTCTGCCCCTTTTTAGGGTGTTTTTCATTTTCTTTCTGAAAATTGCTATTGTTACACATGTACTTACTGAATTAAACCACAAACATGAATGGAAGAATCAATTCCAACCAAAAAATTAAGTGGAATAAGATGTGGATTCTCAAGACCCACATATATTTTATTTTGTTTTGTTTTGTTTTTTGTGACGGAGTCTTGCTCTGTTGCCCAGGCTGGAATGCAGTGGTGCGATCTCGGCTCACTGCAACCTCCGCCTCCCGGGTTCAAGCAATTCTTCTGCCTCAGCCTCCTGAGTAGCTAGGACTACAGGCGTGTGCCACCACACCCGGCTAATTTTTGTATTTTTTTAGTAGAGATGGGGTTTCACCATGTTGGCTAGGCTGGTCTCGAACTCCTGACCTCAAGCAGTCTGCCTGCCTCAGCCTCCCACAGTGCTGGGATTAGAGGCGTGAGCCACGGTGCCCGGCAAGACCCAAATATATTATTAAAGATAATTTGAAATCTTTTCTGGCACTCAGATTTATATGGGGTACCAATTCTTTACAAGATATTTGTCCTAATACCCCATTTTAATTTTTTAATTTTTTTATTTTTTTTGAGACAGAGTCTCATTCTGTCATCCAGGCTGGAATGCAGTGGCATGATCTCAACTCACTGTAGCTTCCACCTCCTGGGTTCAAGCAATTCTCCTGCCTCATCTTCCTGAGTAGCTGGGATTACAGGTGCCCACCACGACGCCCAGCTAATTTTTGTATTTTTTTTTTTTTTTTAGTAGAGACAGGGTTTTTGCCATGCTGGCCAGGGTGGTCTTGAACCCCTGACCTCAAGTGATCCGCCTGCCTCAGCCTCCCAAAGTGCTGGGGTTACACACGTGAGCCACCATGCCCGGCCTAATATCCTGTTTTTAAATGAGAATTATTTCAGTCTTACCAAAGGGATATATATATATATACATATATATATACACACACATACACACACACACACGTGTGTGTATGTATATATGTGTGTCTGTGTATATATATATATATATATATTTTTTTTTTTTAATTTATTTTTTTTGAGACAGAGTCTCGCTCTTGTTGCCCAGGCTGGAGTGCAATGGTGCGACCTCGGCTCACTGCAACCTCTGTCTCCTGGGTTCAAGTGATTCTCCTGCCTCAGCCTCTCAAGTAGCTGGGATTACAGGCACCTGCCACCATGACCGGCATTTTGTTTTGTTTTGTTTGTATTTTTAGTAGAGATGGGATTTCATCGTGTTGGCCAGGCTGGTCTCAAACTCCTAATGTCAGGTGATTCACCCACCTCAGCCTCCCAAAGTGCTGGGATTGCAGGCATGAGCCACCACGTCTGGCTAGGGCAATATATTTTATAAGTCAAGTCCAAATGAAGGATGTGCAGACAAAGTAAACTTTTAATAGTTGTTTATCACTTCTATAATACACACGATGTCAATGAACCTGTAGAAGATGCACTTCATGTATGACTGGGAATGATGTGAGAGGAAATTATTAGGTAAGCACATTAGAGGAAAACCATCAGAGATATGGGGAGTAAAAGGAGTAAGGAGCCCATCCCATCTCATATGGAACTAAAAGGTTTGAAAAAAGATTGACACATGCACTTGGCTAGGAGAGTGATGGATAAACAAGGAGAGAGTAACGGTCACAGAGGACACACACAGGAGTTACGGAGGAATAACCCCATTTTCCCAAGGGAATGCAGCTGCCCACGCATACACCTTCCCTTACTCCATTTCCCCCAGGTTTGCAGATACAAAATAAGCCCCATCCCATGAAAGGGTGTGGCTGTTTAGTTCCTGCTAAGTACACAATACATTTCCACTTTATGCTTTATGGGAATTGTAGCTGGAGGAGCTACAGAAAGGCATATGTTCTATTATTATTTAACTTTATCCACATAACGATATACCTCAGATCAAGGCTAGGTTGCTCCCAGCCTTTTTTTTTTTTTTTTTGAGGCAGTCTCGATCTGTCACCCAGCCTGGAGTGCAGTGACGCAATCTCGGCTCACTGCAAGCTCTGCCTCCTGGGTTCACACTATTCTCCTGCCTCAGCCTCCCCAGTAGCTGGGACTACAGGTGCCCGCCACCACACCCGGCTAATTGTTTTGTATTTTTAATAGAGACAGGGTTTCACCATGTTGGTCAGGCTGGTGTCTAACTCCTGACCTCGTGATCCACCTGCCTTGGCCTCCCAAAGTGCTGGGATTACAGGCGTGAGCCACCGCGCCTGGCCTTCTCCCAGTCTTAAAAGAAAAAAGAAACAGGCCAGGCATGGTGGCTCATGCCTGTAATCTCAGCACTTTGGGAGGCTGTGGCAGGCAGATCACTTGAGCCCAGGAGTTTGAGACCAGTCTGGGCAACATAATGGGACCCTATCTCTACAAAAAAATACAATAGCCAAGCATGGTGGCATACACCTGTAGTCCCAGCTACTCGGAAGGCTGAGGTAAGAAGGTCACTTGAACTTGGAAGGTTGAAGTTGCAATGAGCTGTGATCGTGCCACTGGACTCCAGCCTGGGTGACAGAGCAAGACCCTGTCTCAAAAAAAAAAAAAAAAATTAAAGATAAAAGAAAAGGTGGGGCACAGTGGCTCATGCCTATAATCCCAGCACTTTGGGAGGCTGAGGCTGGCGGATCACTTAAGGTCAGGAGTTTGAGGCCAGCTTGGCCAACATGGTGAAACTCTGTCTCATTAGTAATAAGAATACAAATATTAGCCAGGCGTGGTGGCCCACGCCTTTAATCCCAGCTGCTCGGGAAGTTAAGGCAGGAGAATTGCCTGAACCTGGGAGGCTGAGGCTGCAGTGAGCTGAGATCGTGCCACTGCACTCCAGCCTGGGCAACAGAGTGAGACTCGAAAGAAGATAGAAAGAAAAGAAAGAAAGAAAAAGAAAGAGAGAAAGAGGGAAGGGTGGGGGAGGGGAGGGGGGAGAGAGAGAGAGAGAGAGAGAGCGAGCAGGCAGGCAGGCAGGCAGGGCGCGGTGGCTCACGCCTGTAATCCCAGCACTTTGGGAGGCCGAGGCAGGCAGATCACGAGGTCAGAAGATCGAGACCATCCTGGCTAACACGGTGAAACCCCGTCTCTACTAAAAATACAAAACAATTAGCCAGGTGTGGTGGCGGGCGCCTGTAGTCCCAGCTACCGGGGAGGCTGAGGCAGGAGAATGGCATGAACCCGGGAGGCGGAGCTTGCAGTGAGCCGAGATTGCACCACCGCACTCCAGCCTGGGCAACAGAGTGAGACTCTGTCTAAAAAAGAAAAGAAAAGAAAAGAAAAGAAAAAAGAAGCCAACAGGCAAACTTGGGAGGGCCTTTATTCTTCTTGGCAGGGAAAATTGAGATTAGTGAAATTCAGTCATGCTTTCTTGTTTCTTTTAGACTTCAACACTATCCCAGGACTTCCCATCAGCAAAGTAGATGCTTTTGTTCTACAACAATGGGGCAAGGTCCCCCTACCCACAGGAACATGAAGAAAATCCCAAAGTCTTGGAAGGGTTTAAAGATCTCAAGAGGCTCAGTTTCTGTCTTAGTTTGCCTTGTGACTTGACACTTTCTTTAATTCAGAAAATAATTTATATTAATAATGTACAGTACATAGTCTGGCAGGGAGGTTACTTATGTTGCTGAAGGATACAGTAAATCTCATAAAGCGGAAATGAAACAGGAGAAACTGTAAAACTAGTTTGGCTTTCACCCCTGTACTCAAACTATAGTACCATTTTACTGAAACTATAATACTAAATATGTTATTTGAGGAATATTACTTCATTTGGGCCTAGTACTTAACTACTCTATAGCAGCAGAGACTGGACAATTATGTGCCAAGGTTCTTGAACTATATTTAAAAGCTTAAAAAGGCCAGGGATGGTGGCTCAGACCTGTAATCCCAGCACTTTGGGAGGCTGAGGTAGGTGTATCACTTGAGCCTAGGAGTTGGAGACCAGTCTGGGTAACATGGTGAAACCCTGTCTCTACAAAAAATACAAAACAGGCTGGAGGCAGTGGCTCACGCCTGTTATCCCAGCACTTTGGGAAGCTGAGGCAGGCAGATCACTTGAGGTCAGGAGTTTGAGACCAGCCTGGCCAACATGGCAAAACCCCATCTCTACTAAAACTATAGAAATTAACTGGGTGTTGTGGTGCACACCTGTAATCCCAGCTACTTGGGAGACTGAGGCAGAAGAATCCCTTGAACCCAGCAGGCGGAGGTTGCAATGAACCAAGATCACACCATTGCACTCCAGCCTGGACAACAGAGTGAGACTCCATCTCAAAAAAAAAAAAAAAGAAAAGAAAAGAAAAAACAAACAACAAATAAACAAACAAAAATATTAGCTGGCCATCATAGTACATGCCTGTAGTCCCAGCCACTTGGGAGGCTGAGGCAGGAGGATCACTTGAGTACAGGAGTTTGAGCCTGCAGTGAGTCATGATCCTGCCACTTCACTCCAGCCTGGGCAGAGCAAGAACCTCACTCAGGAAGATATAATAAAATAAAAGCTTAAATAATTTGAAACGAAGGGAAGGGCCTCAACTCTATCCTAAATACAACAGAAGACTCACCAACTTTATACTGGACACAAGTGCAGTAGAGTTTGGTATGCGGTAAGTGATGAGAAAATAGTTATAGATTGATAAATTACAGAGGTTTCATTTTTAATGTATTATTGTCTGTTTTCTCTTTTTTTTGATGCAAAGTCTCACTGTGTCACTCAGGCTGGAGTGTAGTGGCATCATCAAGGCTCACCACAACCTTGAACTCCCAGGCTCAAACTATCTTCCTGCCTCAGCCTCCCAAGTAGCTGGGACTACAGGCACATGCGACCATGCCTGGCTAATTTTTTAAAAATTTTTTGTAGAGATGAGGTCTCACTACATTGTCCAGACTGGTCTCCAACTCCTGGGCTCAAGCAATCCTCCCACCTTGGCCTCTCAAAATGCTGGGATTACAGGCGTGAGCCATGGTGCCCAGCCTGTTTTCTCTTTTTATGTCCCTCTTTACCACTGTGATACATACTACAGGGCTCTAGCAAGAACTAATATCTATTCTTTCGTTAGGGCAGTTTTAATTCTTTCATACTCCTCTCATCAAGAGGTGAGGTGTATGTTTCCCCCACTTGAATCCTGGTGGGTTCAGAGCCTGGCTTGACCAATAAAATTCAATGGAAGTGATGTCATATAATTTCTGAGGTTAAGTCATAAAAAGTCTCGCAGCTTCCTCTGTGATCTCTAAGAATTACCTTGCCCTTGGAGCCTTGAGCTACCCTATAAGAAGTCCAACTAACCAGAGGCTGACTTGCTGAATAGGCCACAGGAAGATCCTTTCTGGAAGGCAATCCCATCTGATCATGTCATTCCACCATTCCAGCCTAGGAGCTGAACATACGAGTGAAGATGCCATGTGGGAACTGAATCCTCCAGCCAGAACTGTTCAAACTTCTTCAGTCCCTAGTTGTTTGAGTCATCCCTAAATATTCCAGTCATCCAGCTGAGGCCCTGGCCTTGTAGAACAGAGAAGAGTTGCCCCCCTAACTGCTGTGCCCTTTCTGTATTCTGGACCCATGGACTCTCAGGAACCTAACAAAATGGTTGTTTTACATCAGTAAGTTTTGGGGTAGTTTGTTGTGCAGCAATAGGTAAGTGGAACACCTCTCAGAATCTGTGTGTTTTAGTTGGGGAGATAGCTGCCCAGCTAGATACTGCATTTCCCAGCCTCCTCACTTACGGGTGAACGTGGCTGTAAGTCCTGTGTAGGGTATGTGAATGGAAGATGCAATTTCCAAGTCATATCAATAAAATGTTAAGTGCTCATTCTCCGCTTGCATTCCCTCACCGCTTCTTTCTGGCACACCGACCTGGGGTACACAGATATTAAGGACGGCTGTCACAGATTGGATTCCCTAGGAAGCAGACTCAGAGCAGTTTAGCATGCAGAATATTTATTAAGGCGTTCCCTGGGAGTCAACACCTGTGTAAGGGAGGGGACAAAAGCAAGAGCGGGCAAAAGGAAAAGTTGAGCTGCAATGCAGATTCAATGGCAGCCTCAGCCAACCCCACAGAGAGGTCAGGAGCTAAAGTGGTCCTTCAGAATTGTCCCTCATTGGGCTGAGATGGCTAGACCTTTATACCTCCACAGGTATCAGTCATTGGATGGGGGTCATCCTGGCATATGCTTTTGCAAAGTTATAATCAGGATATATTAGTCATCTATTATTGCATAACAAAATAATCCAAAACTTAGTGACTAAAAACATGCATTTATTATCTCACAGTTGCTGTGTGCTAGAAATCCAGAAGCATGAGGTTGGGTGCTTCTGACTGAAGATATTTCAGGTTGCAGTTAAGCTGTCAGCTGGGGCAGCAGTCATCTCAACTCTATTGAGGCCAAAGGATTCAGCTCACTCACGTGGTTGCTGGTAGGCCCCTTCCTTACCACAGGATGCCCCTCTGAGCATGAGAGTATTCCTCAAGACCAAGGAGGAAGCTGCCTATGGGACCTCAGAACATGGAAGGTGGTGATCAAGCGTGGGAGAACCATAGAGAACCCAAAAACGAAACCCAAGAAGAATTAGGTTTTAAAACCTAATCTCAGTAGAATTAGGTTTTAAAACCTAATCTCAGTAGAATTAGGTTTTAAAACCTAATCTCAGTAGCGACATCCTTATTCATTAGAAGTAAGTTCAGCCCACACTCAAGGGTAGCGGATTACCCAAGGTCATCCCAGGAGGCAGGGATCATTGAGGCCATTTTAGAGTCTTCCTACCACACATACCATGCATAAGATTTTGTATACTTATATTTTTACTTTTTTTTTTTTTGAGATAGAGTCTCACTCTGTCATCTAGGCGAGAGTGCAGTGGTGCGATCTTGGCTCACTGCAACCTCCGCCTCCTGGGTTCAAGTGATTCTGCTGTCTCAGCCTCCTGAGTAGCTAGAATTACAGGCGTGTGCCACCATGCTCAGCTAATTTTTGTATTTTTTTGTTTTGTTTTGTTTTGTTTTTTGAGAGAGTCTCACTCTGTCATCCAGGCTGGAGTGCAGTGGTGTGATCTCGGCTCACTGCAACCTCCATCTCCTGGGTTCAAGCAATTCTCCTGCCTCAGCCTCCTGAGTAGTTGGGACTACAGGCGCATGCCACCATGCCCGGCTAATTTTTTGTATTTTTAGTAGAGACAGAGTTTCACCATGTTGGCTATGGCTGGTCTCAAACTCCTGACCTCAGGTGACCCACCTGCCTCGGCCTCCCAAAGTGCTGGGATTACAGGCGTGAGCCACCGTGCCTGGACTACTTTTTATCAACATTTTGTTTTCCTACAGATTCTTCATTTAAACAATTTTTTTTTTGAGATGGAATTTCGCTCTTGTTGCCCAGGCTGGAGTGCAATGGTGTGATCTCAGCTCACCGCAACCTCCACCTCCCAGGTTCAAGCGTTTCTCCTGCCTCAGTCTCCTAAGTAGCTGGGATTACAGGCATGCACCACCACATCTGGCTAATTTTGTATTTTTAGTAGAGATGGGGTTTCTCCATGTTGGTCAGGCTGGTCCCAAACTCTTGACCTCAGGTGATCTGCCCGCCTTGGCCTTTGGGATTACAGGCGTGAGCTACCGCACTTGGCCACAATATGTTGTTTCTAAAAATTATAAAGCAGTATATTGTAAAATTTTTCAAATGTTTGATCAAGGTATAAAATTCATTTCCTTATACTATACCACATGTTAATTGATCCAGGGGTAATCACAATTAAGTTTTTATTGTATCTGCTGAGATACTTTCCATACACACGTAAGCATATACATATATACACACACACACATTATTGTACACTTAATTTATGTCCTTAATACATTCTGAAGCACTTTCCATATCAGCACGTTGAGATCTAGCTCATTGGTTTAAACATCTGCATGTTTCATTTTATGATTATACAAAAAAATTTTTCAGCAGTTCCCTATTGATGGATATTTACATATTTTTGTTTTGTCTGACATGACAAACATTGCAAATGTACATCCTTTGTCTCATGATGAATCATGCCTTGAGTCTCACTCATATCTGATTTAGATGAGACTTTGGACTTTGACTTTAAAGTTGATGCTGGAACAAGTTAAGACTTTTTAGGGGCTATTGGGATGGAATGAATTTATTTTGCATGTGAGGACATGAATCTGGGGAGCCCAAGGTGTGGAATGCTATGTTTTGAATGTGTTGTCTCCACAATTCATGTGTTGGAAACTTAATCCCAATGCAACAGGGTTGGGAGGCGGAGCCTTCTGGGAGATGATTAGGTCACAAGGACTCTGGCCTCATATTTGATTGATGCCATTATAAAAAGGGTTTGCGGGAGCATGTTAGCTCTCCCTTGCCCTTCCATCTTCTGCCATGGGAGGACAGCAAGAAGGCCCTTCCCAGATGCTGGCACCTGATCATGGTCTTCCTGGCCTCCAGAATTGTAAGAAGTAAATTTTTTTTTTTTTTAACGAAGAAGTGAGTATTTTATTATTTTGCTGTACAGCTGTTGCTTCACTATATAAAAACAGCACCAGCAAATGCAGTGTATTGCAAAATTAAGATAGTGTTGTTCTTCATCTGACACTGTACAAGCAACAAAAACTTCTTCACTCCCAGTTATTTCCAATGGAAAGATCATTAAGTATTTCATCCCAAGTCCAGGTATGGACATACACAAGTTACAATATTATATAAGGCTTAAGAATAACAACATTATCTTTGAATTATGTAATTTTTGTAACTAATTTTTACCATGGATAATTTCATGGATAATTTCATGAATACTAGAGCCTAGTCTAAAAATCATAGGATGTTGTGAAAAAGACACATATTATGTTTATCTACAATCATTAGAAAGTTAAAAGGCATCTTCTTTCATTAGCAGTGTTAACAGTAGTTTTTTTTTCCCATGGGTAATGCTAAAAGTTGCTATTCTAAGTCTTCTATCCACCACTAATTTAGGACAACTCTGCTGGGTTGCGTTATTTCATACTAGCTTATTTAGTGGTTCCATTTTCACTCCTCAATAGATTTTATGTATTTCTCATATGCTTCTTCACTCATAAGTTCATCTAGTTATGAAGGGTTACTCAGTGTCATCTTGATCAGCCAACCATCTTCATAACGAGATTTGTTTACAAGTCCTGGATTTTCTGCAAGAGCTTCATTAATTTCGGTTACTTCTCCTGATAAAGGAGAATAGAGTTCACTAGCAGCTTTCACACTCTCCAAAGCACCAAACTCATCTTGTTTGTTCAATTTTGTCCCAACTTCAGGCAGATTACAGTAACCAGACGGCGCCCATCCCAAGCTGCCAGGGCCTCGATAGGCAGGGCGCGGCAGGTGCCAGGACCACGTGCAGGCTGCAGAGCACGGCCCGCACGCTCCGCACCACTCGCAGCGCCATGTTCCCAGGGGTGCGGGGATGGCAGCGCTACGCCTCAGCCACTCGCGCGGGGAGGCGGGGCGGTGTGGGCAGAAGTAAATTTCTTTATAAATTACCCAGTCTGGGCCTGGTGTGTTGGCTCACATGTGTAATTCCAGAACTTTGGGAGGTCAAGGTGGGAGGAGCGCCTGGGCCCAGGGGTTCAAGACGAGCCTGGGCAACATAGTGAGACCTGTCTCTATAAAATATTTTTAAAAATTAGCTGGGCGCGGTGGCTTACGCCTGTAATCCCAGCACTTTGGGAGGCCGAGGTGGGCAGATCATGAGGTCAGGAGTTTGAGACCAGCCTGACCAACATGGTGAAACCCCGTCTCTACTAAAAATACAAAAATTAGCTGGGCATGGTGGCGCACACCTGTAATCCTAGCTAGATCCTAGTAGATTGAGGCAGGAAAACTGAACCCGGGAGGTGGAGGTTGCAGTGAGCTGAGATTGTGCCACTGCACTTCAGCCTGGGCGACAAACTGAGACTCCGTCTCAGAAAAAAAAAATAAATAAATAAAAATTAGTGGGGCATGGTGGCTCACACCTGTAGTTCCAGCTGTTCAGGAGGCTGAGGCAGGAGGATTGCTTGATCCAGGGAGGTTGAGGCTGCAGTGAACTGTGATCATGCCACTGAACCCCAGCCTGGGTGACAGAGTTGCCTCAATCAGTCAATCAATCAACCCATCACCCAGTCTGTGATATTCTGTTTTAACAGCAGAAACAAAGACAACTAGACATGCCCACTGTGTTATGTACTTACCTCTATTAGAATATGTTATGTCATTACTATAATTGATGCCTACATATCTCTTTTAGTATACTGTTAGCTTCTTGAGGACATTAGCTAAATTGTATTTCTCTTTGTAGTCTTGGGTAATGTACTTGACACACAGTAGATACTCTGCAAAAAAATTTTGTTTTTCTTTTTGAGATGGGGTCTCGCTTTGTCGCCCATGCTAGAGCGCAGTGGCGCGATCTGGGATCACTGCAACCTCCGCCTCCCAGGTTTAAGCAATTCTCTGACTCAGCCTCCAGAGTAGCTGGGATTACAGGTGTCTTGCCACCATGCCCGGCTAATTTTTGTATTTTTAGTAGAGATGGGGTTTCACTATCTTGGCCAGGCTGGTCTTGAACTCCTGGCCTTATGAGAGCCACCGCACCCAGCTGATACTCTGCAAATGTTTAATAGATGTTGGAGCTGAATTTCAGGCTTTGTAATGTCACAGAACCAGGCATCAGAAGAGCTGATCCAAACCCAAGATCTGCCCCTAACTTGCCTCTTATTCTTTCTGGCCTCCATTTCCACAATTATAAAATGCAGGTATAATACTAAAATTTTTTTTTGTATAGTCCTTTACAGATCCAAAATTATGATTTTAAGAAGGAAATTAATAAGTTATTCATCTCAGTATCTCTTTAGGTGCCAATACTGTAAATTAATCACCAGTCTCAGATCATATATTTGCCATTTCCAACATATGCTTTTAGTCCAGTCTAATCACCAGTCTCAGACTATACATTGCCATTTTCAACATATGCTTTTAGTGAGTTATTTAAAAATATTAAGATATCAGATGTTTTGAGTATCAGCAATAGGTAAGTCAATCTCTAAACATTTTCAGTAGTGAAAAACACAAAAAACACTTTAAGCAGAGGGTATTTGGTTTTGAGATCCTTGTTCTCTTAAAATCTGTGATCTGAAATCTAGTCAGTTTTCTCATTAACATCCTTGTCCCTTGGGATAAATTAAATCAGCAAACTAAAGTGCTATGTAACTATTAAAATATTTTAAAATATTGGTTATTTAAAACTTATTAGGGGCCGGGTACAGTGGCTCATGCCTGTAATCCCAGCACTTTGGGAGGCTGAGGCAGGTGGATCACTTGAACTCAGGAGTTTAAGACCAGCCTGGGTAACATGGCGAAACCTCGTCTCTACAAAAAATACAAAAATTAGCCAGGTGTGGTGGCGTGTGCCTGTAGTCCCAGCCACTTGGGAGACTGAAGTGGGAGGATGGCTTGAGCCCAGGAGATGGAGGTTGCAGTGTGCTGAGATCATGCCATGCATTGCACTCCAGTCTGGGTAACAGAGCCAGAATCTTATTAGGGAATTCTGACATCTTCATCTTTTTATAAAAGATGGCCAGGCTGGGTGCGCTGGCTCACATCTGGAATCCCAGCACTTTGGGAGGCTGAGGCGGGTGAATCACCTGAGGTCAGGGGTTCAAGACCAGCCTGACCAATATGGTGAAACCTCATCTCTACTAAAAATACAAAAATTGACTGGGCACGGATAGCTCACGCCTGTAATCCCAGCACTCTGGGAGGTTGAGGCGGGTGGATCACCTGAGGTCAGGAGTTTGAGACCATCCTGCCCAACATGGTGAAACCCCGCCTCTACTAAAAACACAAAAATTAGCTGGGCGTGGTGGTGTGCTCCTGTAGTCCCAGCTACTCAGGAGGCTGAGGCAGGAGGATCGCTTGAACCCAGGAGGTGGAGGTTGCAGTGAGCTGAGATTGCGCCACTGCACTCCAGACTGGCAATACAGTGAGACTCAATCTAAGATAAAACAAAGAAACAAAAAGGAATGCACTTCTTAATAAGCTGGAGATTATTTTAGGCATGGCTTTCCCTCATAGTCTATGAAATTTTCCTACAATGATCATCCTCAGTTAGCACATGGGGCATTTAGTATATGTCAGGAAACAGGCCTAAGGTTTTTACAAGCTTTCTGATGTAATCATCAAAACAATTCTATGAGGCTGGAAGTAGGTACAATTTTACAATTTTTATCCTCATTTTACAGATGAAGAAATACTCTTAAAGAAAATGTTAATGTCAACAACAAACAATAAATTGGTACTGGGTATTGTCAAATATATTTTTTAATTTTTACTTTTTTTCAGACAGAGTCTCACTCTGTCACCCAGGCTGGAGTGCAACGGTGCAATCTTGACTCACTGCAACCTCCGTCTCCTGGGTTTAAGTGATTCTCCTGCCTCAGCCTCCTGAGTGAGTAGCTGGGATTACAGGCATATGCCACCATGGCTGGCTAATTTTGTATTTTTAGTAGAGACAGAGTTTCACCATGTCGGACAGGCTGGTCTCGAAAACTCCTGACCTCAGGTGATCCGCCTGCCTCGGCCTCCCAAAGTGCTGGGATTACAGGCTTGAGCTACTGTGCCAGGCCAAGTATATTTTTAATTAATGTATTCATTATAATACAATTTACTACAAATTTGAGGGGGGAGGCTTTCCATATGGAATTCAAGATATTTTTGGATATATATTCAACTTTTTTTTTTAAGAGTTGGGGGTCTTGTTATGTTGCTGATATGGTTTGGATGGCTGTCACTTCCAAATCTCATGTTGAAATGTAACCCCCAATGCTGGAGGTAGGGCCTCGTGGGAGGTATAGAATCATGGGGCAAATCCTTCATGAATGGCTTGGCACCATCACCTTGGTGATGAGTGAGATCTTAGTTCATGTGAAATTTGGTTGTTTAGAGTCTGGGACCTCCTCCTCTCTCTTGCTCCCTCTCTCACCATGTGATATGCTCGCTCCCATTTTGCCTTCTACCATGATTGTAAGCTTCCTGAGGCCCTCATCAGAAGCAGCTGCTGGTGCCATGCTTTGTGTACAGCCTGCAGAAACTGTAAGCCAATTAAATCTCTCTTTTGCAAGAATTACCCAATCTCAGATATTCCTTTACAGTAATGCAAACAGATTAAAACAGATTAGTACTGACAGTGGGGCACTGCTATACATATTGGAAAATGTAGAAACAGCTTTGGAACTGGGTAACAGGCAGAGGTTGGAAGAATCTGGAGGGCTCAGAAGACAGAAAGATGAGGGAAAGTTTGGAACTTAGAGACTAGTTAAGTGGTTGTGACCAAAATGCTGATAGACATATGGTGAAGTCCAGAGTGATGAGGTCTCAGATGGAAATGAGGAAGTTATTGGGAACAGGAATAAAGGTACATCTATGTCATGCTTTAGCAAATAGCTTGGGTGCATTGTGTCCAGGCCCTAGGAATCTGTGGAAGTTTGAACTTAAGAGTGATGACTTAGGGTATCAGGGTATCTGGCAGAAGAAATTTCTAAGCAGCAAAGCATTCAAGATGTGGCCTGGCTGATGCTAGCAGCCTACAATCAGATATGGAAGCAAAGAAATAACTTAAAGTTGGAACATATTTAAAAGGGAAGCAGAGCGTAGAAGTTTGGAAAATTCACAGACTAGTCATGTGGCAGAGAAGGAAAAAGCACTTTGAGGAGAGGAATACAAGCAGGCTGCAGGAATACAGTTGTCCATGCTGGACTCAACTCATTTGCTCAAGCAATCCTTGTGCCTCAGCCTCCCAAGTAGCTGGGGCTATAGCTTGTGCCATCATGCTCAGCTATTCACCTTACATTGCTGTCCAAAATGTTTTCATTTGAGGCAACCTGGGATAGTAAAAGTACTTCTAATTAAACACTCCTGCCATTAGTATCTAGCTGTGTAGCCATAAATAAGTTATTTGATATTTCTTGAGTCTCAATTAATACCTACTATTAGCAGAGATTTTGTGAAGAATAGTCTTAATGTATTTAAAGCTTTAATGGCACTTATTTAGAAGGTCCTCAGGAAATGGTATTATTATTCCAAGGTCTTTCTAGATTGCCTTATTCACCTAAAGAGACTTGATCTTGAGCCTTTGTAGATTTTCTCATTGGTGATTCCTTCACTGCTTAGAATGTCATGATTCCACCAGACAGGTTACTCTCATCTACGTGTATTTTTCTTACATCTTTTTCAGTCTATTTTTCTCTAGCAATTATCTTCAATGTTTATGCTTACAATAACCTTAGTATTTGGCATTACGACACTAATATGTGCCCATGAGACAGACGGAGCACTACTTATCCCAGAGGAGGTATTATTTATTTATTTATTTATTTTTTGAGAGGGAGGCTTGTTTCTTCACCCAGGCTGCAGTGCAATGGTGTGATCTCGGCTTACCGCGACCTCCGCCTTGACTCTCAGTTCAAGCGATTTTCCTGCTTCAGCCTCCCCAGTAGCTGGGATTACAGCCATGTGCCACCATGCCTGGCTAATTTTTGTATTTTTAGTAGAGACAGGGTTTCACCACGTTGGCCAGGCTGGTCTCAAACTCCTGACCTCAATGATCTGCCCGCCTCAGCCTGCCAAAGTGCTGGGATTACAGGTGTGAGCCACCGCGCCCGGTCCAGACAAGGTATTTTTTAGAGATTATGATTGTTCACCACAAGCTGCCTAGCAGGTAGCCCAAGGATCCTGGATCAACTTAGCTATATAGCATCTTTTCTATCTGAATGCAGTATTCTCTTACCCACAACCATATGAAGTCTACACATATTCATTAACAGTATTATATAAAATACAAAATTGGGACTATGTCCCCTCAAGATGAGCACAGTGCTAAGAGGTAAGAGATGGGAAGTTTGTATTAAGTTCAAACACTTTTGGCAAGAATTTATACAATTTCAGGTAACTGGGCATTTTAGGCAAAGCACACAACTTCATGATGTATCACTGAGGAGGATAAGATAAACAGTTCTAAAAGCTGGTACAGGTGACAAATTTTGTGCAATTTTAAGTTTTACATTTTTTTGTACAAATAGGATCTTGCTATGCAGTCCAGGCTGGTCTTGAACTCCTGGCCTCAACTGATCTTCCTGCCTTGAACCCCCAAAATGCTGGGCTTACAGGTGTGAGCCACTGCACCTGCTGTTTTTAAAGATATTGTAACATACTATTATTCTAAAACCTTATCCTTTGTTGTATCAGAAAAACGACATCCTAGACTGGGCGCGGTGGCTCACGCCTGTAATCCCAGCACTTTGGGAGGCCAAGGCAGGTAGATCACCTGAGGTTAGGAGTTCAAGACCAGCCTGGCCAAATTGGTGAAACCCTGTCTCTACTAAAAATACAAAAATTAGCCAGGTGTGGTGGCGTGCGCTTGTAATCCCAGCTACCGGGGAGGCTGAGGCAGGAGAATCGCTTGAATCAGGGAGGTGGTGATTGCAGTGAGCCAAGATCATGCCACTGCATTCCAGCCTTGGGTGACAGAGTAAGACTCCATCTCAAAAAAAAAAAAAAAACAAAGGGAAAAAGGGCATCCTATACTTGGGCTGAGTCTTTAGTGAAAGCAGAAAAGAATAAGGATTACAAAACAAATAAATTGTGAACATAGTTTTGTTTGTTTGTTTGAAACAAAGTCTTGCTCTGTTGCCCAGGCTGGAATGCAGTGGCGCAATCACGGCTCACTGCAGCCTCAACCTCCTGGGTCAGGTGATCCTCCCACCTCAGCCTTCCGAGTAGCTGGGACTATAGGTGTACACCACCACACCCAGCTAATTTTTGTATTTTTTGTAGAGATGGGGTTTCACCATGTTGCCCAGACTGGTCTCCAACTGCCTGGGCTCAAGCGATCCACCCACCTTGGCCCCCCAAGTGTTGGGATTACAGGTGTAAGCCACCACACCCAACCTTAGATTAAAAAAAAAAATTATCTATTTTTAATTATCTCCTAATTGTAAAATTTTTACTTCCTTTTTTATTTTTTTAAATTCTCAGTGATCCTTATTCTGATTCCTTTTGGTTTTGACAATTAAAAATTATGAAAGCTGGTTGTTTTGTCTCCTATTGCTGAAATAATTTAGTTGATTTAACACTACAGATGGTGTTAGGATAATGAATACAGAACATCAATGAGAATCTAAATTATATCTCTTGAGACCTCCCTCATTCCAAGGGAGGTCTCATAAGTATACATGCATACATGTATAACTTATAAAAAAAAAAAAGCCACATAAATCACCATGACATTATAGAAGCAGATTCAAGAGAAAATAGAAAAATGTGTTCACCATTAAACTCAATACTAATTTTTAGAAGTAACAACCTATAGAATCAACATTAATGAGACGAAATAATATGTTGCAGTTAAGAACAACAGGCTTTGGAGTAAATAAGAAGTAGGTTTGAGTTGGTGACTTTTGCTGTGTGGCCTTGGGCAAGCTATTTAATATACCTAGGCTTCAGTCTTCATCAGTAAAATGAGATAATACTACTATCTCACAGGGTTGTAGCAAGAACAAAAGAAGATAATGCATGTAAAACCAGAGTGCTTAGCACATATAATAAAGCTAAATTATCATTAGCCATTGTTACTATGATTATTATTAATTATAATTATCCTAGATACATATCTGAGCATGATTATGTATTTTTCCTATTTACCCAGCTTGACAAGGTGCTTAAATCTTTTCTTTAGCACTAGAAAAAAGTAGGTTTTAATTGAACCTCTTTTCATTTCATCCATTTTACAGACAAATTATTTATGAAGATAAGCCAACAACTCATAATTTAAGGATCTCTTTATGTTCGTCACAAAGGTTATCAATGCTTTTAAGAGCATCTGCATAGTTTTGTTATTTAACCTTTACACACAATACATGTTTTTCAAACTGCAAAGTTGATAACTAATATCATTTTCAAATAGGCATAGTATAACCTTAAATATTACATGATTCAAATTATTATTATTTTTTTTTACAAAGAAATAAACCTGTAAAGGATCACTGCACTACAGTTGTCCATTAATTATCTGCGGCAAAACTGGGATCCTAGTAGAAGCTTCAGCATATGGATGGTTCCTCTACTGCCTGGGCACCCTCTGTGACAGCTTTGACACATTTGGCCATTGTCTGTGAGGCTCTGCTAATTGAATCTGAAAGATATTAAGAAAATGTCATTTTGATAATACAACTTTTTAAAAAGCACATACTAAAACTTTAATGGTGCACATATTCAGGAGGAAAAAAGATTATAAGGCCCTATGCAAGTATATATAATTATATGTAACCAACAGATTCCAACGATAAACCCCTTACTGGCCACATGCTTTCAATAACTATCCCTGGAAACAATCAAATAACTATAGAGCAGCTAGACAGTGCACCAGTATGCAGCCATTAAAAAATTATAGAAAAGTATTAAAAACATAGGAAAGGCCAGGCGCGGTGGCTCACACCTGTAATCCCAGCACTTTGGGAGGCCGAGGCAGGTGGATCACGAGGTCAGGAGATTGAGACCATCCTGGCTAACACAGTGAAACCCCATCTCTACTAAAAATACAAAAAATTAGCCAGGTGTTGTGGCATATGCCTGTAGTCCCAGCTACTCGGGAGTCTGAGGCAGGAGAATCGTGTGAACCTAGGAGGCGGAGCTTGCAGTGAGCCGAGATCACACCACTGCAATCTAGCCTGGGCGACAGAGCAAGACTCTTGTCTCAAAAAAATAAATAAATAAATAAATATAGGAAAAATGTGTACAATACTATTATTGAAAAAGGTTACAAAACAGCATATGTACTAAAATACATTGAATTGTCCACTTCATGAGTAAATTTTAGGGTACATGAATTATATTTCAATAAAGCTATCAACCCCCAAGTGAATAATCTCACTTTTTTTTTTTTAAAGAGACCAGATCTGACTATGTTGCCCAGGCTGGTCTGAAACTCCTGGATTCAAGCCATCTGCCCCCCTCAGCCTCCCAAAATGCTGGAATTACAGGCATGAGCCACTGCACCAGGCCTAATCTCACCTTCTGTTTCACTAAAAAATATATAGGCCAGGGGTGGTGGCTCACATCTGTAGTCCCAGCACTTTGGGAGGCTGAGGTGGGTGGACTGCTTGAGTCCAGGAGTTTGAGATCTGCCTGGGTAACATGGCGAAACCCCATCTCTACAAAAAATACAAAAATTAGCTGGATGTGGTGGTATGCGCCTATAGTCCTAGCTACCGAGGAGGCTGAGGTGGGAGGATCACTTCAGCTCAGGAGGCAGAGGTTGCAGCAAGCCAAGATTGTGCCACTGCACTTCAGCCTGGGTGACAGAGTAAAATCTCATCTCAAAAATTATACACACACACACACACACACACGTACATGTAAACAGTAATAATTACATATAAATAACAATAGTTAATTAATATAATATATATGTGTATAATGCATATGTATGTCCCTGGAGGAAGAGTGACTAAAATGTTAAAAATAATTATAGTTATTTCTTGATAGTGGGAGGGTAGTGATTTTTCTTTTTTTAAAAAAAAAAAAACTTTTAGGTTCAGGGGTACATGTGAAGGCTTTTTACACCAGTAAACTCATGTCACAGGGATTTGTTGTACAGAATACTTCATCACCGAGGAATTAAGCCCAGTACCCAAGACTTATCTTTTCTGCACCTCTCCCTCCTCCCACTCTCCACTCTCAAGTAGACTACAGTGTCTGTTGTTTCCTTCTTTGTGTTCATAAGTTCGCAGATAAATACCATAGAAGTGATTTTTTGTTGTGCTTTTGAGCATAGGTATTATTTTACAATGAAGGTAATCTTTATTATCTAACTAAAATACTTATTTAAAAAATCTTAGATACAAACTATATAAAAAAATTAAGAGTTCTATGTGCTTTTAGATAGAAAATTAGTCAAAATAATCTATCAACTATTAACTACCTCATAACCTAGATGTTGTATCAACTGTTCTAAGAATCTGCAATAAACAAGTTTCAGTTTGTCTGCATTCCTTAAAAACATTCCTAACAATTTACATCAGAAGCACTGTTTAACATGTTTCACATTTAAATGTTTTGATTCTTCCACCTATAATTCTCAGAAAAACCTGCAGTTATTTGCCACTTTGGAAAATTCACCATAAATTGCTACACAGTGACTTTCCTTACAACAGCAAAATTTTATATTTAAAATCTATTAATTGCTTGGATTTTCAAACTTTGCTTACATTTCAGAAACAAAAAAACTAGAGTAGAATCAGAAAATATGCTTACGTTAGTTCCAATGTTTGAAAACCTTCAAAGATTAAGAATTGCAAACACTATCAATCACAAATTGGAATTATAACACCAAATGAGGTGATCTGATTACTTCTTACCTTTCGTATTTGGCAGAGTCATGTTGACAATTACATACCTGTCATGTAGAAGTCTTTTATAGTTAGCTGAGGTGGAACAAGTGGGTCAGCAAGAAGCTGCTGGTTCACTAGCTGCACAAAAAAGAAGAGATCAACAATAATATGGAAAACTAGTACTGTTACACCAGTAGATACAACATTATGAAAACTGCTCATAGGCGAGCTGTTACCTTTGAGAGCTCATTTGCTTGCTGGAAGTAATTAGCCCCTTCAATATCATCATATCGAACAAGATTAGGAGAGACTTCTTCCAATCTGTTCCTTACTTGATCCAGAGTATCATATGGAAGAGTCATTCCAGCAATCTACAACATGTCAGGTCCCCAAAAACAACAAAAAGCTTTAATACTTAAAAATATCAAATAATAGATAATTGTAACTATGGTGAAATAATGCAGCACTACTGAAAAACCTATTGGTGTCCATTAGTAGACATACAT
Organism: Homo sapiens; assembly: GCF_000001405.40. Taxonomy (NCBI): domain Eukaryota; kingdom Metazoa; phylum Chordata; class Mammalia; order Primates; family Hominidae; genus Homo; species Homo sapiens. The sequence continues at coordinate 235,998 of NW_015495299.1, forward strand.
TTATGAAGGAAGCAGTTAAGCAGGGAACACAAATATCAAAAATTCTAATTCATTCACAGCTGTCAGTACATTAGTGACTCTATGAAATGAAGAGACAATACTATGCTAAATCCAAATGTTTTTGCTAACCTGTTATTAAAATACATAAAGTTTACAATGTGTTATTATTTTAAAAGTCAGGATGCTTACTTTTACATCAATAAAGAGCTAACAGATGTATTTTCAGGCAAAAGACAAGTCAACAATTTTCAACAATAAAAGCACCAATTTCAGGCCAGGTGCAGTGGCTCACACCTGTAATCCCAGCACTTCGGGAGACCGAGGTGGGAGGACTGCTTGAGGCCCAGGAGTTCAAGACCAGCCTGGCCAACATGGCGAAACCCCATCTCTACTAAAAATATAAAAATTAGCCAGGCTTGGTGGTACATGCGTGTAATCCCAGTTACTCAGGAAGCTTGCGCCCGGGAGGTGGAGGTTGCAGTAAGCTGAGATCACGCCACTGCACTCCAGCCTGGGCAACAGAGAAAAACTCTGTCTCAAAAATAAATAAAATAAAATAAAAGCACCAATTTCAAGTTCCTTTATTTTTTAAGAGACAGGGTCTTGCTCTGTCCCTCAGGCTGGAGTGCAGCGGTGCAATGAGAGCTCACTGTAACCTTGAATTCCTGTTTCTGAATACATGTTTTCTATAGAAATTATTCAAATCATCTCTGCATTTCAGACTGGCATCTTCCTTGACTTTGAAAATCATTCTAACAGGCTAAAATATCAAATATGCCTTTAGTAGCATCACTAAGAAATGACTCAGAAATTATACCTCAGAGAGTGCTCTTATAATTTTCCAGTCTTCTCTTGCCAAGCCAGGAGGTGTCACTGCTACCTTAGTCTGCTGAGCTCTACCCTCAGTGTTGACATATGTAGCAGACTTCTCTGTGTAAGCAGCTCCTGGGAGAATAACATCAGCTATGGGAGCCCCAACATCACCATGATGTCCTGCACAAAGATGGAAAATGGTAAACCAAAATTTTATTAAAAACTGATTTTCTACTGTACATGAAGATAGTATATATCATTTTAAATCCCATTTTGTAAAGTCACAAAAGTTTTTAAAACTAAAATGAAACAGTAGTGAAGTAATAAAAATTAAAGCCCACCTCAACCCTAATTCAACTCCCTTCCCAAAGAAAATTATTATTATTTTTTTGAGATGGAGTCTCGCTCTGTCGCCCAGGCTGGAGTGCAGTGGTGCAATCTTGGCTCACAGCAAGCTCTGCCTCCTGGGTTCATGCCATTCTTCTGTCTCAGCCTCCCAAGTAGCTGGGACTACAGGTGCCTGCCACCACACTCAGCTAATTTTTTGTATTTTTAGTAGAGACAGGGTTTCACCGTGTTTAGCCAGGATGGTCTTGATCTCCTGACCTTGTGATCCACCCGCCTCAGCCTCCCAAAGTGCTGGGATTACAGGCATGAGCCACCGCGCCCGGCCCCAAAGAAAATTATTGTTAAAGCATTTGGGGGCCAGGTGTGGTGGCTCATGCCTGTGATCCCAGCACTTTGGGAGGCCAAGGTGGACAGATGACTTGAGGCCAGGAGTTTGTGTCCAGCCTGGCCAACATGGCAAAACTGCATCTCTACTAAAAATACAAAAAAATTAGCCCAATGTGGTGGTGTGTGCCTGTAATCCCAGCTACTCAAGAGGGCTGAGGCATGAGAATCGTTTGAACCCGTGAGGCTGGGGCTGCAGTGAGCCGAGATCACACCACTGCACTCCAGCCTGGGTGACAGAGTGAGACTCTATCTCAAAAAAAAAAATTTTTTTTTTAAAGAAAAAAAAGTATCTTCTCAGACTATTTTATGCAAATACAAATATGTATAATATAATACACACATATAAAATAGCCAAGTAAGTATACTGATGCTTACAAAGTAGAACTGCTCAGATGTACCAGTTTGTGAAATTTGGTAAAGTAGACTGAAATGGGGGAGGATGCAAAGACAGGAATATGACAGTAATACTGAAAAAGGCATAAACGAAAAACTACAGAAAAATTTGGAAACACTGCCACCCATTAATAACAACTGGCAGAAGAAAAAAGTTATTCAGAAAAGAAGACCTTTAGAAACATCTGAATCAAGTGTAAGAAAATCGTAGAATAATATATAGTTTAATATAATTTGTGCACATTTGTATATGCGTATGAAGATGTTATGAAGTACGCATATCAAAACTCAACAATGATTATTTCTTAAAGGACTAAAAACAGGATTTTAGTTTATTTTGTTTTTAATTTTATTAAAAATAACATTTTTTATTGCTCTGTCACCCAGGCTGGAGTGCAGTGACGTGATCATGGCTCATTGCAGCCTCAAACTCCTGAACTCAAGTGATCCTCCCACCTCAGCCTCCTAAGTAGCTGGGATCACAGACATGCAGCAACACGCCTAGCTAATTTTTAAATTTTTTGTAGAAACAGGGTCTCCCTATGTTGCCCAGACTGGTCTAGAACTCCTAGGCTCAACAAATCCTCCTGCCTCAGCCTCTCAAAGTGGTGGGATTACAGCATGAGCCACGGCACCCAAGGAACAGGATTTAGTTCATATATTTTGGTTTAACTTTTTTTTTTTTTTTGAGAGGGAATGTCACTCTTATTGCCTAGGCTGGAGTACAATGGCATGATCTTGGCTCACTGCAACCTCTGCCTCCCAGGTTCAAGTGATTCTCCTGTCTTAGCCTCCCGAGTAGCTGGGATTACAGGCGCCCGCCACCACGCTCGGCTAATTTTTATGTTTTTAGTACAGACAGGGTTTTACCATGTTGGTCAGGCTGGTCTTGAACTCCTGACCTCAGGTGATCCACCCGCACTGGCCTCCCAAAGTGCTGGGATTACAGGTGTGAGCCACCGCACCCGGCAGGTAATAATTCTTAAAAGCAGTATCAATTATGTAACTAATAACACTTGTGGTTTGTTTAAAAAAAAAGGAGGAGGAGTGGGGGAGGCAAAATTCTCAAATGGAAAACATTCAGTTCACTAAATATATTACTAAATGGTTTCTAACATACATAATGTACTACTCTCTTTTGTTTCTGGTGTCACAGGTGATACTTACCTTGATAAATAATGAAACAATCCTTTGGCAAATCCTGTCGTGTGATACAACCTCCATCTGCTCCCAGGAGAAACAGCACCTTGGGAGGGTTCTTCCGAATTGCTTCCACCCCAGGCTTATAGCCAAGGTCCAAAGCAGCTACTTGACTTGCAATCCTGCAAAGCAATTATGGAATTTTACCATAACTGCAGTATTTTCAATGTAAAAAATTAAATGTGATTTTTGGAATAATTTCCTTTCAACAATGTCAAAAAACCCATTTTATTTTATTTTATTTTTTTCTCGGCGATAGAGTCTCACTTTGTCGCCCAGGCTGGAGCGCAGTGGCGTGATCTCGGCTCACTGTAACCTCTGCCTCCTGGATTCAAGCGATTCTCCTTCTTCAGCCTCCCAAGTAGCTGGGACTACAGGCACATGCCACCACACCCGGCTAATTTTTGTATTTTCAGTAGAGATGGGGTTTCACCATGTTGGCCAGGCTGGTCTTGAACTCTTGACCTCAGGTGATCCACCTGTCTTGGCCTCCCAAAGTGCTGGGATTACGGGTGTGAGCCACCACACCTGGCCAAAAAATCCCATTCTTACCCATTTAAAATAGATGCTAAAACCAGAAACAGCAGTCTTTTACTGTTTTGAGAATGGCAACCAAAGAAATGTCAGATTCTTAGGACGCTCTGTCTCTCCATGACATAGTATTGAATGAAATAATTCTAGAAATTTTATGCCAACTGTAATTGCTTTAAGTCTGATTCTTATTCAATAAAGTAAGACATAAAACATGATAAGTCATATATATTCAAAGAAGAAAAATCAGATTATTTCAAAAATGAAAAGGGAGAAATTGAAAACCACTCATTAAACTGTAATTCAGCAAAAACCATAATGAGAAAACCAAAACCTTATAGAAATTTTTTCTACGAATATATATTACTCTTATAAGCACAAAATAATCTTTTAAAGAAGAGGTCTGGAATAAATATACTTTGAATAGCAGGGTTGTTGTTTTGGTTTAGCTTGGTATTTGTTAACTATCTAGAAATAGTAGCCATTCTGAGGACCTAAAACAAGTTGGAAGCATGCTTCGAAAGGCTCAGAAATGGTTATCCTGTGTGCCCCAATAGTTCTACTTTTAGAAATATATCCTAAGAAGATAATTTCAAGTGCAAAGGTATCTGTGAATCACTGTATTATTTAAGAAGTTAAAAACTACCATCAACATACATGTTAAAAAGAAGAAAATGGCTAAAAAAATTTATAGTATATTCATGATATCAATTAGCCATTAACATTTTTATTTACAAACAATTTCTAGAAAAAAATTTCTGACCATAGTAGGAAATTCTCATTTGGCAATGAAAACCTATTGAAACCAGGACACAAAATTGTATTCACAGTATAATTTCACCTATGTAACTAAAAAATATTACACAGCTGTGAGGTGAAGTGGCTCGTATCTGTAATCCCAGCACTTTGGGAGGCCGAGGGTGGCAGATCACCTGAGGTCAGGAGTTTGAGACCAGCCTGGCGAACATGGTGAAATCCCATCTCTACTAAAAACAAAAAAATTAGGCCGGGCGTGGTGGCTCACACCTGTAATCCCAGCACTTTGGAAGGCTGAGGTGGGCAGATCGCCTGAGGTCAGGAGATCGAGACCATCCTGGCTAACACGGTGAAACCCAGTCTCTACTAAAAATACAAAAAATTAGCCTGGCATAGTGGCACGCGCCTGTAGTCCCAGCTACTCAGGAGGCTGAGGCAGGAGAATTGCTTGAACTTCAGGGATGGAGGTTGCAGTGAGCCGAGATCGTGCCACTGTGCTCCAGCCTGGGTGACAGAGCAATACTTCATCTCAAAAATAATAATAATAATAATAATAAAATAAAAAAATTAGCCAGGTGTGGTGGCACATGCCAATAGTCCCAGCTTACTTGGGAGGCTGAGGCAGGAGGATCGCTTGAACCTGGGAGGGGGAGGCTGCAGTAAGCCAAGATCATGCCACTGTACTTCAGATTGGGCAACAGAGTGAGACTCTGGTCTCAAAAAAATAAAATAAAATATTACGCAGGGTAAAGAAAAAAACTAGAAGAAAATGCATGAAAATAGTAATAATTATCTACACATTGTAGAATAAGGATCAGTTCCATTTCTGCACATATCTGTCTCTTTTCAACTTACCTAAATTAAACCTGCATTATTGATATGGTTTGAAATAAAGGCTAGGTGCAGTGGCTCACGCTTATAATCCCAGCAGTTTGGGAGGCTGAGGCAGAAGTATCGCCTGAGCCCAGGAGTTTGAGATCAACCTGGGCAACATAGTGAGACTTTATCTCTACAAAAACAAAAAATTAGCTGGGCATGTGGCATGCGCCTGTAGCTTCAGCCATTTAATACTTGGGAGGCAGGGGTGGGAGGATCGCTGGAGCTCAGGAAGTCAGGGCTGCAGTGGACTATGATCATGCCACTGTACTGAGACCCTGTCTCAAAACAAAAAGCCAAATAATTAAAAAGAAAAAAAAAGAAAGAAAGAAATCCTTTAGCTGAATTCTCATATTAGCTTACATTTTTATCATTTAATTAAAGAACTTGTTGCAATTTTTGAACCAAGGTGTAACTAATATAACAATTTTTATAGTACTTCACTTTTTTTCTCAACACTCACTGTTATTTCAAATATTTTAAATATTCCTTATCATCTCGGGCTCTTCTCACACAGAGTAAAGGTCTATATTTCACATGTGTAACTGGGATAATGTTGCTAAATGTTGTTTGTAAATTAAATTTAACAGTGTATCAGGAACACATACATATACACAACATTACTTGAATTTATAGTATATAAAGCAATTACTCAACAAACCTATGAAGGATATTCATAACTTTCCAATCACCAGTAACACCACTAGTCATCCGAATCTTTTGTGCAATGCTAGAAACAGCTGCAAGAATTGCTGCTCCATCATTTCTTTGGAGTGCAGAACTGCCTAAAACCACCATTGGTTTTTTAGCTTCCTTTAGGACCTATTTAAAAAAAAAAACAACTTTGATTTTAAAATATTACAAGTAAGCTGAACACCAAACCATATTTGCCTCTATAATATAGGTTGTCCCAAGTCTTAGGTGTAACATGAATGTCTTCAATTTGTTAGCCCAACATACAGACACACATATACAACCAGATTTAGTTTAATCCAAAGCATCTTGCCAATGCTACTGTGAAATATGCCTGAGTATCAGCTAAAACACGTTTTCTAAAAGTAATTATTCAGAATAAAAAGCCTAGCAAATTATCCTGTGGTCAGAATAACTATGGGCAGGTCCCAGAAAAATTGGGGAACTTCTCTCCAGAGATTCAGATGTTAATTAAAGAATAGGAAAAACTATGCTTAAGTATCATGCCTACTATCTTCCATCTACTTACCATGCCACAGATAGGGAGGAGGAGGCAGGGAAAGCAATGATCACCAGATCACAATGTTAAATACCTACAATTTTAAGGCTTTGTTTTAAACCATAGTAACTCTAAATGACAAAAACTAGGAGAATGCATCCCAAGAGTAAAGGAAACTACAAATTTCACAGAAGATGGGCAAATAAGATGTAAAGTTATAGGCTGGGCACGGTGGCTCACGCCTGTAATCCCAACACTTTGGGAGGCTGAGGTGGGTGGATCACTTGAGGACAGGAGTTCGAGACCAGCCTGGCCAACACGGCGAAACCCCGTCTCTACTAAAAATACAAAAAAATTAACCAGGTGCGGTGTTATGTACCTGTAGCCCCAGCTACACAGGAGGCTGAGGCACGAGAATTGCTTGAACCTGGGAGGCGGAGGTTGCAGTGGGCCAAGATTGTGCCACTGCACTCCGTCTGGGCAACAGAGTGAGACTCTGTCTCAAAAACAAAACAAAACAAAACGTGTAAAGTTATAGAATACACGTCTCATTCTCCCACCCATCCTTTGTGTCATTCTTCAATAAATAGCTGGCCACAATCAAAGAATCAGCATGGAAATTATGCTGATATATTATAAAGAGGAATACATTAATCACAAGAGGAATTTGCCAAGGAAATGTGAATAGTTGAGAGAAATAGTTTTTAATAGTCTCAAAGACAATGAAAAATAACACACTCTTTCTCACTTAAAAACTCAAAGAAGCAACACTGTAGAGTATTATATAGTAAGGAGATTTTCATCATTGAATTCAGGATAGAACTGGAAGACAAACAAGTAATAAATACCATTCCAGAAACAATAAAAAACTAAACAGGCCAGGTGCAGTGGCTCAGGCCTGTAATCGCAACACTCTGGGAGGCCGAAGTGGGTGGATGACTTGAGCCCACAGGTTCAAGTACAGCCTGGGCAACGTGGCAAAACCTCGTCTCTACAAAAAATTGGCCAGGCATGGTGGTGTGCACCTGTGGTCCCAGTGGTGGCTGCAGTGAGCCAAGACAGCACCATTGCACTCCAGCATGGGTGACAGAGCCAGACCATCTCAAAAACAAAAAAAAAAGACAGAAAAGAAAGAAAACATGATTAAATACAAGGACAGGAAAGACAGGGTACAGGATACAAAACAAATGGAAAAAGGAAAAAAACACAGATATGAAAAACCAGGCAAGGTTGGCTCATGCTTGTAATCCCAACACTTTAGAAGGCTGAGGTGGGAGAATTGCTTGAGGCCAGGAGTTTGAGGCCAGACTGGGCATCACAATGAGCCCCATCTATACAAAAAAATATAAAAATTAGCTGGGCATGGTGGTGTATGCCTGCAGACCCAGCTACAGGGGAGGCTTAGGTGGGAGGACTGCTTAAGCCCAGGAGTTTGAGGCTACAGTCAGCTACAATTCTGCCATTGCACTGCAGCCTGGGCAACATAGTGAGACCTTAAAAATACATATATAGAAAAGAAGATTCGACAACTGCATTGTCAAGAGTTGTTTTTTTTTCTTTTGAGACAGGGTCTTACTCTGTTGCCCAGGCTGGAGTGCAGTGGCATGATCTCGGCTCACTGTGACCTCCACCTCCCAGGTTCAAGCTATTATCTTGCCTCAGCCTCCCAAGTAGCTGAGATTACTGGCACACGCCACCATGCCAAGCAAATTGGGGTTTTTTTGTATTTTTTAGTAGAGATAGGGTTTCACCATTTTGCCCAGGCTGGTCTTGCTCCTGACCTCAGGTGATTTGCCTGCATTGGCTTCCCAAAGTGCTGGGATTACAGGTGTGAGCCACCACATCAAGAGTTCTTAATGAAGGTAACAGAATTAATGAAAAATGTATTTAAATCTATTATAGAACAAAACGTTCTCAGGCCAGGCACAGTGGCTCACGCCTGTAATCCCAGTACTTTGGGAGGCCGACACGGGCAGATCACGAGGTCAGGAGATTGAGACCATCCTGGCCAACATGGTGAAACCCTGTCTCTACTAAAAATAAAAAAATTAGCTGGGCATGGTGGCGTGCGCCTGTAGTCCCAGGTACTCGGGAGGCTGAGGCAAGAATCGCTTGAACCTGGCAGACTGAGGTTGCAGTGAGCCGAGATCATGCCACCGTACTGCACTCCAGCCTGGGGACACAGCAAGACTCTGTCTCAAAAAAAAAAGAAAAAAGAAAAAAAGAAAAGGAAACGTTCTCTCAAAATAGTAGTCACCTATCACATGGGGATGGGAATTAGAGAGGAGAAAGGAAGACTTTTCACGGAATATTTTTTAATATTTTTGATCTTTTAATCATAATTTTTTTTCTATTCAAAATAAACAAGTTGTGCTTTGCTACTTCATCCTCTTGCACATCACCTTCTTCCCTACACCTGAGACTGTAAGTGAAGCAACCATCTTGGAACCACAAGGAGAAGGACACACACAATCACATGTGAGCAAGCAAATGCACTGACGACAGCAAAGCAGGAAGGCAGGCTCTCTTTGATGATATGCTTGGACAACTGCATCAGCTTTTTTTTTTTTTTCTTTCTTCTTTTTGTTTTTTTGAGATGGAGTCTCACTCTGTCACCCAGGCTGGAGTCCAATGGCGCAATCTCAGCTCACTGCAACCTCTGCCTCCTGGGTTCAAGTGATTCTCTTGCCCCAGCCTCTCAAGTAGCTGGGATTACAGGCCACTACAACCGGCTAATTTTTGTATTTTTTTTTTTTTAAGCAGAAGCGGGGTTTCACCATGGTGGTCAGGCTGGTCTCAAACTCCTGACCTTGTGATCCGCCCGCCTCAGCCTCCCAAAGTACTGGAATTACAGGCATGAGCCACCGCACCCAGCCTGCATCAGCTTTCAATGTGCCTACCTCCAGACCCCCTTGTGTGACAAACAGAAACTCCTTAGTTTTTAGTTGTTGGTTTTTTTTTTGTTTTTTTTTTTTTGAGATGGAGTCTCGCTCTGTCGCCCAGGCTGGAGTGCAGTGGCATGATCTGAGCTCACTGCAACCTCCGTCTTCTGGGTTCAAGCGATTCTCCACCCTCAGGCTCCCGAGTAGCTGGGATTACAGGTGCCCATCACCATACCCAGCTAATTTTTGTATTTTTAGTAGAGACGGGGTTTAACCATGTTGGCCAGGCTGGTCTCGAACTCCTGACCTCAGGTGATCCATACACCTTGGCCTCCCAAAGTGCTGGGATTACAGGTGTGAGCCACTGCACCTGGCCGGAAATTCCTTAGTTTCTTTCTTTTTTTCTTTTTTTTTTGAGACAGGGTTTCACTCCTGTTGCCCAGGCTGGAGTGCAATGGTGCAATCTTGGCTCACCACAACCTCCACCTCTCAGGTTCAAGCGATTCTCCTGCCTCAGCCTCCTGAGTAGCTGGGATTATGCATGCACCACCATGCCCAGCTAATTATGTATTTTTAATAGAGACGGAGTTTCTCCATGTTGGTCAGGCTGGTCTCAAACTCCCGACCTCAGGTGATCCACCCACCTCAGCCTCCCAAAGTGCTGGGATTACAGATGTGAGCCACCATGCCCGGCCAACTCCTTAGTTTTTTAATCACCTCCACCACCACACATATATTCTAAAATAAAGAGAACCTTGTATCTTTAGACTGAAAGTACATTCTGTCCTATAGTCTTATAGTGATGTCTTCACCTTTAAGACATATTTTGGTGAAGTTACTGAATTTCAAGAATGATAATCAGAATCCCAGCACTTTGGGAGGCCAAGGCGAGTGGACCACAAAGTCAGGAGTTGGAGACCAGCCTGGCCAATATGGTGAAACCCCGTCTCTACTAAAAATACAAAAATTAGCCAGGTGTGGTGGTGCGTGCCTGTAGTCCCAGCTACTCGGGAGGCTAAGGCAGGAGAATGAACCCGGGAGGCAGAGGTTGCAATGAGCCAAGATCGTGCCACTGCACTCCAGCCTGGGTGACAGAGCGAGACTTCGTCTCCCCGCCAAGGAAAAAGAAAAAAAAAGATAATCAGGACAGGGTTTGGGGCGGGGCGGAGGAATAAAGTTTACATGCTTCTTCACTAACAAAAGGCAGTGTCTATAAAGCTCAGAAAGGGGGGAAAAAAAAGTCTGACCCTGGAATTTCACATCCTGACAAGCTGTCTCTTCAGGAATAGACATTCTCAAGCAAGCAAGAACTCAAGGAATACAGGCAACCATGAGCCACCTTTGGGGAAAAGCAAAACAATAAAGCCAACAACAAAATGAATTAAAGAAAGAACTCAAATGAAAAAAACATGTACCTCAGAAACAAAAATAGAAGGACTGGTAAAATTTTAAGGAATAACTCCTTTTGTAATAAAGAAAGATTTAAATGAAGTTAAAAGTGCAATTCTTTCAGGTTTACTTTGATTTCTTTTCAGATAATTTCAAGAAAATTAAACTCTGGCAAATAAAAACTGCATGTACAGTATGATCTCATTTTTGTTTGACTATTCATCCATCTTGCTTTGCTCTCTACATAAATGGAGAGATTATGATGTTTTATCAATACCTGTTTTGGGGTGGTGGAATTTTAGGTAATGTTTTACTTTCTTCCTCATGTTCTTTTCTGTATTGGTGTAAGTTTTTTTGGGGGTGGGACAGAGTCTCGCTCTGTTGCCCAGGCTGGAGTGCAGTGGCACAATCTTGGCTCACTGCAACCTCCGCCTCCTGGGTTCAAGCAATTCTCCTGCTTCAGCCTCCCAAGTAGCTGATACTACAGGCGCACGCTAACTTTGGTTTGTATTTTAGTAGAGACAGGGTTTCACCGTGTTGCCCAGTCTGGTCTTGAACTCCTGACCTCAGGTGATCCACCTGCCTCGGACTCCCAAAGTGCTGGGATTACAGGCGTGAGCCACCGCGCCCAACCTGGTGTAAGTTTTAACACTTACATAGGATTATTACAAAAACAGTTAAGTTTAAATAATAATAATTAAAAATCAACAAGAGTAGATACACATAAGTTGAGAGCACCTGGCTAAATGGATGGCTTCCCGAAGCAATGTCTTGAAGAATTTTGGGGGAGTCTCCCAGGTGGTCATATGTGTAAGTGAGGTCCACTGGACTGCCTATAAGGGCCACTTTTAAGTCATTATGCAGCCAGCTGAAATAAAAACAACATTTTAAGAAGTAAATAACTAAGCTAAGCAGTTACTGGTCTCATCAATCCTAAGTGATACATCTATTTACTATTACAAAATGTTAAAAGCACAGACAATACATTTAACAGATATGATTTACTACGTACCTTTCAAAACAGTGTTGCAAAAAGGCATGCCAAGGCAATTCAGTGATTTAATTTGCTGTGTAGAAATGCTATCCAGACCAGGCGCAGTGGCTCACACCTGTAAATCCCAACACTTTAGGAGGCTAAGGCAGGTGGATTAATTGAGGTCAGGAGTTTGAAACCAGCCTGACCAACATGGTGAAACCCCATCTCTTCTAAAAATACAGTATTAGCTGGACATGGTAGCGCATGCCTGTAGTCCCAGCTACTTGGGAGGCTGAGGCAGGAGAATCGCTTGAACCCAGGAGGTAGAGGTTGCAGCGAGCTGAGATCGGGCCACTGCACTCCAGCCTGGGTAACAAGAGCAAAACTCCACCTCAAAATAAAAAATTTAAAAAAAAAAAAAAGAAAGAAATGCTAGTAAGCCAGCTATAAAAGTTATTTATTTATTAATTTATTTATTTTTGAGAGAGAGTCTCACTCTGTCACCCAGGCTGGAGTGCTGTGGCGCAATCTCGACTCACTGCAAGCTCCACCTCCCGGGTTCCAGCAATTTTCCTGCCTCACCCTCCGGAGTAGCTGGGATTACAGGCACCTGCCTCTACGCCCAGCTAATTTTTGTATTTTTAGTAGAAGGCAGGCTTTCACCATGTTGGCCAGACTGGTCTTGAACTCCTGACCTCAGGTGATCCACCCGCCTCAGCCTCCCAGAGTGCTGGGATTATAAGCATGAGCCACTGTGCCCGGCCTAAAAAAATTTTAATTTTAGAATTAATCTGTAATTTTTATTTTGCAGTATTTACATGACAGGGTCAATTATCTCTTAATTATCCATTAAGGATATTTAAACATTTTCATAATTCATGAAAATATACCATGTTATTGACATTTATTCTCCACAGCAGGGAACTATGGCTCCAGTTCCTCCAAAAAGTCATAAGTGCAATGACTATATAGTCTGGTTTGTCTGAGATAATGCTTTTTTTTTTCCCTGTTATCCTGATGTAATTATTAATTCCCTCTTTCACTCCCGTAGTTTAGACAATAAACTATATGGTTACCCTCTTTATAAATCTCTAAGATGTAAATTTAAAAGACAGAAAGCATGCTAGAAAATAACTGGCTTGTGTTCTTAAAAAAAAAAAAAAAAAAAAGTCAAAAAAGGGACCAGAAGAGTCATGAAACTAATTGTAATGTATGACTCCAGAATGGATCCTGAGGAAACAAAAAAATTGCTATAAAAGAAATTATGAAAAAAAAAATCAATGAAATTTAAATATAAACGTAGGCTTATGAAATAATATTGTATCAAAACTAAATTTCTGGCTGGATGCAGTGGCTTATGTCTATTACTCCCAGCACTTTCAGAGGCCAAGGCAGGAGGAACACTTGAGCTCAGGAGTTCAAGACCAGCCTGGGCAACATAGGGAGATCCTGTCTCTACAAAAGGTATTTTAAAAAATTAGCTGGGCATGGTGGTGCATGCCTGCAGTCCCAGCTACTCAGGAGGTTGTGGTGGGAGCATCATTTGAGCCCAGGAGGTCAAGGCTGCAGTGAGGTGTGATCATGCTAATATACCTTAGCCTGTGTGGCAGAGCAAGACCCCTAACACAAAAACTAGCTGGACGTGGTGGCATATGCCTGTATTCCCAGCTACTCAGGCAGCTGAGGCAGGAGAATTGCTTGAACCCAGGAGGCAGAGGATACAGTGACCCGAAACTGAGATCTCAGAAACCAAAAAAACTAAATTTCTTTTTTTTGAGATGGAGTGTTGCTCTTGTTGCCCAGGCTGGAGTACAGTGGCATGATCTTGGCTCACCACAACCTTCGCTTCCCAGGTTCAAGCGATTCTTCTGCCTCAGCCTCCCAAGTAGCTGGGATTACAGGCATGCGCCACCATGCCCGGCTAATTTTGTATTTTTAGTAGAGATGGGTTTCTCCATGTTGGTCAGGCTGGTCTCAAACTCCTGACCTCAGGTGATCCACCTGCCTCAGCCTCCCAAAGTACTGGGACTACAAGCGTGAGCCACCACGCCCAGCCTAAATTTCTTCATTATTTAAGAGAATGCTCCTTGTTCTCAGGAAATCCACGCTGAGAATTTAGGTATAAAAGGGCACCATGTCCACCAGAAACTTCCAAATGATTCAGAAAATTAGATTCACACACACATATATATGTAGTGTGTATATATATATATATATATATACACACACACTGAGAATCATAATACAAATATGGCAAGATGTTAACATCAGTTAATCTATGTGAACAATATACAAAATGGTATACAAAGACCATTTCAAGCATCTTGAATTATTTCAAAATAAAAAGCTAATAAAGTAAATTTAAAAGACTCGCAAGGAGAGGAGAAAACGGACCTATTAGAAATTGTTGCAACTGGGCGTGGCAGTTCATGCCTGTAATCCCAGTACTTTGGGAGGCCAAGGTGGGAGGATGGCCTGAACCCAGGAGCTCGAGACTAGCCTGGCAACATGGCAAGGCTCCATCTCTAAAAAATTAAAAAGGCCGGGCGCGGTGGCTCACACCTGTAATCCCAGCACTTTGGGAGGCTGAGGCGGGCGGATCACAAGGTCAGGAGATCGAGACCACGGTGAAACCCCGTCTCTACTAAAAATACAAAAAATAAGCTGGGTGCAGGGGCGGGCGCCTGTAGTCCCAGCTACTCGGGAGGCTGAGGCAGGAGAATGGCGTGAACCCGGGAGGCGGAGCTTGAAGTGAGCCGAGATCGCACCACTGCAATCCAGCCTGGGCGACAAAGCGAGACTCTGTCTCAAAGACAAAAAAATAAAAAATAAAAATAAAAATAATTTTTTAAAAATCTAAAAAATTAAAAAAATTAAAAAAAAAAAAAGGCTCGGTGCAGTGGCTCACACCTGAAATCCCAGCACTTTGGGAGGCTGAGGCGGGCGGATCACGAGGTCAGGAAATCGAGACCATCCTGGCTAACATGGTGAAACCCCATCTCGAGGCGGAGCTTGCAGAGCCGAGATCCTGCCACTGCACTCCAGCCTGGGTGACAGAGTGAGACTCCGTCCCACCAAAAAAAAAAAAAAAAATTGTCTTCCAGTTATCTTTTGGAGTCTCACTACCACTAACACTATTAGGAAGATGCCATTTTTCACATATAAAACAAAAAAATTACATAAATATTTTTAAACCTTGAATAAATACTATTACCAACCTCTTTCGAATTCTAGCATTAAACAGTGGTGCCTCAAAACGTGGGTTTGTACCAACCAGAAGAACAACATCTGCCTCTTCCACACCAGCAATTGTAGTATTAAGAAGATAATTGGAACGCAAATCTGTGCTAGAAATACAATATATAAAATGCAAATTTACTTTAAAATTAAGACATACAGAGAATCCATGAAATATTCTCCTATCATCAAACCCATTGCCTTCTCAAACAAAAAATTTTATGAAGTATTTCTAAATTAAATGAACATTTCAGATACTTATTTTTTTTCTCAGATAGAGTCTCACTCTGTCTCCCACGCTGGAATGCAGTGGCGTGATCCTGGCTCACTGCAACCTCCACCTCCCAGGTTCAAGCAATTCTCCTGCCTCAGCCTCCCAAGTAGCTGGAATTACAGGCGCACACCACCACGTCTGGCTAATTTTTTTGTATTTTTAGTAGAGACGGGGTTTCGCCATGTTGGCCAGGCTGGTCTCAAACTCCTGCACTTAGGCGATCTGCCTGCCTTGGCCTCCCAGAGTGCTGGGATTACAGGCGTGAGCCACTGTGCCTGAGATACTTAGTGATAAGTGGATTCCTCTATTTCCTACAACTTCTGGTTTGATCTTGGTCTATATATGAAAATAAACTGGGGGATATGTTGGAGAATCCAGGTTGTCACATTTTATACATAACTTGTAACTAAAAAAAGAAAGGAAAGCCTAGATCCTAGCTTCATATTTCTCACCCAGCTCCTGCAGTGGGGAAGACCTCTTCAGTGCATAAGGTGTCAGAGTCCACTCTATTAAGCAAATCTTTGAGAGCTACCAGGGCTTCAGCATCCACCAAGCCACCTGCAATTGCTGCCACATCTTTGCCTTGAAAACTCTGCAACTAGAAACAGATGAAAAGGGCATCACCAAGAAACCTACACGCAGCAAAGACCACAATGAAATGTTCAGAAAATAAAACAGTACTTGTTTTCAAGTACAAAAAAAGTTAACAGACTTCTGATTAAAAGTTTTACAACATGCCCAGGCACACTGGCTCATGCCTGTAATCCCAGTACTTTGGGAGGCAGAAGTGGGCGGATCACCTGCAGTCAGGACTTTAAGACCAGCCTAGCCAACATGGTGAAATCCCATCTCTACTAATAATACAAAAATCAGCTGGGCATGGTGGCATACGCCTGTATCCCCAGCTGCTCGGGAGGATGAGGCAGGAGAACTGCTTGAACCAAGGAGGCAGAGGCTGCAGTGACCCGAGATCGAGATCGCGCCACCGCACTCCAGCCTGGGCGACAACAGCAAAACTCCATCTCAAAAACACAAAAAAAGTTGTACAACAATTATTAATTAATCTAAAAGTGAAAAGCTGCAGAGGTGTTATGTGGGGCCACAGCTAATAACATCAACTTAGAAGGAAGCTGTTTTATATTTAGGAACAAAGGCACTTCAAAATGAGGTCTGGAGAATGAAGTGGAACTATAGTTACCTTAAATGCGACCTCCTCTGAAGTATCTGCCTTTCCCTCTAGTGCTTTATGTTGTCTTTCTCTAACAAGAAAACTATTCCCTCCACTTGTACTCTGGCAAGCTTATATTCATTCTCAGATTCTTCTTTAAGAATCACCTTCTGTAGGAAGGCAGCTTTTTTTTTTTTTGAGATGGAGTCTCGCTGTGTCACCCAGACTGGAGTGCAGTGGTGCGATCTCGGCTCACTGCAACCTCCAAGGAAGGCATCTTGATATGCCTGTCCTAGTTAGGCATTCCTCCTACGTGCTCTCACTCATATTACTCCTTATATAATTACTCATAGCTGCATATAATAATTGCTGAATTGTGCAACTTTCTCTACTACAAGATTGTAGGATGCAGGAATGATGTGTCTCTGGTCTTTATATCCCTTAATAGCATAATATCTAGCATATGTCCTCAGTAGATGTCTGTAAAATGGAAGGAGATTAAATCATAATCTTGGTAAAAGTAAAAAAGGGAAGAAATATACATCCCCCCCTTCATGGCAAAGATGTTTCTTGATAATCACAAACACTATTTAACACTATTTATTTCAAATTTTACCATTCCAGCTACGCGAGAGAGCGCATCCTCCCAAGAAGTATAGGTTAAAAGCCCTTTTTCATTTCTGACCATTGGCTCGGTAAGTCTTTGACGTTTTAGCCCATCATAGGCAAATCTAGAAAACAGAAATTACACCATTGTGGAATCTTGCTAAAGAAGTAACTATAATTTTCAAGTTAAATCAACAAGAAATGTTATTTAAATACAGTACTGGTTAAAGTGTCAAATATCTAAACACCTAGATACAAGTAATTATTCCAGATATTTTTAGAGATGAACTAATAGATTTTATGAACTTCACCTAAAACTAAAATACCATCTGAAAGTTTGATTTCTTCCCTTAAATCATACAAAAAAAAGTTTGATTTCTTATACTTTCAGCTAACTGAACAATCTTAAAATTACAACACAAAAAAATCTGACAGCTAAAAAAGTCAAATCATTTTTATTTACAAAGCATGAGTATCTCTAAATATTTTATCAAAATTATATTGTGCAAACTCTTCTATTCAGCTTCTTTTTCAAGCAATCATCCCACCTCGGCCTTCCAAAGTGCTGGGATTACAGGTGTGAGTCACTGCGCCCAGCCTAGCTTCTTTTCTCTAATGAACAAACTGAAATAAGTTGAGAATGTATCAATCTACTTGAATTTCTCCATGTGGGAGGAAAAAATATCTTTCTCAAAGTAAATACAATATCCAGGGATTGACCTAGGACTATTAAAGTCAGTATTATCACATTATATAAGCAACTCAGATTCCAGTAGTCTATATTCAGTAACTAATTTGCAAATATAAAAGATAATTCTTCAAAATTATTATAAAATTTCCTTTAAATAAACTGTAAAAGTTAAGGAAAACAATATAGCATATACCTGGTTTTATCAGAGATCCACTCTTCATTGATGTCCTCATGCATACGTGGCAAAATCCTCATCACTTCTCCAGTTCTTGTGCTAACCACAATATTACTTCCAACCGCATCCATTACATCAATGGATTCTGTCTTTCTGAGAAACACATACGGTGTTTACTATGGTGCTTTTGGGAATAAAGAAAGTTTCTGTTACCTGGTTTACCAAAAAATTTTTTTTACAATTAATTCCCTTTCTGAATTACTTTAAAAAATGAAGCTTAGAGGAACTGCAATTAAATAAAAGAACCCCCCACCTTTTTTTTTGCCCTGGGGTCTCACTCTGTTGCCCAGGCTACAGTGGCATGATCATAATTCACTGCAGCCTAGAACTCCTGGGCTCAAACTATCCTCTCACCACATTTTAAAAATTTTTTGTAGAGCCGGTGTCTCATTATGCTGACCAGGCTGGTCTTGAACTACTGGTCTCAAGCAATCCTCCCACCTTGGCCTCCTAAAAGCTGGGATTATAGGTGTGAGCCACTGCTCCCGGCACACCCACATTTGAACACATAAATTCCTGGCACAGTAAGGAAGGCTTTAAAACTATTATCTGACACAGAAGCTAGTTTGAAGGGGCTCCAACTAGCCAAATCTGGGACGATTCAACAAGAGGGGCAGGATTTCTGTCTATGGGAGATTAAGGAGCTCAAAAAACCTTCCCACTGAAAAGCAAAAGTAAAGCTGGCCAAAAATGACAAAACCCACCATTTCAGCAGTTTAGAAATCTAAACACATACAATGTGGGAAGCTTTTATGCACTGAAAAACTGGTGGCTGGGCTCAGTGCTCCTCCTATGCTCCTCTCCACCCCCTCAAAATGGAATTTCTTCGAGGCCGGGGCAGGCTGTGAAGATGAGAACTTCTTTGGTACAGATGGAGACAACTCACTTAACTTGGAGCACGAGGCAAACTTGTTTGTGGAGGTGATACTTTGGAGGTCATCGTAGCTGAGGATAGCCAAGATTTTACCAGCCTAAGTTTGTAGTGGTAATTGCGGCAAGCATTCCTAACAGAGGCTGCTACATGTGCAGGTGAAACCAGAGAAAGCTCAACCTATTCATAAACTCCTGGATAACTCTGAGACCCAAAGGGCCCAGTGCAAAGTAATAGCTGGGCAAACTTGAAAACAGCCTCAACTTTGAATATGCTCCTCCATCCACAAACAGATCCATTGGCAAAGAACATAACTCTTATTAGGTCACGGTGTTTGAAGTACAATTATACCTGACTACTAAACTATGCAGACACAGGGGAACTCCTAAGAAGCCTCACTTAAAAATAAAACCAAGAATATTAAAATATGTTGAAAGAACCAAAGAAAATCATATTTAAAAATTGAAGGGGATGTATGACAACCACGAATCAGCAAGTAGAGATTCTCAGTAAGGACACAGAAATTACACAGAAACAAAAAGCCAAATCCCAAGTTGAAAAGTATAAAGTTTAAAATTGGATGATAATTTGTTATGTTTTAAGAACCTTAAAAATAATCACACCTCTTGCATCTATCTACTCCATTTCTTGGTTTAATCAGGAGAATGAGAGATATACACAGAAATGTGTAAACAGCAATATTTTTTACAGATTTGTAATCATAAAGAAATATACAAGCTAAATGTCTATTAGCAGAAACTGGCTAAATGACATTCCTCATAGTTGAAAACTTAATAAACAACAACATGGGAGACTATACATTTAAAATGTCAACACTATTAAACTCTTTGGAAGAACACATGAAAAAAATAATTTTGTGGTTGAGTACTTTAGAATTAATTTCCAAGAAAACTACAGTTAATTTGCACAGGTTCAATCCATTCTAACTACTTACCTTCTATTTAAAGGGTTTTACATAAACAAACAAAGTCAACAGACCAAAACAACTGAAACCCAGGAAGAAAATGAACCTTAATATTTTTTTGAATAGTAATGAATTAAGGACAAAAAAACAAATTGTCATAAAATAAAAGATACCTTGTTTCCCAAGGCCGGGCAGTAAAGGCATAGGGCTTAGAGGTTAGGGCACCTACAGGGCAGATATCAATGATATTCCCAGACAGTTCAGACATGAACATCTTTTCAATGTATGTGCCAACTTGCATATCATTTCCTCTGCCTGTTGTTCCCAAATCATCTACTCCTGCAATCTCACTTGCAAACCTACAAGATAAAAAATGTGTCATCAATGGTCAAGTCCAGCAAAATTATTTCCTTTCTTATTCATGATCACAAAGAGATGATTTTCCAAACACTAAAAAGAAATGAGTATATTTTTAAAGGTGAGCACAGTCCTAGAATAAAAAATAATGAAATGTTTGCATTTAATTGAGGTGTAACACACAGGCAGAAACTTGTACAAATCATATGTGTACAACTCACCAAGTTATGAGTGAAAGCAAATGCTTATAGATTTTAATTTTTAAATCCACCTGAAGTTGGTACTAAATGAAAGTGAACTTATTTTATTCATATATCAGAAACAGCATCCCTCTTCTCCCACCCAAAAAAAGTAGCCATTCTTTCCAATGTTATTATTCATCAAATTGTGACTATTAAGTATACAATTATATTCTATAATAGAAAAAAAAGGAAAAAAAGTTACCTGATGCAGCGAGTACACTGTATACATCTTGTCATGATGGTCTTTACCAATGGCCCAATGTTCTTGTCTTCCACAGCACGCTTCCCCTCTAAAAATCGGCTCCTATCATTTCCAAACATCATGGACTGGTCCTTAAGTAGATTATGAAAGAGTCAATCTCATGCTGCTAATAAAATTAAAATCTGAGACAACCAAAAAGATTGACAGAATTCTACTACATACCTGCAGATCACATTCACCTCCCTGGTCACAAATAGGACAGTCCAATGGGTGATTTGCTAATAAGAACTCCATCACACCTTCCCTGTATGAAAATTGTAACATATAAAATGACTCTCAAATACACACACACTGACATTAACTGCTGGCACTCAAAATGACCTATAGACTTTATTTTTTTTTTTTGAGATGGTGTCTCGCTCTGTTGCTCAGGCTGCAGTGCAGTGGCACAATCTTGGCTCACTGCAGCCTCCTGCCTCCACCTCTCAGGTTCAAGCGATTCTCTTGCCTCAGCCTCCCGAGTATCTAGGATTACAGATGCCCACCACCACACCTGGCTAATTTTTGTATTTTTAGTAGAGGCAGGGTTTCATCATGTTGGTCAGGCTGGTCTCGAACTCCTGACCTCAAGTGATCCTCCCGCCCTGGCGTCCCAAAGTGCTAGAATTACAGGCGTGAGCCACTGTGCCAGGCCCACATATAGGCCATTTAAACAACCTTCATAGATGTATATTTGTTATACAATTAATAGTAATTTTACATTTAATATCAGAAATGCCAATTATCTATCATTGTGGTAATATTTTTTTTAAGAGACGGGGTCTTGCTATGTTGCCCAGGCTGGACTCGAGCTCCTGGGCTCAAGTGATCCTCCCGAGTATCATTCTGGTAGTATTAAACACACAATCTGGAAAATGCTTAGAGGAGCCTAGAATAAAGTATCATTAGAGAACATAGAAAATTATGATTTTTGGTCAGGTTTGGTGGCTCACGTCTGTAATCCCAGAACTATGGGAGGGAGGCTGAGGCAGGATGATCACCTGAGGCCAGGAGTTCAAGCCCAGCCTGGACAACATAGTGAGACCTCGTTTCAAAAAATAAAGAAAATTGTAACTTTTAACAATACCGAATGATCAAAAGTTGCTGAATGGTCCTCAGAAAATATTCACATTAATTCAAAATAAAAACAAACACAATCAATCCCAGTATAGTATAGTAGTAGCTTAGTAAGTCCAGATTCACCCTTCTTCACAAGTTGAGCAAGTTACTAAAGAAGGATTTTTAATGCTGATCCTAAAGCTCAATACCATAAACTCCTGACTTCACCTTCTCTACTATGTAGTACTCACTTCTATTGCTCCTAGAAGCTGAGCACACCAACTTCTTCCGAGTTTGATATTAAATTCTTAATCTATGGGAAGGTCTAAATACCAAAATGTGCAATTTTCTGCTTTATGAAAGGGTACTACATTGAATAACAATAAAGTACCTGGCTTTTTTGGATTTTTCTGAGTTTGTTAGGATATTCCAACCCTTCATTACTGGCATGGCACAAGCAGCTACAACCTGGGATTTCAATGAAAAAAAAAAATGTGTATTTGTATTTATTTGTGATTACAAGCAACTCAATATATAAAAATGTTAAATTATATAAAAACATTAAATTATACATTTGATAACAGGCAAAGAATAGGGTATTTTTTAAAACTGAATTTTGTTAAGTTTTCATATTCATAATACGATGATCTAGTACTTTGCATTTATCTCAGAAATAAAACATCCTGGTTTTTAGGTTTATTCTAATAGTCAATGCAATTTTTTATTCTGCTCTGAAACAGAACACCAAATAACTGCTTTGATTAGCAGGCACTATTGAATAAAAAAATTGCATACACCAAAATGAAATTAAACTACTGAAAGTGAACTTCTTCCCTGCAACCCTTTTCTCTACTAAAAATGGCAGGGCGTCAGCACTTTTAATGTGCTACTTGGCAACTCTACATCCTGGTTATATATTATACAGCCATTTGGAAATACTGACAACTATAAATCACCTTTAATTTCTAGATATGTTACAATTATATGACATGTGTTTGTAAAGCACTTCTATCTATGTGTTTCCAGTTTTGAAATGAAGAGAATCAATTGTACAAAAGAATTAAATTTATAGATAGAAGTAAAGAGGGCTAGGTTCTCCACTACGATATTGATTCTAAATAAAGTTTGCTGCAAGATTTAAAGTTTTCTACCTTCTACAGCATGGTGTAGAATTTTAGGTATCAAGTACCTTAGGGGCTTTCTCAATTTCAACAAGGCACATCCTGCAGTTTCCAGCAACAGACAACCTTTCATGATAACAGAATCGAGGGATCTGCATGCCAACCTTCTCACAAGCCTAGAAGTAAAAAAAAAAAAAAAAAAAAAAAAAGCATTAGAATAACCTGACTTCACTGCTGTTATTGCTGAAACACACACATACAGCATCTTATTACTTCTATCTATCTATCTATCTATCTATCTATCTTAATTCATTCTTATTTCAGTCCCTTTCTTTGCCTTTGATTCTAACCCGTCTCCTCTGAAGCTGCCTCAGAGGATCTCAGGATCCTTGGCGTGACTTCACCTTATGTGGAAGAAACTGGATAAAGTATCCTTCCACTGTGCTGAAGACTTGACTTCCCACATCCATTTTGAACCATTGTCCACAATGTCCCCAGTGGTTTCATACCTGGACTTCTTCTTTGCCTCGCTCCCCTCCTTTGGATTAGAGATTTCACTACACATTATCTAGCTGGCTATCTGTCTTTGGCTCCTATATGCTACCCAGGACTCACCTCCCACTGTGGCTGAAGGTTTTCCCAGTTTCTGTTTGCCCAGTAAGGGGGATTATCCCTGCTCTGCCAATTATCACCTACCCTGCTCTGCAATTTCTTCCTCCTTTTAGTCTATAAACATGTTCAAATTTCCTCTAGAGTTAGTTCCTCATCCTCAGCCTTCATTCTAAAGCAATCTCATCAATTTCCAGTGTTTAAACTATTTAGTTAGCAAAAATGTGTTGAGTCTTTCCTTTGTGCAGGATGCAGGTATAGTAGTGAAAAAGACAGATAGTGTCCCAGCCTTCATCCTAGCTGACATTCCTTATGCTGATTATGTCCAAACCTTAATCTGCAGCCATGTTAGACCTCCACTTCTCCAAGCTTCAGATTTACAGGTATTTGCATGTGTATGTTCCACAGACAGCTTAAATTCAAATGATTTCTCTCCCCTCTATACACTCCAAAATAACCTAACAAATGCAGAAAACCACAAGAATTCCTCCGGTCTCTTTGAGTTCTAAAGAACTATTTGTCTGTGGCTCTACTGAAACTTCTTTTGTGTTTTTTTTTTCTCACTGTTAAAGCAATATTGGGAAGTTCTGTACGACGGGGGAAAAAATCCCTCGGGTCTTCATCATTCCTGAAGGCCTGTCTACATTTCATTCTCCCTTGAATCTACTCTCTTGTTTTCATTCCCATTGACACTATCTATTTTAGGGCTTTTGTAGTATCCTGTCCCAATAATACAAAATGCTTTTTCCTTGTCTCTTATTCCAGTCTTGCTATTCTCCAAATGATCATCCTCTACAGTCGCTGTCACCCTGTTTAAATAGGCAACAAAACTCCTGATGGATCAAAATATAAGCTCTTCTGCATAGCAGATACTGTATTTCATGACTGGACCTTCCCTTCCTCAATAACTTGATTTCCTGTGATCTCATCTTCTACTTATACCTTATGTTTCATCAATATTAAACTATTTGAAGCTTTCAAAATATGACAAGCTATCTGCCTTAACTTTTTCCATAGGAAATGCAAGCATGTCGTTCTTGTTCACAATATGAACACACCTGTTCATCCTTTAACACCTCCTCAGGGATGACCTGAGGCACCCAATACCTCTTTCTACTACCTCCTATCCCTGCCACAACTTTTCACTGTACCTTGAACATACATTTATATCATATTTTGTGCTTTCATGTCTGTGACTGGCAGATAGTCTAGAAATGACTGCTAAAATGAACAAAGAACATTTAGATCTGTGACAACTTACAAATGGAGTGAAGCATGACTTCTCTATGACCAATTTATTATTTCTGGAGGAATATGAAGAAATATTTAGAGCATGAATGTAAGCACATGCTACCCTCCATTTACCTGCTTTGTAGGATATATTCCTATGAATATTACTAACCACAGAAAGGTTATATGAAAATGAAAAGCATTAAGCAGGCCCACAACAAATGGAGGTTATTTTTTCACAAACTTACCTATAGTAACTAATTTAAGTTACTTCAAATTTCTTTTCTTTTTTTTTGAGACAGAGTCTTGCTCTGTTGCCCAGGCTGGAGTGCAGTGGCACAATCTCGGCTCACTGCAACCTCCGCCTCCTGGGTTCAAGCAATTCTCCTGCCTCAGCCTCTCGAGTAGCTGGGATTACAGGTGCGCGCCACGATGCGCAGCTAATTTTTTGTATTTTTAGTAGAGAAGGGGTTTCACAGTGCTGGCCAGGCTGGTCTAGAACTCCTGAATGATCCGCCCGCCTCGGCCTCCCAAAGTGCTGGGATTACAGGCATGAGCCACTGCGCTCGGACTTCAAATTTCTTAATGGGTATTCATTTGGAATGAAAAGTGAAACAAAAGAACTACCATAATTCACTAAAAATGCCACAAACAAATATATGATAGCTCACTTTGAAGTGCCAAGATTTAAAATGAAATAATTTTAATATAACTTTGCTGTGTATAGTTATTTTAAAGAATTATTTACTAATAATCAGTATAAAGGAAATAAATTAGTATTTTTAAAAAAATCAGAACACACACACAAAATAGTTAGAATGTATGCCTACTTGGAGGACGGTCGTTCCCGGTTCCACCATGACAGACTGACCATCAACAAATACTTCAATCAAGTTGCTTGCTGCTGTGGCAGTTGTTCGAACTGACCATCAAAGATATTGAAGCGAAAAACAGATTAACAGTTTATTATAGCAGATGATAATGGATGAATTGACTCTAACTACAAACCTAAAATTTTTCATTCCTTATTATTCCTCTGTATTGCTCTGGATGCAAACTTATGGTTGTCTACTTTTGATAGCAGAGTAGTTTAAACTGAAACTTCTTTCTTCTTCTTTTTTTTTTTTTTTTTTTGAGAGGGAGTCTTGCCCTGTCACCCAGGCTGGAGTGCAGTGGCGCCATCTTGGCTCACTACAACCTCCACCTCCCCGGTTCAAGCGATTCTCCTGCCTCAGCCTTCCGAGTAGCTGGGATTACAGGAACTCACCACCACGCCCGCTAATTTTTGTATTTTTAGTAGAGACAGGGTTTCGCCATATTGGCCAGGATGGTCTCAAACTCCTGACCTCAAGTAATCCTTCTGCCTCGGCCTCCCAAAGTGCTGAGATTACAGGAGTGAGCCACCATACCCAACTTTAAACTGAAACTCTTAATGTCACTGAAAATATGTTCATGGGAAGATCACTTTTCAAAAACAGAATGTGATTTTTCCATTTTGGCATTGATGTGTGTAGTTCCTAATACTTTCTATTCCATGATAATTCCTATAAACTGTTTAAAGTAAAATTATATTTTGAAAATTATTCAACTTAGATCATTTGTTTCTTCTTTTTTTTTTTTTTTCCAAGATGGAGTCTCGATCTATCTCCCAGGCTGGAGTGCAGTGGTACAATCTTGGCTGTATGCAACCTCCACCTCCCGGGTTTAAGCTATTCTTGTGCCTCAGCCTCCTGTGTAGCTGGGATTACAGGTGTGCCCCACCATGCCCAGCTGATTTTTATATTTTTAGTAGTGATGGGGTTTCACTATGATGGCCAGGCTGGTTTTGAATTCCTGGCTTCAAGCAATCCACCTGCCTCAGCCTCTCAAAGTGCTAGGATTACAGGCATGAGCCACCACACCCGGCCGGTTTCTATTTTTATTTTAAAAAATCATGGGTTTAGGGTCTTTGATAAACTATGCCATAGACTTATAAATTTACAAAAATAAGGTCTAATATCCACGAATGCAAATTTAAGAAAATACTCACCACATCCTTTAGGAGACTTAGAAAGGCCTACTAAGGCCTTTCTTACAGGTATCCTTAACATATTGCTAAAAATAAAACAAAGAATTATATTATTGTAGGGAAAAAAACAATCACCAACTGTTTGGTAATGTTTTATGGCTTTAAATTATTTCACATACATTATGTCATTGAACACTCATAGGTTCTGATATTTTCACTTAGTCTGTAGATGAGAATTCTCAGTCTCAGAGATACTGACTTGTACAATGTCAAAGAGCTAAGCAGCAGCAGCTATTGTATACATTTGGACTTTCTAATTCTATGCAGAGAGCAGTTTTGCCATTTAAAAAAAAATGACATAGAAAGGATCAAACTTAAAGCACTACCACACAGTAAAATAAACTGCAAGACTAACAGTGAGCTTATCATTAATGGTTATGTAAAATAAAGTTGTCTTTTCTGCTTTTATTTCCTACCAATACCCATTCTATCATTTCATGTTCTAAGCATAGCTGTCTACTAAATGTTCCTGAGATATTCTGAGATAGCTCACCAGCCCAAGCCTTTGAGGTGTCTTGATTGCTATTTTCTGGTACACTTATCTTACAGATTTCCAATTATGTGTTTATAAGCCCGTTCTGCCCTCACTGCATTAATTCCTTGAATTTTTCTATCTTCAGTACCTATCCACCAGGCTGGCACAGAGTAAGCTCTTAAACAATGGCTCTCAACTGAGGACAATTTTGCTCCCCAGGGAATATTTAGCAATGTCTGAACACACTGTTGTCACAAACAAGGGGAAGTTACTGACATCTAGTGGGTAGAGGACAAGGTGCTGGCTATTCTACAATGTACAGGACAGTCCCCCACAATAAAGATAATTATCCAAAGTGTCAACAGTGCTGAAGTTGAGACACTGCTCTAAAAGGCTTGCTGAATTACTGAAATAAATGGGTGTCGATTATATAAACACCACGACTTAAAGACACACAAAACAGAAAAGTTACCAAAACTTCTTTTTATTTGTTTTTGTTTGTTTGTTTCTGAGATGGAGTCTCGCCCTATCACCCAGACTGGAGTGCACTGGTGCAATCTCGGCTCACTGCAACCTCCACCGCCCGGATTAAAGCAATTCTCCTGCCTCAGCCTCCTGAAGAGCTGGGATTACAGGCACCCGCCACCACACCCGACTAATTTTTTGTATCTTTAGTAGAGACAGGGTTTCACCATGTTGGCCAGGCTGGTCTCGAACTCCTGACTTCATGATCCGCCCACCTTGACCTCCCAAAGTGTTGGGGTTAAGGCGTGAGCCACCGTGCCCGGCCCTTTTTTTTTTTTTTTTTTTTTGAGATAGAGTCTTACTCTGTTGCCCAGGCTGGAGTGAGTGCAGTGGCACGATCTCAGCTCATTGTAACCTCTGCCTCCTGGGTTCAAGCGATTCTCCTGCCTCAGCCTCCAGAGTAGCTGAGACTACAGGCATGCACAACCATGCCAGGCTAATTTTTGTATTTTTATTATTTATTTATTTTATTTATTTATTGAGACGGAGTCCCGCTCTGTTGCCCAGGCTGGAGTGCTGTGGCGCGATCTCAGCTCACTGCAACCTCCGCCTCCCAGGTTCAAGCGATTCTCCTGCCTTGGCTTCCTGAGTAACCGGGACAGGTGTGTACCACCATGCCAGGCTAATTTTTTGTATTTTTAGTAGAGACGGGGTTTCATCGTGTTAGCCATGATGGTCTCCATCTCCTGACCTCATGATCCAGTCAGCTCAGCCTCCCAAAGTGCTGGGATTACAGGAGTGAGCCACTGTGCCCAGCCTATTTATTTATTTTTGAGGCAGGGGTCTTGCTGTCACCCAGTCTCACTCTGTCACCCAGGAGTGCAGTGGCAAGATCTCGGCTCACTGCAACCTCCACCTCCCAGGTTCAAGCAATTCTCAGCCTCCCGAGTAGTTGGGATTACAGGCGCCCATCAACATGCCCGGCAAATTTTTGTATTTTTAGTAGAGACAGGGTTTCGCCACGTTGGCCAAGGTGGTCCTGAAGTCCTGATCTCAGGTGATCCACCTGCCTTGGCCTCCCAAAGTGCTGGGATTACAGGTGTGAGCCAATACGCCTGGCCAATTTTTTTATTTTTTAGTAGAGATGGGGTTTCGCCATGTTGGCCAGGCTGGTCTCAAACTCCGGACCTCAGGTGATCCACCTGCCTTGGCCTCCCAAAGTGCTAGGATTACAGGCGTGAGCCACCACGCCCGGCCAAGTCACCAAAACTTCTAAACTTTTTGAGTTTTTTTTTTTTCCTACTCACTTGATCATATAGGCTAAGCACTGAACTTTCCTTCTATTCACTTGATCATATAGGTTGAGCATCCAAAATCATTTGGAACTTTTAAAGGTATTAAAAATGCCTGTAATCCCAGCACTTTGGGAGGCTGAGGCAGGTGGATCACGAGGTCAAGAGATCGAAACCATCCTGGCCAACATGGTGAAACCCCTTCTCTACTAAAAATACAAAAAAATAGCCGGGCGTGGTGGCAGGCGCCTGTAGTCCCAGCTACTGGGGAGGCTGAGGCAGGAGAATGGCGTGAACCCGGGAGGCGGAGCTTGCAGTGAGCCAAGATCACGCCACTGCACTCCAGCCTGGGCGACAGAGCAACACTCTGTCTCAAAAAAAAAAAAAAAAAAAATGCAAATTGGACAGGAGAGGTGGCTCACGCCTGTAGTCTCAACACTTTGGGAGGCCATCACAGGAAGATGGCTTGGGTCTAACAGTTAGAGGCCAGCCTGGGCAACACAGCATGATCCCATCTCTACCAAAAAAAAAAAAAAATTAGCTGGGTGTGGTGGCATGCGCCTGTGGTCCCAGCTTCACAGGAGGCTGACCTGGGAGCATGGCTTGAGCCCAGGTGTTCAAGGTTACAGTGAGCTACAATCATGCCACTGCACTCCAGCCTGGGTGACAGAATAAGACCCTGTCTCAAAAAAAAAAGAAAAAAGGCAAATTATGTGATTAGAACGTATTAAAAAATTTCAACATTAAAGTTTCAATAGTTGCAATAGTATTATTGAATAATAGTACATATACATAGGTTTTAAGCACAAAATTCTGCATACTTATCATAGATGATGTACAACAGGAAATTTCATTCATAAATTTCATTAATTAAGAATATGTGATACTGAAATTGCAAATATCCAATCTGTTTCCTGCTAGTGAGTAATGTTGGGTAAATGAGTTTCTGGTTCTTTACTTATAGAGCAGGAGGAAAACAATACTTCCTAGACAATGAGCTATTAGTAGGGGCTCAACAAATGCCAGTTAAAGCTGAATTCAACTTAGGCAATACTGGCCACTGACAATCAGTATGTGTGTGTGTTTTGAGACAGAGTCTCACTCTGTCACCCAGGTTGTAGTGCAATGGTGTGATCTTGACTCACTGCAACCTCCGCCTCCCAAGTTCAAGCAATTCTCTTGCCTCCCAAGTAGCTGGGATTACAGGCACCTGTCATCACGCCCGGCTAATTTTTGTATTTTCAGTAGAGAAGGGGTTTCGCCATGTTGGCCAGGCTGGTCTCAAACTCCTGACCTCAGTGATCCACCCGCGTCGACCTCCCAACGTGTTGGGATTACAGACGTGAGTCACCGCGCCTGGCAGACAACCAATTTTAAAGCACTCTTTCTTTGAGCTCTTTTTCTTTAGTACCAGTACACACTGTGTAGATATTTTTGTTTTACTTACTAAACTGTAGGTTAGTAATCAATTTTAGTACCTACCAGACTGTAAGCTCCTTGAGGACAAGGAATTTGGACATTTCCCTTTTTTGAAGACCTAGCACAGGACCCTTATGAAAATAACCACCAAACAGTCTTATCACCAAGTTCTAGAACTAGAGTAGCATCTGTCCTATTAAAAACTACTGATGGCATAAATATAAACCTAAACTTACTCCATTAGAGCACTGACAGATTTGAAATCAACAATCAGTATTTCATACAATTTTAAAACTTTAATACTTTTTTATCTCCAATGCAATATAAAAATAGTACTCACTTTGGATAGGAAATCAACTAGAACTAGACTGTTGACATCCAGCAACAAAGCATAGCCCAACATAAGAAATACAGATTTGCAACACTTCGATATGTGCTTTGAACATTGATATGCCAAGTAGCAATAGAAATAATTATCTCTTTGGATGGAAAATGTTAATGACTAATCATTTCTTAAACTAGACTGGATACTTTTCCATATAGGGACTATGCTATTCCACGTTCTCCAACATGGATCCATCCATTTACTTCTTGCCTTCCAAGGTACCACCCTATCCCAATCCACCATCACTCCTTGCCTGGAGTATTTCAATAGCTTTTTTTTTTTTTTTTTTGAGACAGAGTCTCGCTCTGTCGCCCAGGCTGGAGTGCAGCGGAGCGATCTCGGCTCACTGCAAGCCCCGCCACCCGGGTTCACGCCAGCCTCCTGCCTCAGCCTCCCAAGTAGCTGGACTACAGGCGCCCGCCACCACGCCCAGCTAATTTTTTGTATTTTTAGTAGAGACAGGGTTTCACCGTGTTAGCCAGGATGGTCTCGATCTCCTGGCCTCGTGATCCGCCCGCCTCGGCCTCCCAAAGTGGTGGGATTACAGGAGTGAGCCACCGCCTCCGGCCTTCAATAGCTTAACAGGTCACCAAGCTTCCACACTATTCCCACACAGCCTCTCCCCTCTTGCCACCGGCTGTGACCTCAGACTGAAATGCTCTTCCCTGGCCCCTCCTTATCCTTCAAATCTTGGCTTAAAAGCCTTTTCTCAGTTTCATTGACCAGGCTATCTAACATTTACGATTCCCCCAGCATATCATCCATTTTATTCTTCTTTACGGACTCATTTCTGGCTCGTAGTAAATGTTCAATAACGGTTAAGTGAACTGAATCTCTAATTTCTGGTCGTTAATTTGTAGAGACCACTTTCCCGGATTTAAAAAGTGCAGGTGCTCTGGCAGCCTTAAGTCGGTGAAAACAAGAATATTCCGCAAAACAAAAATAACTTGTTTATTCATCAAAAACAGTTAACGTTACACTTCTATACCGTCAATTCGTGTGTGAACAGAGTTGTGTCTGATCCAAGACCTTACAGTTCAAGCACTGGATCCCAATAACCTGTAAACAACGTTTTGTTATTTGCAATGCAATCCTGGGCTAACTTTTCAAAAGTCGTTTTTCTCAATTTCCCGTTAGTTAAAGGAATAAAAAAATGCTGTCCAACGTGGTCAATGGACCAAACAAACAAGGACAACAAACAGAAGCGTGAGCCATTGCTAACACAACAGCGACCAAACAATCATGCACTGTATCAGGCGTGTAAAAATCTGGGGGGAAAGGCTTAGTCTTAAGGCCTAAGTCATCGGACACTGGTCCTCTCCCGGGGAATAAAACGGCCTCCTCCTCTGAGAGGGAAATGTCCTGAATTTTCCCTGCAGAGGGAAGGTCACCTGCAAGCCTACATTCGTGACAGCGTTCCCGAGGACCCCCTGATCCTCATCTTCTTTTCTGCTTCATCAGACCAGAGACCGTGGCTAAAAGCCCCCCATCTGCCGGCTCTCAGGGGCTTCCGAGGCGGCGGGGCGGGAGGCGGCGCCCAGTCAAGGACAACAGAAGACTACGTCGCGTGGGCCAAAGGAAACAGTCCCGTCAATAAATAAGCCTCTGGCCGACGCACCTCACCCTTCCCATCCATACAAGACCTCACCTTCTCCCCGGAGCCGCGGAGGCTGTTCTGCTAAACTGTCTGGACCACGACGACCCCCTAGGAGGCCGGGTCGCTTATTCAATATGGCGGCCTCGGCTAACTCTGTCAGCCGGGCCTGGAGAACGGAAAGCCCGGAGGGACTAGAATCCTTGCATTCGACAAGTTTGTCGGCAATTTCCGTCAGCCGACCAGAGGGCGGAGCTGAGGTCGGCCCAGCCCGGAGGCGGGAAGGACAACTTGGACCCGCAGTTCCGCCGGAAGTGGCCCCAGCCTCGAGGCCGGGCGTCTTCGGTCATCTCCGGCGCTTCTAGGGCTGGTTCCCGTCATCTTCGGGAGCCGTGGAGGTACGAACTTAAGACATGCCTATTTTATTAATTTACTTCCAAACGCAACGAAAGGTCCATGGACAATTTGTGGGCCATTTAATTCAGGGCCCCCAATTCGTACGTGGAGAAGTGGGAATGCAAAAGTACTTTGACCTTTAACCTTCGGTCCGGCGCGGTGGAGGGAAACGCCTCCGTCTCTATATAAGGAATTTTCCGGTCTCTTCGGGTCCTTTTTCCTCTCTTCAGCGTGGGGCGCCCACAATTTGCGCGCTCTCTTTCTGCTGCTCCCCAGCTCTCGGATACAGCCGACACCATGGGTTTCGGAGACCTGAAAAGCCCTGCCGGCCTCCAGGTGCTCAACGATTACCTGGCGGACAAGAGCTACATCGAGGGGTGAGCGGACGGGCTGAGTCGGGGTGGCGGGGAGGTTTCTCCGCCCGGGGCCGGGGCCACGTGGCGCAGCGTGTCGGCTGCCGCGGGAGGGAGGGAGGCCGGGCCCGGGGCCCTTTCGAGAGGGAGGGGAAAGCGCCCCGTTGCCGTCTCCCAAGGCCCTCGTGTGGGGCGAGCCCGGCCTCCGGGGAGCGGTTCACGAGCAAGGAAAGGTTAAAATGTGCTTTATTTACACTTAATTCAGCCAGGTGTTTCCGCATCGCTGCCCAGTTAATACATGTTAAGCTGTAGATAGAGCAACGCCAGACATTGCAGTATTTGAGGTCTACTTAGTGGCAGACATTTCTCAGGATAGCGCGGTGACCCAAACATATGGTTTGATTTGAAGGAGCTAATAAGAAAAGAAAAGCATTAAAGCAACCCTGCTGGGGTTAGTGCCCACTAATTAATGTGATGCATACGGTATTTATTATTTATTCGCTGGCGTTTGTTTTTCAAAGGTGTGTGTGAATGTTTCTGTGTCCTTGGCAGGTATGTGCCATCACAAGCAGATGTGGCAGTATTTGAAGCCGTGTCCAGCCCACCGCCTGCCGACTTGTGTCATGCCCTACGTTGGTATAATCACATCAAGTCTTACGAAAAGGAAAAGGCCAGGTAAAATCATCTTTGTATAGAGCTGAAGAATAAGACTGCTCTCGAAGTTTATCAGGATGTTCACATGACAAAACTGGACCCAGGCTACTTTAGTTTTGTTGGGATATTGTAAGCTAAATTTTTCTGTAACCTTAGAAGGCCAAGAGACTGAAGCCCTCCATTTTTTCACAGAACAGGTAGAACATGGACAGCAGCAATTCAACTTTTCCCCACACTGCCCTGCCAATGTGCCTCGACCTTGACCTGGGGGGCCCACCTCTGGGGTGAGAGGGTGGCTCATTCATTCAGTCCTTGGCCATTCTTCTGAAACTGCCAACAAGGGTGGAAGTTTGGGGAAGTGGACTCCAGTTCACTAAGAATGGAACTGAGCATACTTAATGAAATCTCAAACAGAAATGTTCATACTGAAAGAGTAAATCATAGTGAGTATTGAAAATAATGTCTCACATGGTACTAATGCTTGTCGGGTGAGGAGTTGAACATATGACAGTGTTTACCTGGGCGCATGTGAAAGGGTAAATTATGATTGCAAAAGGGATCTAGTGATAAGTAGTGATTAAAACAAGTTATTTTGTATTTTCTGGAAAAGGATGTTATACTAGCTCAATAGTGGTTGAATTTAAATGTTTTTCAAGCCTGCCAGGAGTGAAGAAAGCTTTGGGCAAATATGGTCCTGCCGATGTGGAAGACACTACAGGAAGTGGAGCTACAGATAGTAAAGATGATGATGACATTGACCTCTTTGGATCTGATGATGAGGAGGTATGGCGTCTTCTATAAAGAACATATCGGCCAGGCGCAGTGGCTCATGCCTGTAATCCCAGCATGTTGGGAGGCTGAGGCGGGTGGATCACGAGGTCAGGAGTTGAAGACCAGCCTGGCCAAGATGGTGAAACCCTGTCTGTACTAAAAATACAAAAAAATGTGGCAGGCATCTGTAATCCCAGCTACTCAGGCGGCTAAGGCAGAGAATTGCTTGAACCTAGGAAGCGGAGGTTGCAGTGAGCCAAGATCGTGCCACTGCATCCAGCCTGGGCGACAGAGCGAGACTCCGTCCCAAAAAAAAAAAAAAAGAATACATCGATCAGCAATTGTATCAATGTGGTTAAGCCAAATTGCCTGGATTTGAATCCTGGCTTTAATTTATATGCCTTTTTCAAATTCTGACTGGTTGCATGATGAATAAAATCAAATCACCATCTTTCGGCTGAGTTCGTGATGGATTTGCTTTTTTCTGATTAAGCCAGTCTTTTTTGTGATGACCCCACTAGCTTTAAGCAGAGGAACAACCAGCTTTCTGAAGTGGATTAATTTTTTTTCTTTACAGGAAAGTGAAGAAGCAAAGAGGCTAAGGGAAGAACGTCTTGCACAATATGAATCAAAGAAAGCCAAAAGTAGGTCATTTGTTTTTAACTTCATTTCATGTTAATGTAAGTAATCTTTTTCAAAGCTTGACCTTGAAGTAATTTCCTCCACATTCCTTGAATAGGTCAATATTTTAAAACCTGTACAGGTTCTTCCACAGCTACTGGTCTGCAGCTGTTCTTATGGTAGCAGTTGTGGCATTCCTCTGTGGGAAAGAAACTGTTAACACAAACACCTCTTTCTTAGCAAAACAGAAAGTGGGTATATATGTGTGACAGACACAAGATGTATCTGTAGTTTTGTTTGGCTAAGGAGATAGTCTCAAAACAAATTGAGATGGATTTGTTTGTGTCTTGGAGTAGGGTGAAAAAAATACAATTCATTATTTGAATAATGCTGTTTATTGTTTTTAGAACCTGCACTTGTTGCCAAGTCTTCCATCTTACTAGATGTGAAACCTTGGGATGATGAGACAGATATGGCGAAATTAGAGGAGTGCGTCAGAAGCATTCAAGCAGACGGCTTAGTCTGGGGCTCATGTGAGTTTAGGCTTTGCCTTTTTTTTTTTGAAACTAACATCTGGAATTTGCCTACAGTTTCAACCTTTCCTACAAGACTTTTCTAACTAGGATTTTTCTTAATGCTCTTTTTAGCTAAACTAGTTCCAGTGGGATACGGAATTAAGAAACTTCAAATACAGTGTGTAGTTGAAGATGATAAAGTTGGAACAGATATGCTGGAGGAGCAGATCACTGCTTTTGAGGACTATGTGCAGTCCATGGATGTGGCTGCTTTCAACAAGATCTAAAATCCATCCTGGATCATGGCATTTAAATAAAAGATTGAAAGATTACCTTTGGCTCTTGAGTATGTTACATAGGAGGGTGGTGTATATATTCCTTTCATTTTGGGGGAAGGAATTAAATGAATATGTGATTCCTAAATACCCCAAATTTGGTTTGGCATTGTTGTTAGAAAATTGCAGTGCAGGCCAGGTGTGGTGGTTCATGCCTGTAATCCCAGCAGTTTGGGAGGCTGAAGTGGCTGGATCGAGACCAGGAGGCTGATACCAGCCTGGGCAATGGGGAGAGATCCTGTCTCTACAAAAAATATAAAAATTAGCTGGACATGGTAGTGCACCCCTGTATTCCCAGCTATTTGGGAGACTGAGGTGGGAGGATTTCTTGAACCCAGGAGGTTGAAACTGCAGTGAGCCAAGGTTGTGCGACTGCACTCCAGCCTGGGTGCCAGAGCAAGGTCCTGTCAAAAGAAAAAAAATTGTAGTGCAACTTTACCCACTTGTGATGTCCTTAGCAGTGCCTGATGATGTGATTTGTTGTAACCTAGCATCTTTGCACTGGGAACTTGATGTGAGATGTGTGACACTGCTAGAAGACACCTAACCCAGAGGAGGGAGGGCTTCCCAGAATTTGGCATGACTTACAACTACTTAACAGGTTACAAATTTAAAATAATGACTCATGATGTAAAGAAACCATCTTTTAAGTGTTGGGAATGTGATTTGGAGTAGCACTGTGTCCTGGGAGGGGGATTATATAGGTAACTGGTTCCCAGGCTTCCCAGAAAAACTTGACTTTGCTGTGAAGATTCATAGGTGCTGGGTTGTAGAGGCGGAATATTTTACTTGGATTTGGAAATCTGATTGGTTCTCATGCTGCAGGTAAATACTGGGATGAGGGTAGTATGTTGAGTGAAGAGATGGTCAAGTATTGGAAACCGTTTAATCTTAACAGGGAATTTGGGGTCTGGCTAACATTTGATACATTTTTTTAAATAGTAGTTTTACAAAAGCAGTGCTTGGGAATTGCTGATCTCAAATGATCAAAAAATTTTAGGTCAATTTTTTTTTTTTTTTTTTTTTTGAGATGGAGTCTCACTCTGTTGCCTGGGCTAGAGTGCAGTGGTGTGATCTCAGCTCACTGCAACCTCGGCCTCCCAGGTTCAAGCAATTCTCCTGCCTCAGCCCCCTGAGTAGCTGGGATTACAGGCATGCGCCACCATGCCTGGCTAATTTTTCTATTTTTAGTACATACGGGGCTTCACCATTTTGGTCAGGCTGGTCTCGAGCTCCTGACCTCAGGTGATCCACCCACCTTGGCCTCCCAAAGTGCTGGGATTATAGGCATAAGCCACAATGCCCAGCCCCTAGGTCAATTTTTTAATAGAACTATACAGTGCTATTTCTTCTCCATCTGATTTTATGTTGTGACTGCCTTGACTGTGGGAAACTATATTATAAGGAAGATTTATTTAACAGATAGATACATTGAATAATATCTCTAAGCAATGTTTATAATCCAACAGCCTAAAAGTCATGGGAGACATTTTCAGGTTGTCATTATCATAAGAGCCAGCAGAGGGCAGCACTACATTTTCTGGAAAACCAGAGAGTTTGGGAATAATGAAAATGCCAAAAGAAACACAAAAAACAAAAAACCAAAACCATGAATAAACTTCGGTGAATGGTAATAAAAATTTGCAATTATTGACATGGTGAAGGGGTTGAGTTCCAAATAGCTTGGCCAAAATGTTAACTATCAGCAGAAGTTTATGATGAGAAAACTAATGATTAATAATTAGTTTAAAGGTGGTCAAAAATTTAGAATGGTCAATTCAAACCACAGATGTCTTCAGAATCCTACAGTGATGAATGATGAGGCATACCATTTTGAAATCTTGATTCTACACCCTTGAATAAAAAATATTTTGATGGTATCTTTTAACTTCATATTTTAAAAAACACATGGCCGGATGTGGTGTCTCACACCTGTATTCCCAGCACTTTGGGAGGCCGAGGCAGCTGGATCATGAGGTCAGGCGATCTAGACCATCCTGGCTAACACAGTGAAACCCTGTCTCTACTAAAAATACAAAAAATTAGCCAGGTGTGGTGGCATGCGCCTGTAGTCCCAGCTACTTGGGAGGCTGAGGCAGGAGAATTGCTTGAACCCGGGAGGCAGAGGTTGCAGTGAGCTGAGATCACGCCACTGCACTCCAGCCTGGGCGACAAAAGTGAGACTCCATCTCAAAAGAAAAAAAAAAAGATAATATACCAACAGTTCAAAACTCAAGAGTATGTACAATGAAGTCTCTCCTGTCCCCTAGGCCTCCAGTTCCGCTCCATCAAAGCAGTGTTAACAGGTTCTTAGGTCTTTGCAGAGCCACTGTAAGCTTATGCATAGACTAATTGTAACACACCACATAGACTTTTGCACCTTGCATTTTCCTTTTGAAAATGAACACCTTGGGGCCGGGTGTGGTGGCTCACGCCTGTAATCCCAACACTTTGGGAGGCCTAGGTGGGCAGATCACAAGGTCAAGAGATCCAGACAATCCTGGCCAACATGGTGAAACCCTGTGTCTATTAAAAATACAAAAATTAGCTGGCCGTGGTGGCGCACGACTGTAGTCCCAGCCACTTGGGAGGCTGAGGCAGGAGAATCGCCTGAACCCGGGAGGCGGAGATTGCAGTGAGCTGAGATTGTACCACTGCATTCTGTCTCAAAAAAAAAAAAAAAAGAGCCAGGCGCGGTGGCTCATACCTGTAATCCCAGAGGTGGGGGATCACGAGGTCAGGAGTTTGAGACCAGCCTGGCCAACATGGTGAAACCCTGTCTCTACTAAAAATACAAAAAAAAAAAAAAAAAATGAACACCTTGGAGATTATGCCTTGGATATCCCATTATTAGTACATCCTTATTTAATAGATGCATAATTCATGTTCTCATTTCATAATTCATTTTCTCATAGTTCATTTAGACAGTCTCCTGTTGACTGGATTCTTAGGTTGCTTTTAATGTTTTGTTATTATGGGCAGTGCTGCAGTAGAAAACCCTGGTACTCATTTTCTTGAGAGCCAATATATTGAATGAACTGGTTTGTTTTGTTTTGTTTTGTTTTTTTGAGGTGGAGTCTCACTCTGTTGCCTGGGCTGGAGTGCAGTGGTGCGATCTCAGCTCCCTGCAACCTCTGCCTCCCGGGTTCAAGCGATTCTCCTGCCTCAGCCTCCCAAGTAGCTGGGATTACAGGTGCCTGCCGCTATGCCCAGCTAATTTTTTGTATTTTTAGTTTGATGGGGTTTCACCATGTTGGCCAGGCTGGTCTCAAACTCCTGACCTTGTGATACCCCCTCCTCAGCCTCCCAAAGTGCTGGGATTACAGGCGTGAGCTGCTGCGCCTGGCTCATGAACTTGTTTTAAACAAATAGTCTCAGAAGGCACTGGTTTCCAAAGAGATTTTTTTTTTTCCTGTTTCTGGCTTTAGAGTAGAAGGAAGCAAAGATAAAAAAGAGCCCACTTTTTTTTTTTTTGCATGCCCCATAAATGATTATAATGACTATGAAAGTTTTTCTTTTCTTTTTTTTTTTTTTTTTGAGACAGGGTCTCAATCTATCATCCAGGCTGGAGTGCAGTGGCATGATCACGGCTCACTGCAGCCTTGAACTCCTAGGCTTAAGCAATTCTACCTCAGCCTACTGAGTAGCTGGGACTACAGGCATGTGCCACCATACCCAGCTAATTTAAAAAAATTTTTTTAGAGATGGGGTCTTGCTATGATGCCCAGGCTTTGAACTCCTGGACTCAAGTGATCCTTCCACCTTGGCCTTCCAAGGTACTGGGATTACAGGTATGAGCCAACGTGTCCAGCCTGAAACAATATTTTTCATGTTCGGCATCCCTAGCAGAGGGCTGGGCAGTGTGGGAACTCAAAACTGATTCCTTCCGTATCACTTTGTTAGATGAAACAAAAAAACACAGAAGAAGAGAAAATTAGTATAGGGAGGCAATTCAAACATAAAATTGTTAAAAATAAAAGTCATTGGTTTGGGGATTAAGCAAATAATCTAAAAGTTCAGAAGGTCAGAGACGGCTAGAATTGATGACAAGTTTTTTGGAAGAATCAGATATAAAGATTTGGGAAGCAATTAGACAAATTCGTGAGATTTTGCAGTGTGTGTTTGGAATCTTAGATAGGATGGGGCCAGCCTGTAGACATATTTGAATTACAGGCTGGCACATTATATGAGGTTTCCAAACCAGAGAATATTAATGTTAAGACAGCTTTGATCTGGAGGTGATACGAATGAAAGCAAGGAGATCAGATGACTTATAATCCTCACAGATGGAAATGTCTAAATTATGGCATATGTATTCAATGAAATGTTTTATAAACTTTATTTATTTTTTTGAGATGGAGTCTCGCTCTATTGCCCAGGCTGGCGTGCCGTGGTGCGATGTTGGCTCATTGCAACCTCCACCTCCCAGGTTCAAGCGATTCCCCTGCCTCAGCCTCCCAAGTAGCTGGGATTACTTGTGTGCGCCACAATGCCCGGCTAATTTTTGTATTTTTAGTAGAGATGAAGTTTTGCCATGTTGGCCAGGCTGGTCTTGAACTCCTAACCTCAAGTGATCTGCCCATCTCGGCCTCCCAAAGTGCTGGGATTACAGGCGTGAGCCACCACGCCCAGCCTAAACTTTGTTTTTAAAAGTAAGTCTATAGCAACATTGAGAAATGCTTGATATTTCATGGACTATTACTATGAAAAGATATGCTTATTTGTCCATGATTATTCAGTAAATATACTAAGTCACTAGTAAGTGACAGAGGAGGAACACAAGCCAGGGTCTTCATAGGCCAGTTGATGTGTTGGTAACAGAATACGGAAGGTTCTTCATCCCTGCTTTTAGACAGTTTAATCCTATTTCATCAGTGTAATCCTTGCTTCATATTCTCATGAATATGATGAGGTGAGGTGAGGTGATAAGAAAATATGGTGAGGGATAAGAAAATATCACATAAGGGTAAATTTTACCTTGTGTAAATTGAGACTTAAACACTAAAACACTGTTCTAGGCAGAGGTTCTCAAACCTCAATTCTTGATGTCTGTCCACTCACAGGCTCAACACTACATGGAAGCTGCCAAGGCTTGAGGCTTGAACCCTCTGAAGCCATGGCCCAAGCTCTACGCTGGACCCTTTCAACCATGGCTGGAGTGGCTGGGATGCAGTGCACCAAGTCCCTAGGTTGCACACAGCACGGGGACCCTGGGCCCGGCCCATGAAACCACTTTTTCCTCCCAGGCCTTTGGGCCTGTGATAGGAGGGGCTGCTGCAAAGGTTTTTTTGACATGTCCTAGAGACATTTTTCACCATTGTCTTGGTGATTAATATTTGGTTCCTCATTACTTATGCAAATTTCTGCAGCCAGCTTGGATTTCTCCTCAGAAAATGAGATTTTCTTTTCTATTGCATTGTCAGGCTGCAAATTTTCCAAACTGTTATGCGCTGCGTCCTTATAAAACTGAATGCCATTAACAGCACCCAAGTCACCCCTTGCATGCTTTGCTGCTTAGAAATTTCTTCTGCCATGATATGGTTTGGCTGTGTCCCCACCCAAATCTCATCTTGAATTTCCACGTGTTGTGGGGAGGGACCTGGCAGGAGGCAATAGAATCATGGGGGCAGGTCTTTCTTGTGCTGTTCTCGTGATACCCAGTCATGGATATGTTTTACCCATGATTTAGGGTATCTGGTGGGATAAATTTCTAAGCAGCAAAGCATTCAAGAGGTGACTTGGGTGCTGTTAAAGGCGTTCAGTTTTATAAGGGAAGCAGAGCATAAAAGTTTGGAAAATTTGCAGCCTGACAATGCAATAAAAAAGAAAATCTCATTTTCTGAGGAGAAAGTCAAGTCAGCTGTAGAAATTTGCATAAGTAACAGG
Source organism: Homo sapiens (assembly GCF_000001405.40). Lineage (NCBI taxonomy): Eukaryota > Metazoa > Chordata > Mammalia > Primates > Hominidae > Homo > Homo sapiens. Next base: position 277,836 of record NW_015495299.1, read on the forward strand.
GAGCCAAATGTTAATCACCAAGACAAGGGGAAAATGTCTCCAGGGTACATCAGAGGTCTTCATGGCAGCCCTTCCCATCACAAGCCTGGAGGCCTAGAAAGAAAAAGTGGTTTCGTGTGCTGGGCCCAGGGTCCCTGTGCTGTGTGCAGCCTAGGAACTTGGTGCCCTGTGTCCCAGCTGCTCCAGCCATGGCTGAAGGGCCAATGTAGAGCTCGGGCCATGGCTTCAGACAGAGGGTGCAAGCCCCAAGCCTTGGCAGCTTCCATGTGGTGTTGAGCCTTCAAGTGCATAGATATCAAGAATTGAAGTTTGGGAACCTCTGCCTAGATTTCAGATGTATGGAAACACCAGAATGCCCAGGCAGAGGGGCAGGTCCTCATGGAGAACCTCTGTCAGGGTAGTGCAGAAGGGAAATGTGGGGTGGGAGCCCCCACACAGAGTTTCTACTGGGGCACTGCCTAGTGGAGCTGTGAGAAGAGAGCCATTGTCCTCCAGACCCCAGAATGGTAGATCCACTGACAGCTTACACCGTTCGCCTAGAAGAGCTTCAGGCACTCAATGTCAGCCTGTGAAGGCAGCCAGAAGGGAAGCTGTACCCTGCAAAGCCACAGGGGCGGAGCTTCCCAAGACTATGGGAACCTACTACCTCTTGATCAGCATGACCTGGATGTGAGACATGGAGTCAAAGGAGATCATTTTGGAGCATGTGCCACCACACCCTGCTAATTTTGTATTTATAGTAGAGACGGGGTTTCTCCATGTTGGTCAGGTTGGTCTCGAACTCCTGACCACAGGTGATCCACCCACCTCGGCCTCCCAAAGTGCTGGGATTATAGGTGTGAGCCACTGCACCCGGCCTGGACTCTGGACTTCTGAGTTAATGCTGAAATGAGACTTTGGAGGACTGTTGGGAAGGCGTGATTGGGTTTGAAATGTGAGGACATGAGATTTGGGAGGGGCTGGGGTGGAATGATATGGTTTGGCTATGTCCCCACCCAAATCTCATCTTGAATTTTCATGTGTTGTGGGAGGGACCCAATAGGAGGTAATTGAACCATGGGGCAGGTCTTTCCTGTGCTATTCTCGTGATAGCGAGTAAGTCTCATAAGATCTGACGGTTTTAAAAAGGGGAGTTTCCCTGTGCAAGCTCTCTTCTCTTGTCTGCCCTATGTGAGACATGCCTTTCGCCTTCCACCATGATTGTGAGGCCTCCCCAGTCAAGTGGAACTGTAAGTCCATTAAACCTCTTTCTTTTGTAAAACGCCCAGTCATGGGTATGTTTATCAGCAGCCTGAAAACGGACTGCTGCAAGTCAGATACCCTAAATCATCTCTCTCAAGTTCAAAGTTCCACAAATCTCTAGGGCAGGGGCAAAATGCCACCAGTCTCTTTGCTAAAACATAACAAGAGTGACCTTTGCTCAAGTTTCCAACAAGTTCCTCATCTCCGAGACCACCTTAGCCTGGACCTTATTGTTCGTATCACTATCAGCATTTTTGTCAAAGCCATTCAACAAGTCTCTAAGAAGTTACAAGCTTTCCCGCATTCTCCTATCTTCTTCTGAGCCCTCCAAATTGTTCCAACCTCTGCCTGTTACCCAGTTCCAATGTCACTTCCACATTTTCAGGTACCTTTTCAACAGTGACCCACTCTACTGGTGCCAATTTGCTGTATTTGTCTGTTTTCGCGCTGCTGATAAAGACATACCTGAGACTGGGCAATTTACAAAAGAAAGAGGTTGAGTTGGACTCACAGTTCCACATAGCTGCGGAGGCCTCACAATCATGGTGGAAGTTAAGGAGGAGCAAGCCACATCTTCTGTGGATGGTGGCAGGCAAAAAGACTGCTCCCTTCATAATTTTCAAAAGAAAATTGAGAAATTATAGAAATGGAAATATGTTTTTAAACTTGTAGTGAGTAGCAGAGTCAGATAAGACAAAGACTCTAGCAGAGACAGGGATAAGAGGCGGATCTTCAGAAGAGACTGGGATAAGGGGTGGATCTTTGGGAAACCCCAAAGACAAAGATACAGATTTCCAGTGTTTCTTCACCTCCACAGTTGGATGGAATCTCTTTCCTCTGAACAATCTGCACTTCTCCTTGGCTCTCTTATGACACTTATTATTTTCTACCTTATTTTAGGATTTTAAAAAAAAAATTTTTTTTTTAATTTTATTTTTTTTTAATTGATCATTCTTGGGTGTTTCTCACAGAGGGGGATTTGGCAGGGTCATAGGACACTAGTGGAGGGAAGGTCAGCAGACAAACAAGTGAACAAAGGTCTCTGGTTTTCCTAGGCAGAGTGTGTGTGTCCCTGGGTACTTGAGATTAGGGAATGGTGATGACTCTTAATGAGCATGCTGCCTTCAAGCATCTGTTTAACAAAGCACATCTTGCACCGCCCTTAATCCATTTAACCCTGAGTGGACACAGCACATGTTTCAGAGAGCACAGGGTTGGGGGTAAGGTCATAGATCAACAGGATCCCAAGGCAGAAGAATTTTTCTTAGTACAGAACAAAATGAAAAGTCTCCCATGTCTACTTCTTTCTACACAGACACGGCAACCATCCGATTTCTCAATCTTTTCCCCACCTTGCCCCCTTTTCTATTCCAGAAAACCGCCGTCGTCATCATGGCCCATTCTCAATGAGCTGTTGGGTACACCTCCCAGACGGGGTGGTGGCCGGGCAGAGGGGCTCCTCACTTCCCAGTAGGGGTGGCCGGGCAGAGGCGCCCCTCAGCTCCCAGACCGGGTGGCTGGCCAGGCGGGGGGCTGACCCCCCCACCTCCCTCCCGGACGGGGCGGCTGGCTGGGCAGAGGGGCTCCTGGCTGGGCAGAGGGGCTCCTCACTTCCCAGTAGGGGCGGCCGGGCAGAGGTGCCCCTCACCTCCCGGATGGGGCGGCTGGCCGGGCGGGGGGCTGACCCCCACCTCCCTCCCGGACGGGGTGGCTGCCGGGCGGAGACGCTCCTCACTTCCCAGACAGGGTGGCAGCCAGGCGGAGGGGCTCCTCACTTCTCAGACAGGGCGGTTGCCAGGAGGAGGGTCTCCTCACTTCTCAGACGGGGCGGCCGGGCAGAGACGCTCCTCACCTCCCAGACGGGGTCGCGGCCGGGCCGAGGCGCTCCTCACATCCCAGACGGGGCGGCAGGGCAGAGGCGCTCCCCACATCTCAGAGGATGGGCTGCGGGGCAGAGACGCTCCTCACTTCCTAGATGGGATGGCGGCCGGGACGAGGCGCTCCTCACTTCCCAGGTGGGATGGCGGCCGGGCAGAGACGCTCCTCACTTTCCAGACTGGCAGCCAGGCAGAGGGGCTCCTCACATCCCAGACGATGGGCAGCCAGGCAGAGAGGCTCCTCACTTCCCAGACGGGGTGGCGGCCGGGCAGAGGCTGCAATCTCCGCACTTTGCAGGGCCAAGGCAGGCGGCTGGGAGGTGGAGGCCGTAGCGAGCCGAGATCACGCCACTGCACTCCAGCCTGGGCACCATTGAGCACTGAGTGAATGAGACTCCGTCTGCAATCCCGGCACCTCGGGAGGCCGAGGCTGGCGGATCACTCGCGGCTAGGAGCTGGAGACCAGTCCGGCCAACACAGCGAAACCCCGTCCCCACCAAAAAAACACGAAAACCAGTCAGGCGTGGCGGCGCGCGCCTGCAATCGCAGGCACTCGGCAGGCTGAGGCAGGAGAATCAGGCAGGGAGGCTGCAGCGAGCCGAGATGGCAGCAGTACAGTCCAGCTTTGGCCCAGCATGAGAGGGAGACTGTGGAAAGGAGAGGGAGAGGGAGACGGGAGAGGGAGAGGGAGACGGGAGAGGGAGAGGGAGACGGGAGAGGGAGAGGGAGACGGGAGAGGGAGAGGGAGACGGGAGAGGGAGAGGGAGACGGGAGAGGGAGAGGGAGACGGGAGAGGGAGAGGGAGAGGGAGAGGGAGAGGGAGACGGGAGAGGGAGAGGGAGAGGGAGAGGGAGAGGGAGACGGGAGAGGGAGAGGGAGAGGGAGACGGGAGAGGGAGAGGGAGACGGGAGAGGGAGAGGGAGAGGGAGACGGGAGAGGGAGAGGGAGAGGGAGACGGGAGAGGGAGAGGGAGAGGGAGACGGGAGAGGGAGAGGGAGAGGGAGACGGGAGAGGGAGAGGGAGAGGGAGACGGGAGAGGGAGAGGGAGACGGGAGAGGGAGAGGGAGACGGGAGAGGGAGACGGGAGAGGGAGAGGGAGACGGGAGAGGGAGACGGGAGAGGGAGAGGGAGACGGGAGAGGGAGAGGGAGACGGGAGAGGGAGAGGGAGACGGGAGAGGGAGAGGGAGACGGGAGAGGGAGAGGGAGAGGGAGACGGGAGAGGGCTATTTTAGGATTTTTAATGCAGGTTTAATCTCACTTTCTAAACCCATTCCATGCTGTGCAGTTTCCTCAACCATCAAAGTCTGAGGAAGCTGAGAGGCTAAAGAGGCTGACATACCCAGTTTCTTGGAAAGAAACATTTGATAGAGACTTACGAACAGAAGCCATATCTGTGTCTTGGACAGTGGTGAGACAAGACGGTGGATCCCCGCACCATTACCTGCAAGACCCAGGGCTTATATACCTTAGGGAAAGAGTGATTTGGAAGGGATGTGTAGTCTAAAATTCAACAGATTTGCACCATGAAGAGGTCACTGACCTAAAGGTATGCTTTATTGATCTTACACTGGTGTCTATATAAATATAGGAATAGAAGGTGGAAATATATCAATATGTCCATGATTTTTCTGAAATCATTCTGAAATTAGACTGGTCTGTTTGCCATCTGAATGTCAGTGTTTTCATATATACCCTTAGTTTATACACGTTTACATAGCCATTTCCTTTTTTTTTAAATTTCAACTTTTATTTTAGTTAGTGGGGGTACATGTGCAGATTCATTACGTGGGAATATTGTGTGATGCTGAGGTTTAAAGTATGAATCCTCTCACCCTGGTAGTGAGCACAGTACCCCAACAGGTGGTTGTTTTTTTTTTTTGAGACCAAGTCTCGCTCTGTTGCCCAGGCTGGAGTGCAGTGGCTCAATCTCAGCTCACTGCAACCTCTACCTCCTGGGTTCAAGTGATTCTTCTGCCTCAGCCTCCTGAGTAGCTGGGATTACAGGCACATGCCACCACGCCCAGCTAATTTTTTGGATTTTTAGTAGAGATGGGGTTTCACCATGTTGGTCAGGCTGGTCTCGAATTCCTGACCTTGTGATCCACCCCTCCTCGGCCTCCCAAAGTGCTGGAATTACAAGTGTGAGCCACTGAACCCAGCCGCCCAGGCTTTTTTTTTTTTTTTTTTTTTTTTTTTTTTTTTTTGAGACAGTCTTACTCTGTTGCCCAGGCTAGAGTGCAGTGGCGCAATCTCGGTTCACTGCAACCTCCGCCTCCCAGGTTCAAGTGATTCTCTTGCCTCAGCCTCCCGAGTAGCTGGGACTACAGGTGCGTGCCACCACACCTGGCTAATTTTTGTATTTTTAGTAGAGACGGGGTTTCACCTTGTTGACCAGGCTGGTCTTGAACTCCTGACTTCAGGTGACCCGCCTATCTTGGCCTCCCAAAGTGCGGGGATTACAGGCATTAGCCACCGAGCCCAGCCTCAGCTCCCACTTACAAGTGAGAACATGCAGTATTTGGTTTTCTGTCCTGCACTAATTTACTTAGGATAATGGCCTCCAGTTCCATCCATGTTGCTGCAAAGGACACGATTTCATTCTTTTTTATGGCTGTGCAGTAGTCCATGATGTATATGTACCACACTTTGTTTATCCAATCTACCATTGATAGGTACCTGATACCCAGAATTTTCTAAAAGCATTTCTGTTTATAATGATACCGTAGAGGATTAAAGATTGGTGCAATTTTTTTTGACATTCTTTCCGTTGAGAGATGGGGATCTGTGTCTCTTCCCCTTGAACATGAGCTGGTCTATGCCTGCTTTGACCAATACAATACAATAGAAGTGATACTGTACCTGTGCCAGTCATAGCCTTTAACAGGACTAGAAATTTCCACCTTGGCCTCTTGGAGCCCTGAGTTGCCACATTAGAAGTCTGGCGACCCTGAAATGCCATGGTGGAATAGCTGTGTTGGGAGGGGAGAGGGAGGGAGGGAAGGGGATGTCTTAGGCAGCTTCCAGCTTCGATTTGCATCATCTCAGTCCAGCTGATGCTCCAGATATTGCAAAGCAGAGAGAGATGAACCTCTTTTCTGACTTCTTTGAATTCCTGACCCTCAGAATTGTGAGAATTATATCAAAAGTATAAACTGTTTTAAGAACTAGGTTTAGGAGGAGTTTATTAAGCATCATTAGTTAACTGGGTTTTTGGAGTGTGGCGACGGTATTTGTGGACACTGTCCCAGGAACATGAGCTGTCATATCCCCTCCTCTTCCACTTCCCATTGCAACCAATAAAGGCTGTTCCTACTATAAAAAACAGAGAGAGTGGGAGAAAGAAGAAAAAATCTCCCAAATCATTAACTAGAACAGATGTTTTAAGATAACCAACAATTACTTTAATTCATAAATGTATATACATAGATTACATAAAGAAATTAAGTACACATGTTGCATTTTAAAAATGTGTCTAGCAGGTTATTGTACAAAATTAAAATGAATTTAAGAATACATTTTAACATTTTTAAAATTAGTTAATCATATATTTATTTATCTATTTTATTTATTTATTTTTGAGACAGAGTTTTACTCTTGTTGCCCAGGCTGGAGTGCAATGGTGTGATGTTGGCTCACCACAACCTCTGCCTCCCAGGTTCAAGTGATTCTCCTGCTTCAGCCTCCCGAGTAGCTGGGTTTGCAGACATGCACCACCATGACCGGCTAATTTTGTATTTTTAGTAGAGACGGGGTTTCTCCATGTTGGTCAGGCTGGTCTCGAATTCCTGACCTCGGGTAATCCCCCCACCTTGGCCTCCCAAAGTGCTGGGATTACAGGTGTCAGCCACCGTGCCTGGCTAATCATATATTTAATATTAAGACTTAAGGCTTTAGAAAAGTTATTATTCAAAAAATAACTGATATTGCTTCAAAAGTGATTAATTCACCATGGTATAATTAACAAGAATGATGCATTTCATTTAAGTTGCAGAAAAAAATTATGCGGATCCTTCCTAAGTATTTTCAGTTTTTTAAAAAAAATTTATTGCCACATCACAAGGAGTCAAGAGGATCCTTCCTAAGTTTCATATCCACACAAAAATGTGATGCCTATATAGTGACCAGAAACAATAACTATGAAAGTGGAGTCGGCTCTCTATCTTGGAAACAATTTTAATCTGAAAGCATCAGTCAGAGGACCCACATAAAAAGCCATATACTGATTTGTGGAAAAGTAATAACTTATTGAGCTGTTTCCAGGAGACACAGATTCTTGGTTTCTGAGTTCCTGAGCTGTTCACTCACTGTGCCAGAACAGCTGACTTCCCACAGTGTGTACTTGAGTATCTCAGCAACTGAGGACCGGAAGCGAGCTTGGAACTTCTTACTAATTAGGACATAAAGGATGGGGTTCAAGCAACTATTGAGGAATGCCAAACCAGTGGAGAGGGGGATTCCAGCCTGCATCACATGGTGGGAATAGCTATTGTGGTGAATGGTGAGCTCCCAAATGCTAAACAGGTGATAAGGAGTCCAGCAAACCACAAAGGCCACAACCACAACCAGAATTGTCCAGAAATGCCTACTGGAGATCAGGATGCTTCGCTTCTTCACCTTGAAGATGAGACACAAGTAGCAAATACTCATTGTTAGCAAAGGGAAGAGATAGCCAATGATAAATTTCACCCAAGTCAGAACATGGTGCCTGATCAAAGTGAGGTCAGGATCATGCTTCTGAAAATTGTTATAGCAAAGAGTATGATTATTGAACTCCACAGTGTCCCGGAAGTACAGGGCAGGACCGCCAATTAGAGAAGCCAAAAGCCAGATGAATATAATGACAATCAGAGAGTTCTTGAGGGTTCGATGCCGATGAGATAAGACAGGATGGATCAAGTGGATATAGTGGTCCAGGCTGATCACTGTCAGGAAAAAAACACTGGCAAACATGTTCAACTGGGCAGTGAAGGAATTGGCTTTGCACAGCCAGATGCCAAAGGGCCAGTGGAAATTCATGGCCACATAGGAGATGTACAGGGGCAGAAAGAGAAGAAAAATGAAATCCGCAATGGCTAGATTGAGGAACCACAGAGTGGTGACTGTCTTCTTCCACTTGAACCCCGTGAACCAAATGACGATGGCATTTCCTGGAATTCCCAGAACAAAAGCCAAACAATATAACACCAGGGAGACCCAGTGAACAACTCCCAGCTGGACTTTCTCCTCCAAATCAGACTCCAGAGAGTAATAGTCTAGGTCATAGGAATAGTTTTCAAATTCTTCAAATAATGTTTCCTCCAAATCTTCCATGACCTTGCTAAATGGAGAATGAAGAAATCTGTAGAAGCAAATTTAAAAAGAAAGAAAAAATTTTAAAAGAAAAATAAAAGTTCAGTGAATGATAAGGAACGTGAAGATAAAAATATTTCAGGTTATGGACCAGACATAGTATTATTTTTTCTTTTTTTTGAGACAGGGTCTCACTCTGTTGCCCAAGCTGGAGTGCAATGGCATGCTTTTGGCTCACTGCAGCCTTGACCTCCTAGGCTCAAGTGCCTCCTACCTCAGCCACCCCAATAACTAGGACCACAGGTGCTCATGACCATGCCCAGCTAATTTTTAAATTTTTTGTAGAGATGAGGTCTCACTATGTTGCCCAGGCTGGTCTTGAACTCCTGGGCTCAAGTGATCCTCCTACCTCAGCCTCCCAAAGTGCTGGGATTATAGGCATGAGCAACTATACCCAGCAAATATAGTATATTTTTTGATAGGACTTGTGGTTATACTCCATATGTTCAAGTCTTGGTGAGCCTCAGTTTCACTCTGATTATCATTCTCCCAGCATGAGAGTTCCTTTCTGTAAAGTATTTAGTACTTGCTAAATTAAAATGAATGACTCTACGGTTATAATTCTTCAGTTCGTAATGCTTGTAGGGCTGACTAGAGAGAATTCAACAAGCATTTATTAGATTCCTACTATGCATTATTATTTTATGGCAGATGCAAAAGAAAACGGATTAATACTTACAGAGTGATAGCTTCAAAATCTGTATTTCAGCCAGACACAGTGGCTCACACCTGTAATCCCAGCACTTTGGGAGGCTGAGACAGGGAGATTGCTTGAGACCAGCCTGGGAAATATAGCAAAAACCTGTCTCTACAAAAAATAAATTTTTAAAATAGCCAGATCTAGTGGCTCATGCTGTAGTCCCAACTACTCAGGAGGCCAAGGCAAGAGGATTGCATGAGCCCAGGAGTTTGAGGCTGCAGCGAGCTATGATCAAGCCACTGCACTCCAGCCTGGGCAACAGAGCAGGACCCCACCTCAAAACAAATTTTTTCCTGAAAAATCTGGATTTGTTGTTGCCCTGACTTCTTAAACTCTAGATAAAGAGTTCCTACTATTTCCTAGACCAATCCATCTGGATGTCACTGGAGATTTTGACCTGAGATTTTGCATCCAAGGATGTTTTGAGTCCATGTTTATGAAAGCAAACATAGTAATCAGAATTATATCAATATGGATGGCTTCTCATCCAAAAGGTAGCTTTTGGATTAAATTTGATTATGACCACTTAATTTCTATATTAATTTCCTACAGAATGCAATTAAGCTTTATTTAAATTTTTATCTTATTGAAATAATTCTTTTCCATAATAATTTATGACAAAGATTAGATTTTTTTTTGAGACAGCCTTCTATTTTTGTTTTGTTTGTTTGTTTGTTTGTTTTTTTGAGACAACCTCCCGTTACAGAGGCTGGAATGCATGGCACGATCTCGGCTCACTGTAGCCTTTGCTTCCTGGGCTCAAGCAATTCTCCTGTTTGAGCCTCCTGAGTAGTTGGGATTACAGATGCTGGCTACCACTCCTGGCTAATTTTTGTATTTTTAGTAGAGACAGGGTTTCACCATGTTGACCAGGCTGGTCTCAAACTCCTGATCTCAAGTGATCCACCCATCTCAGCCTCCCAAAGTGCTGGGATTACAGGTGTAAGCCAGAGTGCCTGGCCAAAGATTGGATTTATTAATCAGTTTTACTTTATTTTTGCCCATACCAAATTTTGTCTCTTATAATTTCTACCAAAGTAAGTTTTATTTTGTGCCCGCTCCCTGTCCCTTTTTTTTTTTTTTTTTTTTTTTTTTTTTTTTTTTTTGAGACAGAATTTTGCTCTTGTTGACCAGGCTGGAGTGCAATGGTGTGATCTTGGCTCACCTCAACCTCACCTCCCGGGTTCAAGCAATTCTCCTGCCTCAGCCTCCCGAGTAGCTGGAATTACAGGCATGTGCCACTACGCCCAGCTAATTTTTGTGTTTTTAGTAGAGACAGGGTTTCTCCATGTTGGTCAGGGTGGTCTCGAACTCCCGACTTCCGGTGATTCGCCCACCTTGGCCTCCCAAAGTGCTGGGATTACAGGCATGAGCCACCGCACCCAGCCTTTTTTTTTTTTTTTTTTTTTTGAGACGGAGTCTTGCTTGTTACCAGGCTGGAGTGCAGTGGCGCCATCTCGGCTCATTGCAACCTCCACCTCCCGGGTTCAAGTGATTCTCCTGCCTCAGCCTCCAGGTATTTTTAGTAGAGACAGGGTTTCACCATGTTGGCCAGGATGGTCTCGATCTCTTGACCTCGTGATCCACCCACCTGGGCCTCCCAAAGTGCTGGGATTACAGGAATAAGCCACCGCGCCCTGCCCCTCTGCCTTTTTTCTTATCAAGACCAGTTTTTCTGGGTTAAGAAGACTTGAATGTCAGTTTTTCAATCAGCACAAAAGTATACTGTGTGTAACTCTGTCTTCTTCCATTTTATTTTGTGCTATTTCTATCTGTAGTATTGAATGAAGATCAAGCAGAAAAAAGATTAATAGTTATATTCATTTCATGGAGTTACAATCATACATGAGGCAAGTATGTAAAATTTTAGATTATAGTAGGGTTAGAATAAAGAGGTCAAAACATCCTGTGTTGCTCACAGGCATCTCAAATTCAATTTGACTATCGCTGAATTCATCATCCTACCTAAAACCTTCTGAGAAATCCGGCAGGGCAAAAAACAGAAGCAATTTATTCCCTTCCTCCCAACCCTAGCCCAGCAACTTTTTTGTTCTTCAATATTCAATTCAAATGCCACCTTTCTTAGAAACATTTTCTGACTTACCTTCCTGCAGATAATTATAATAATTATTATTGTTATTATTAAAACAATTTATAATAAAATGATAGTCAATGTTATTGAGAATTTACTAGATGCCAGACATGTATGATCTAATTTGATCCTCATAAGAATCTTACATACACTTGTAATCCCAGTGCTTTGGGAGGCCAAGGCAGGAGGATTGCTTGAGCCTAAGAGTTTGAGACAAGCCTGGACAACAAAGTGAGAAACTGTCTCTTAAAAAAAAAAAAAAGATCTTACATTGTGGGTAAGTACAGGTGACCCTTGAAAAACATGGGGGGTGCCTAGAGGCGCTGACCCCACACACAGTAAAAAAAATTTACATAAAACTTTTCGTTGTTATTGAGACATAGTCTGCCACTGTCACCCAGGTCAGAACGCAGTGGCACAATCATAGCTCACTGCAGCCTCAAACTCCTAGGCTCAAGTCATTCTCCCACCTCCACCTCCCAAGTAGCTGGGACTACAGAAGTACATCACCATGCCTGGCTGATATTTTTATTTTTGTAGAGATGGGGTCTTGTTATGTTGCCCAGGCTGGTCTTGAACTCTTGGCCTTAAGTGATTCTCTTGCCTCAGCCTCCCAGAGTGCTGGAATTACAGGAGTGAGTAACTGTGCCCAGCCCATTATTATTATTATTATTATTATTATTATTATTATTTTGAGACAGAGTCTTGCCCTGTTGCCCAAGCTGGAGTGCAGTGGTACAATCTCGTCTCACTGTAACCTCCGCCTCCCGGGTTCAAGTGATTCTCCTGCCTCAGCCTCCCTAATAGCTGGGATTACAGGTGTCTGTCACCACGCCTTGCTAATTTTTATATTTATAGTAGAGATGGTGTTTCACTTTGTTGGCCAGGCTGGTCTTGAACTCCTGACGTCAGGTGATCCGCCCACCTTGGCCTCCCAAAGTGTTGTATTGGGATTTTAGGCATAAGCTACCATGCCCGGACTTATTATTATTATTGAGACCAACTCTCTCACTCTGATGCCCAGGCTGGAGTGCAGTGGTGCGATCTCGGCTCACTGCAACCTCTGCCTCCTAGGTTCAAGTGATTCTCCTCCCTCAGCCTCCCAAGTACCTGGGACTACAGGCTTTTGCCACCATGCTGGCTAATTTTTGTATTTTTAGTAGAGACAGAGTTTCACCATGTTGGCCAGGCTGGCTGTCTTGATCTCCTGACCTCAAGTAATCTGCCCATCTCAGTCTCCCAAAGTGCTGGGATTACAGGTGTGAGCCACCATGCCTGGCCCTATTATTTTTTTTTTTAGAAACGAGTATCACTATGTTGCCCAGGCTGGATTCAAATTCCTGAGCTCAAGGATTCCTCCCAACTCAGCCTCCTAAGTAGCTGAGACTACAGGAACATACCACCAAACTTGACTTGCATATAACTTTTGACTCCCCCAAAACTTAACTATTAATAGCCTTCTGTTGATCAAAAGCCTTACTAATGACATAAAGTATCAATTAACACATATTTTGTATGTTTTATGTATTATATACGTATTCTTGCAATAAAGTAAGCCAGTGAAAAGAAAATGTTATTAGGAAATCATAAGGGGCTGAGAGCAGTGGCTCACGCCTATAATCCCAGCACTTCGGGAGGCCGAGGTGGGTGAATCATCTAAGGTCAGGAATTCGAGACCAGCCTGACTGACATGGTGAAACCCTGTCTCTACTAAAAATACAAAATTAGCCGGGTATGGTGGTGCATGCCTGTAATCCCAGCTGCTTGGGAGGCTGAGACAGGAGAATTGCCTGAACTGGGAGGTGGAGGTTTTAGTGAGCCAAGATCATACCACTGCACTCCAGCCTGGGTAACAAGAGCAAAACTCCACCTCAAAAAAAAAAAAAAAAAAAAAAGGAAACCATAAGGAAGAAAACATGTATTTACTAGCCATTAAGTGGAAGTGGACCATCATAAAGGGCTTCATCCTCATCATCTTTACAATAAGTAGGTTGTGGAGGGGGAAGAAGATGGGTGAGTCTTGCTGTCTCGGGGTGGTAGGGGCAGAGGGAGAAAATCTATGCCTAAGTGAATCTGCACAGTTGAAACCCATGTTGTTCAAGGATCAACTGTACTATTATTGGTCTCATTTTTAACAAACAACACTGAAGCTTATAGAAGCTTAGTAACTTACTCAAGATCACACAACCTGCAATTGCAGAGTCAGGATCTAAAGTCAGATCTGTTGGACCCATGGCCTGAGCTCTTAACCACTACAGCATTCCCCCTTCTGTCATACTTGTCTTATCACACTTAACACGTTATGTTGTCATTAATTTATTTTTAATTTCTTCTCTATTAGACTGTGAACTCTTTGAGAATAAGGACTGTCATGGCTGTACCCCCAGTGCCTTGTACACCTTAATATATCACAGGTGATTAACAGATGCTTAAGAAATGATTGGCTCCCATTCCAAACCAAAGATAATTTTAAAACTTCAGGTGAGATTTTGTGAGTTCACCCCTAAGTCAGGGTCACTGCCAGACTCTCTCCAACCTTGACCCACAGTTCCTTTTTTTTTTGGATGGAGTCTCACTTTGTCACCCAGGCTGGAGTGCAGTGGCGTGATCTCGGCTCATGCAACCTTTGTCCCCCGAGTTCAAGTGATTCTCCTGCCTCAGCCTCCAGAATAGTTGGGATTACAACTGCCACCATGCCCCGCTAATTTTTTTTGTATTTTTAGTAGAAACAAGGTTTCACCTTCTTGGCCAGGCTGGTCTTGAACTCCTGACCTCGTGATCCACCCGTCTCAGCCTCCCAAAGTGCTGCGATTACAGGAGTGAGCCACCGCACCTGGCTGACCCACAGTTCTATCATCAGGATCTTGGCTTATTCCTGGACACCAAATCCCTTCCTTCGTGTGTCCTATTCCAGTGAGCAAGAATTGGCTCCTGTCATGCTGCCCCATTCTTTCAGGCCTGGGATCTCACTCTGCCCTCTCACTTACTCCTTCTGGTGGCTGACTCTCCCCAGTGTCAGATCCTTCCCAGCTTAGTCTAAAACTTTGTCTTTTCTGTGTACTAGGACATCCTTACCTTACAGGTGCCTATGATCTGTTCCTTTAGGCTGTTAGCAATTCAGAAGCCATATGGCCCATGGGGTGGTCTGAATCACCTTATAAAACCCTAAACAGAATCTCATTCCCCAAACAAAGAAAAGCCCATGGAAGACCCCTAATAGCTTCTAACCACTATCCTCACCAAAAGTCAGGAGCCTCCCCTTCCAATGTCATTATTGACCCTGCTGGGACAGTGTGATCATCGCAGGGCCTGTTGAAGGCAACCGTCTTCTTCCGCATTCTGTTGGGGCAGGGGATTGGAGGGTGGGATACTGGTATGTTTACGTGTGTGTGTGTATGCCTTGAGGATGAGTGATCTATCTGAATAGAACACCTTCAAACAGAAAGCCCTGCACCAGAGAGGTTCCTAATCTTCCAGGAAGCAGATGAACACATTAGATTTAAGGTGTAGTTCAGCCTTGGAGAAAAAGCTTCAAGAACAGCTGGTTGATGCTCACCTGAATCCTTTATGGGAAATAGGAGCTTAGGAATTCCCCTAAGACTTACAGCAGATGTTTTTGTTTGATGATGATGGTGAGGGGTAGGGATAGAGTGGAGAAAAGAGAAACGGCAGAACTTAGCAACTGTCCTACTGAGTCCTTGAGTAGACACAGTTAACTTTTGAAGACATACTCTTGTTTACCTATTATAACTTGTTTGGCCACTGCTTTACAGTTTTCAGGTACTTCCAGATCTAAGTAAGTTTCCAGACCTCATTTAAACCTTCCCAAATATCTAGAGACTAAATGTATTCATTTCCTAGGGCTGCTGTAACAAAGCAACAGAAACTGGTTGGCCTAAGACAACAGAAATGTATTGTCTCACAGTCTGGAGACTAAGTCTGAAATCAAGGTTGTTTCCTTCTGAGGGCTGTCCTGGAACATCTTTTCCATGGCTCTTGCCTAGCTTCTTGTGGTTTGCTGGCAAACTTTGGCCTTCCTTGGCTTGTACATGTGTTACGCTGATCTCTGCCTACATCTTCACATAGCATTCTCCCTGTGTGACTGTCTAAATTTCCCCTTTATATAAACACACCAGTCATTTTGAATTAGGGCCCACCCTAATACCTCATTCTATTTTCTATTCTATTGCCTCTGTAAAAACCCCATTTCTCTCTCTCTCTCTTTTTTTTTTTTTTAAGACAGGTTTCGCTCTTGTTGCCTAGGCTTGAGTGCAGTGGCATGATCTCGGTTCACTGCAACCTCCGTCTCCCGGTTTCAAGCGATTCTTCTGCCTCAGCCTCCTGAGTAGCTGGGACTACAGATGTGCGCCACCACATACGGCTAATTTTTTTATTTTTAGTAAAGACGGGGTTTCACTATATTGGCCAGGCTGGTCTCAAACTCCTGACCTCGTGATCCAGCCGCCTCGGCCTCCCAAAGTGCTGGGATTACAGGTGTGAGCCACCGTGCCCAACCTAGACCCCATTTCAAATAAGGTCACAGTCTGAGGTAATGGGGGTTAGGACTTCAACATATCTTTTTTTTGGTGGGGGAGGAGGGTTACCATCCAACCCATAAGACTAACTCAGGAGTGGCAACCACCATTTCTGAATCCCGATCACTCATTCATTCAGCCAATATTTGTTAATTGCTCACATTGTTCAGGCACTATTCTAGCTGATTGAGATACTTCACTAAATAAGACAGACAACTATTTCTTCCCTCTTAGATTTTATATTTACCAGGCAGGGATAGATAGTAAAAAAGTAATATTATAAAATTACATTGTATATTAAAAGATGGTAAGTACTACAGAAAGATGAAAAAATTGAAAAGGATAAAGGGAATAGAAGGTGGTTTTTAACTTTCTTTCTTTCTTTCTTTTCTTTAAGACAGTCTTGCTTTGTTGCCTAGGCTGGAGTGCAGTGGCATGATCTCGACTCACTGCAACCTTCACATCCTGGGTTCCAGCGATTCTCCTGCCTCAGCCTCCAAGTAGCTGGGATTACAGGCGTGAGCCACCACAGCCAGCTAATTTTCATATTTTTAGTACAGATGGGGTTTCACCATGTTGGCCAGGCTAGTCTCAAACTTCTGACCTCAAGTGATCTGCCCACCTCAGCATCCCAAATGCTAGGATTACAGGCTTAAGCCACTGCACCCAGCCTGGTTTTAGCTTTCAATAAGGTGGTCTGAGAAAGACTCGTTGAAAAAATAACTGCAAAGGCTTGACAGAGGTGAGGGAATTAGTCGTGGATATTTCCAGCAAGAGTGTTCCAGGCACCACTGCTATGGCAGAAGTATGTCTAACATATTCTAGAAGCAATAAGGATGCCAGTATGTCTAGGGCAGGATGAGAAAACCGAGCAAGAGGAAGAAAAGAAGGAAAAAAATTCAACAAGAATGTAGGAGGTTACATCATATAGATGCTTTTCAGCCTTTGAATGATTTTCGCAAAGGGGAAAAGCAATCTGATTTTTGTTATAGAAAGATCCCTCTTTCTGCTGTGTTGAGAATAGACTGTTAGGTATAATGGTGGGGCAAACAAGTAAGAAATGGGCAGACCAGATAGAAAATTATTGCAATAATCCTGGCCAGAGATGACGGTGGCTTGGATTAGGTGGTAGCAGTGAAGGTGATGGGAAATGATTAGATTCTAGGTATATTTTGTAGACAGAACCAACAGTTTTCTTAATGAAGTCCAATATAACCCCCAGACTTTGGAGCCTTCTGTACCAGAGTCCAAGGCCTTATACATCCCCTTTCCTCCTCTTCTCATGGGCTAGAATATAGATGCAGTGATGAGCCACCTTGCACCAAGTAAATGAAGAAAACATGGTTTTTCACAAAAAGAAGTTTGGACCCCTGGGTGACCTCGTGGAACAGAGCTGCCCTACTTTTCTGGACCACCTCCTTTGGATTACTAAGTGAAAATATTCTCCTGGAATCCTTTTGGGCTATTTTTTTCTCACAAAACCGTGTGGGTCTGTGGAATGGGCTTTTTTTTTTTTTTGATGGAGTCTCACACTGTCACCCAGGCTGGAGTGCAGTGGCGCAATCTTGGCTCACTGCAAGCTCTGTCTCCCAGGTTCATGCCATTCTCTTGCCTCAGCCTCCTGAGTAGCTGGGACTACAGGTGCCCACCACCATGCCTGGCTAATTTTTTGTGTTTTTAGTAGGGATGAGGTTTCACCGTGTTAGCCAGGATGGTCTCGATCTCCTGACCTTGTGATCCGCCTGCCTCGGCCTCTCAAAGTGCTGAGATTACAGGTGTGAGCCACCGCGCCCGGCCGGAATGGGCTTTTGTTAAAGCAGCTGAACATGTATCCTAACTAATATAACTTCTCTAGGCCCTACCTTTGAGCACTGTGGTGGAGCCCTGGCAGTGCTCACCTCCTGTGACAAGATGTTATAAGAAGTCTTTGAGGTAGGAGCTATTTCTCACAATGGTTATGGCTTCAGAAGCTCACTGGAGGAGGGAGAGGGGAGCTTCCCTTAGAGGGGACAGAAAGGGAAAGAAGCTGGCCTTTTGAGGAGGAACTCTTACCCCAGCAATGGTTAGGGAGCTATTTAGGAAATCCCCTTTTTAGCCATGAAGACTTAACATGAAGGAGGTTTTGCAGTTGACTATGGTGGGTTAAAGAGGTGCTGCTGGTAAGACTCTGCTGCCTTTTTTTTTTTTTTTTTTTAAGACAGGGGTTTTGCTCTGTCACCCAGGCTGGAGAGCAGTGGCAGAATCATAGCTCACTAGGCAGTAACCCAGTTACCCTGATTAGATAATGAAGTAGGCCAGGCACAGGGGCCCACACCTGTAATCCCAGCACTTTTGGAGGCTGAGGCGAGGGGACTGCTTGAGCCCAGGAGTTCAAGACCACCCTGGGCAACACAGTGAAGACCCTGCCTCTATGAAAATAAGAATACATTTTTTTCCAAAAAAGAGAATGAAGGCCAGGCCCAGTAGCTCATGCCTGTAATCTCAACATTTTGGGAGGCCAAGACGGGCAGATCACTTGAGGTAAGGAGTTCGAGACCAGCCTGGCCAACATGGGAAAACCCCATCTCTACTAAAAACACAAAAATTAGCCAGGCGCAGTAAGGCGGAGGTTGCAGTGAGCTGAGATCACACCACTGCACTCCAGTCTGGCAACAGAATGAGACTCCATCTCAAAAAATAAAATAAAAAAAAGAATGAAGTAGAAGTGGGTCAGGTGTCTGCTAAGTTATACTTTGAACTAGAAACATGGTTGAGCGCAACTTTGGGGCAGAGCACAGCTTACAGGTAGGAATTGACAGACCCAATCTGTGGAGATTAGATCGTGAAAATGAACTGTGTGATAATGCAATCTCAAAGTAATATCGGTGCTCTCAAAGGAAAAATGTGTTTACAAAGAAAGCTTACTACCTTGAGCATTTCTGCCGACTTAAATTTAAGGGCCTATAGAGATGTTTCTTTAAATTATTAAAAAGTGGTATTACACTGTATAATCAATCATGTTGTGTTGTATTTCTCTGTTTATTTTTGGTGGGATAAGAAAGAAAGGACAAAAAGAGACACAAAAAGAAAATGGGGGAAATTTTTCCTCAACTTAGCCGTGTGAAGATAAACATAGATACATGCACACACATATATACATATGCATATATACAAGTAGTTTTTGAGAGATGATGGGAGGATGTGAATGAAGGATCAGAGGTGAATAGGAGGGATGTCTGGGCAATAGAAAGAAGCTGTGGTGGGCAGTAACCAAAAATGAAGACAGATAGTAGGTGGATATTAGGTCTCTTTTTTTAATTTTTGAGACAGAGTCTCTTTCTGTCATTCAGGCTGGAGTGGAGTGGCGCAATCTTGGGTCACTGCAACCTCCACCTCCCAGATTCAAGCAATTCTCACTCGAGAATCAAGTATGAAAAATCAAGTGCTCTTTGTGCCTCAGCCTCCCAAGTAGCTGGGATTACAGGCGTGTGCCACCACACCTGGCTAATTTTTGTATTTTTAGTAGAGACAAGGTTTTGCCACGTTGGACAGGCTGGCCTTGAACTCCTGACCTCAAGTGCTCCATCCCCTTTGACCTCCCAAAATGCTGGGATTACAGGTGTGAGCCACCACACCCAGCAGCATTAGGTCTTTAAATCCAGGTTTAAAATAAAGAGGATCATTAAACACGCAGGATCAAGTGGTCTTGGATGGCAGTGACTTTCCATTGAGATGTCCATGTAGTTTTCTCAGTTTGGAAGAGCACAATAACAATGCCAGGATAAGGCTTTTCGACTTGACAGAAAAGAAGAAATAGCTACTGTATTTGTCTTAAACCATATGTGCTGCTGAAAGGCAAATAAATAATTCTGACTGAAATGAAGACTAATAAAGGTCTCTATGATCATAAAAAGTTTGTGTAGCCACTTAACCTCCAAGCTGTATTGTGAACAGGGATATATGTAGGGCCACCCAAGTCTCTTAAAAATGTGTGAAAAATGCTTGGTGTGAAGCAAAGTTCAGAGAACCTCTATGAAGTCTCTGGTTTATGTTCCAAAGAAAGTGAAGGGACATATTTACTGCAGGGATTCAGCTGCTTGGAGGACCCACGTTATCACATTCCTGGGTTACTTCCACCTAGATACTCAAATGGCAAATCATGTGGTTGTGGAGCATAGAACTACCTATTGAATTAAACAATCTAGTGTCTGATCTATTCAGGTGTAATAGATGGCAAAGCTGAAACTCTTTTCTGAATAAATAAATTTTACTGCAAGAGTTCTGGCAGAAAGTGTAATAATAAACAGTCTATAAAATCCAGATGATTTTGGGGAAGGACACCTGGTAGAACTGTGTAACATTAAACTTTAAAATGTGGCTTTAGATGAGGTTTGGCTATAGAGGGAAACATTTTGTTCATCTACCTGGACAAAACACAAAGATTCCTTCTGGCAGAACATTTGGCGAATGAAGAGAGGTTTAATTTTGTTCTGTATTGTTGAGTTAGATAGGTTTTTCATGGATCACTGCAAAAATGTACACCTCACAGAATCTTAAGGCAGTTTAGGCTCTAAGCTGATTTGAACAGAGAGAAGGACTTGATATTGTGAACTCTGTCTACGTAGGTTGCCTGTGTAGAGTTCCTCACACACTCTGGTAAAAAGAACTCAAGCTCTGAATGTGTCTCCTGTTAACACCACAGGGGCCCTTGGGGGAACATGTATTTTGCTTCTGACCGGATAACAGGGAGGAATAGAAAAGGCAGGGAGCGGTGGCTCACGCCTATAATCCCAGCACTTTGAGAGGCTGAGGCAGGCAGATCACTTGAGGTCAGGAGTTCAAGACCAGCCTGGCCAACATGGTGAAACCCCATCTCTACTAAAAATAGAAAAATTAGGTGGGTGTGGTTGTGCGTGCCTGTAGTCCCAGCTACTCAGGAGGCTGAGGGAGGAGAATTGCTTGAACTCAGGAGGTGGAGGTTGCAATGAGCAAAGATGGTGCCACTGCACTCCAGCCTGGGCAATAGAGTGAGACTTCATCTAAAAAGAAAAAAAAAAAAGAAAAGAAAAGAATGAATAGAAAGAATTGATGGACACAAGAGAGAAATTCTCCAGTAAAAACCACAGATCCATGACCTAGCAAACATATGGTCAGCAAGCTGTTTTTCAAGGGCTGTCTTCTTAGGGAAGAAAGATTTTTTGAAACATGTATATGTGTGTGTTGCCCCAGGGGGTGGTATTTGGGACATTGCTCAGTATTTTCCACTGTCAAACATAAACTATACTACACCCCAGAATGTACTCAAGATGTTTGGCATCAGTAGAGTATTTTGTTGCCATTCAGATGAACGATCTCTGCTTGGAAGGCGTTGAGGCACAGCAACACGTTAAAAAGAGACCCTGTTTATTCACCCAAGGGAAGCAAAGGGAGGTTAGATGGAAATTGAAGGTTGGGTGGTGATATTGTTGCTGCTGCCAGTTGGGAGGTGGTAGAACAACCCTCACACTCCAACCCCTGGCATAGCTTATCCTGTAATAGAGATGCAGCTTGCCTAGCTGTAGTTCCCATGTCATTTATTACTTAATGCCAGGCATTAAGACAAATGACAATATTCTTTGGTGTATTAGGAAGAATGAAAGTATTCTGATTTGGCTCGAGAAGGGACAACATAAATGGGAGTGTTCTGATGACAAAGGCCTTTGAATGTCATGCTTAAGGGTTTGGATTTTATTCCATTGCTCCCAAAGCATGTAAAAATGTTTGTAGCAAGGAGTGATGTGACAGAATATTTGTTTTTGTAAAGATCATCTGGTAGCAGTTTGCAAGATGGTTTGGAAAAGAATTTGAATGGAAGTAAGACAATCATTCAGGAGCCTGTTACCACAATGGAAGTCGAAGATGGAAGGTCCTTAGACAGTGAGAGAATTGAGATGAGGGAGATGTATTTGAAAGACATTGATTTGAGAAATGAATAGAATCTTTCAGGAAGCTTAGCTGAATTGCATATAATCTTCACAATAACGTTTTTCTTGAGTTGGCATTGAAAACCTTGAACAGAAAAGCGAACTAATTTTAGGGATACAAATGTTTTTATCAGTTTTAAAGGCAGCGAGATTGGGAGAAAGAAAGAAAGTTTTTCCTTTTCAAAGAATAATTGAATCAAATGGAAATTAATGATACCTATTTTCACGATGCTGAGATCGAATTCTTGTCATAAAAGGCATTTGCAGCCTGATCTGCATGTCAGCCCCCATGCTTCACTTTGACAGTTTGAAAAGAGAACACAGCACATGTACCGGAAGTCAACGCCTACTTATGTACCTGTTGTTTTAATGCTCCACCCAGAAATTAGTGTTCTAACTTGTATAATCTGTATGGCTCTGTTGATTG